>NC_000003.12:43343333-43646363 GCF_000001405.40 Homo sapiens
TTTTCCTCAGAGCCCTGGAAACCAACAGGTATAACCATATCACAGCCACATACTTCCTGCTGGCTGAAAGGATCCTGAGAGAAAAGCAAGAGAAAGAAATACAGACCAGATCTGCAAGCCCGAGCAATATCAAGGCCCAGTTTAGGTGAGAAAAAAATCTTCACTGATTTTAGTAAGTTTAACGTTTTGAAATAGCGAACTTTTTTTTTTTTTTTTAATGCTTCCTAACTCTTTGGGGCAAGAGAGTACAAACAGTGATGACGGCCTCATTGGAGAGGCCACACACGGGCTCTTCAGGTGTACATGAGGGTCTGGGTTCCCTCGTCACCAGGGATGCCGTCCCCTTCTGGGCTCAGTGGGGACCGGGGCTGTGTCTGTTGGCATGGTCAGGAAAACATGTTTGGAGAAGCAGCCTCAAGCCAGAGTGTCTTGCTAGTTATTTTCATTAAATTCTTCCAAATCCAACATGTATTAATCTGTTATTTTCTTTAGTTTTTCATTCTAGGAACAAGGCTGAATTTTCCCTCAGTTATTTGAAGTAATTTTTAAAACTAAATAGAGTATTGCTATGCCACAGTGTTCTCTCAGGATTTCCGGGATTGGATAGTCAACATTAGCTAGTTGATTTCTTAGCTGCTTGACCTTGGGAGGTTGCTTAACCTCTCTATGACTTAGCTACCCGATCTGTAAAACAAAAGTAACAATGCTATTTACCTCATGGGGTTGTGGAGAGGAATGATGAATTAATATATGTAAAGCACTTAGAACCAGGGCTTTGTGTGTTTGCCATCACTGCTGGGAATATTTTACCACCATTGTCTTCAATAAAGTCATGAACGTGCTGCTCCCCAAGCCTTTTCTAACCCCCTCTCTCCTCCTCCTCCTCTCCCCCAGCCTTCCCACTTTGCTTTTCTGCCAGAGTAACTTTCCACTTAAAATCAAAGCATGGAAAGGGCTTACTTTTTTCATTATCATCATGAAATTTATTTCGAGTTTATGCACTCAGATAAAGTAACCCATGGAACTGTAGTTCGAAAACAGAAGAGTGCTGCTGATTCTGAGTAAATCTGTGTGTACCTCCAAGTATTTATGAATATATGTGTGTGAATATTATTGTGAATAATAATATTATGATTGTAAAAGATTAAGAAAGCCATTTCGATTTTAAGTTACTTGCAGTTGGCTCGCCATGTGAACTTTGTTGCTTGGGTGGAATGGCAGAGTAGGGGGAGGAAAACATTCCCAGCTTGCCAAACAGTAAAGATTTAGAAGTCTAGTTTAACTAGAACATGAATTTAGTAACTTTATTCATATCTTGGATGCATTCCTCTGTAATAAAAACTAGGCACACTGTCTAGTGTCTGCTTAGAAGAGGACTGAACCCAGGGAGTGAGGAAATTCTTGGGGATGAGATAAACCAGAGACTGATGCTCAGAGGTTACGGTCAACCTAGTCCTGACCTGAGCTCCCTGGCAAGAAAGAGTAACCCCAAGGCAGATCATCACTACTCGCCAGGTGCACCGAGACTGGAGCTACCACCAGGCTTCTGGAAGAGAATATTTAGATTTGAACTCTCTTCTATTCAGTGAAACATACCAGAACTCAGTCTAAAGCTGATTGTATATGTGAGACCAACATTAGCTATAAAGAAATAGTAGGCCAGGCACAGTGGTTCAACCCTTTGGGAGGCCAAGGTGGGAAGATCCTTTGAGCCCAGGAGTTCATGACTAGCCTGGGCAACATAGACCCTGTCTCTATAAAAATTAAAAATAAAAAAAATTTAAAAATACCAGAGCTTTCTGAACTGTTTTCCTTTTGCTGTCATGGAGACTCTGAAGTGGAGAAGCTATGAGCACCTTTTTTTCTATGGCACAGGGCCCACTGGCAGTGGCAGTGTCTCCTGACTTGCCTTCTCTTTGTTGTCACTGTAACGTTATCGACAAGACCCTGGACCTCCCTTGGTTCCATTGCTGGGTATGCCTTGTGGTCAGAATGACCTAGGAGGTAGAAACCTGGACTGAGTCAGGAGACTGTATTTAAAATGGCAACTAGCTGGGCAG
This sequence comes from Homo sapiens, assembly GCF_000001405.40. NCBI lineage: Eukaryota > Metazoa > Chordata > Mammalia > Primates > Hominidae > Homo > Homo sapiens. The sequence continues at coordinate 43,345,394 of NC_000003.12, forward strand.
GGATGGAGGAAGAAGGGTCAGGCCAGTGAGAACCACAGCCACAGAGAACAGATACATGCTCTGTGGCCAGTGGGTAGTCTGGAAGAATTTGTGACAGGCCAGTTGAGATGAGTGGTTAACAGGAGACTGATATCCAGTCTCCTAGCCGGGCTGGGTGTCTTCACAAGCAGTTCGGTAGGCAGAAAGAAACAGGGATTTGGCCTGCAGGTTCTGGAGTCCAGGGGCAGGGTCCTAGACCTGGAATTGAGGGAGAACACAGGGACTCCACTAGAGAATGAAGTCCCAGATGCCATCTCAAGAATGTAGGTATAAGATGTGGCTTAGCTGAAAGGAGTGGTGTTGGTACAGATAGGATCCTGCAGCAGTGAGGTGGTGTGGTATTGGGAGTTGTCAAATCAAGTAGCTTAAGGTTTCTTAAATTCTAGAACAGATTCTGTTTCAGATATAGTAGCACTAACTTTGTTAAAAATATGAATAATTGTAGGGCTGCCCCAGTACATTCGTATGGAAGAACATGAGGTCTGAGAGAAGGGCCTAGGCATTTAGAATTATTTCTAATTGAGAACTCTTAGGACTGACTGTGTCCGGGGCCTGTCTGCAGACTCCGGAGACTCTTCCTCCAGCCTGCCCTGTAGAGCCGAGGACAGCACTGTTGGAACTCTCTAGGGAGGAGCCAGATAGCAGGGTAGGCATCTCATAGACTGCACCCAGATAGTTCTGGAATGGAAAACCAAGAAGTTAACCCATAAGCAGGACGTGGCCACACAGTGTTAGTCATTGTTCGGTTATGACCACTTCAGAGAATACTGCTTCTTAGCTTCAAATTTAAATTTTTTTTTAATGACAGGTTTATTTTATTAAAGGGGAACCTGTGCAAAACAAAAGAAAACTTGCACATAGCAAGTCTAGTAGATATTCCACATACAGTGGCCACTGGTAAAATTTTGTTCCTGCTTTATTATTATAACTATATGACTATACCCCCCTGGGGAGAGAGGATAGTTGACAGTTCAGAGACGTTTATTCAGAATAGCAGCTAGAGAGCCTCATTTAAAAAATTCATCTTCTTTGGGTACCAAGCAGTATTCTTGTTACTTTGGCAACTCCAGCTCCAGGTTGGGAGATAAAATGAAAGTTTAAATAATGGTGAATTTTGTTATTCACTACTCTTGTATGGGCATTTAAAAATATACTTATTTAAGGCTGGCACGGTGGTGTGCGCCTATAGTCCCAGCTATTCGAGAGGCTGAAGTGGGAGGGTTGCTTGATATCCCAGGGGGTCAAGGCTGTAGTGAGCTGCATTCATGCCCTTGCACTCCAGCCTGAATAACAAAGAGTGAGACCCTGTCTCAAAAGCCAGATATTTATATTTAACTTAGTTTTTTTTAATTGGAGAAGAGATTTTTATATGTTTTTGTATGATGTATACGTGTTATAACTTTTTTAAAATTCAGATCCATTAAACTGTTTCCATTTCATTTTATAAACACCAAGTTCTTACCCCATGGTAAAATCAGGAGCCCTGGAAATTTCAGGTGAATTTTATTTGTAGTAATATACCTTTATGTGATCTAAGAACCAAAGAAACAAGACGTGGTGTTCAGGTTTTGCTTTGCCAATAACCTCCATGGGCTTCTAAAAAATGTTTAGTATAAAGCTTTTGTATAGAAAAGATGGAGTAGCTCTTTGCCCTATTTTCTTTTCTGACACCTGTGATGAAGTTTTCACTTGGCCAATAAGCCACAAACTGAACCATGTTTCAAAACCACATTTGCCCTTCTGGTGGCCTTGCTGATGTTTACAGGATGTTGAATGGGTTTGCAAGGCTGCTGCTTTTTTCTTTAAGTCTGTAGATTTTGTCCCAGTAAGTTCATTGTGATGTACTTTACTATCATCTGCATAATGATTATATGGCTTTTTTCCCCCCAATCTATCTGTTACATAGGCAGTCATGGCCAACCAAAATTGATGTACCCCAGGACCTTGAGGATGACCTCACGGCCACTCCTTTGTCCCACGCGACTGTCCCTCAGTCTCCTGCTCGGGCTGCTGACAGTGTCCTCAATGGCCACAGGAGCAAAGGCCTGTGTGACTCAGCTAAGAAAGATGACCTCCCTGAGTTGGCTGGACCAGCACTCTCTACGGTGCCACCCGCAAGCTTAAAACCCACAGCCAGTGGGCGGAAGTGTCTGTTCAGGGTGGAAGAAGATGAAGAGGAAGATGAGGAGGACAAGAAACCCATGTCCCTCTCAACACAAGTGGTTTTGCGCCGGAAGCCATCTGTAACCAACCGCCTGACATCCAGGAAGAGTGCGCCCGTCCTCAACCAGATCTTTGAGGAAGGGGAATCTGACGATGAGTTTGACATGGATGAGAATCTGCCTCCCAAGTTGAGCAGGTTAAAGATGAATATAGCTTCTCCAGGTACAGTTCACAAACGCTACCACCGGAGGAAAAGTCAGGGCCGGGGCTCCAGCTGCAGTAGTTCGGAGACCAGTGATGATGATTCTGAAAGCCGGCGGCGGCTCGATAAAGATAGCGGGTTCACCTACTCCTGGCACCGACGGGATAGCAGCGAGGGGCCCCCTGGCAGTGAGGGGGATGGCGGGGGCCAGAGCAAGCCAAGCAATGCCAGTGGAGGGGTGGACAAGGCCAGCCCCAGTGAGAACAATGCTGGTGGGGGCAGTCCCTCCAGCGGCTCGGGTGGCAACCCCACCAATACATCGGGTACCACACGCCGCTGTGCCGGCCCCAGCAACTCCATGCAGCTGGCCTCTCGCAGTGCTGGGGAGCTCGTTGAGAGCCTCAAACTCATGAGCCTCTGCCTCGGCTCCCAGCTTCATGGGAGCACCAAGTACATTATTGATCCACAGAATGGCTTGTCATTTTCCAGTGTGAAAGTCCAAGAGAAATCTACGTGGAAAATGTGCATTAGCTCCACAGGGAATGCAGGGCAGGTCCCTGCAGTGGGCGGCATAAAGTTTTTCTCTGACCACATGGCAGATACCACCACTGAATTGGAACGGATAAAGAGCAAGAACCTGAAAAATAACGTGCTGCAGCTACCTCTGTGCGAAAAGACCATCTCTGTGAACATCCAGCGGAACCCTAAGGAGGGGCTGCTGTGCGCATCCAGCCCAGCCAGCTGTTGCCATGTCATCTGACTGTGGCCCCATCTGGCCGCTAGCACGCTTCCTGCTCAGAGCAGTGAAGACCGGCTCACTTCACTGTTCCATTTGGTTTTACTATTTTAAAGTGGGCGTTAGGAGCAATTATTTATTACCTTTCCATTTGTTCGCCTGATGATGTGACAATGCATGGTCTTTGTGCATGCTGCTAGACACTTTTCTTTCCCAGCCGAAAAGCCTATTATGTAATTTTTACATTCATAATTTTAATGTGGATGATCAGGATTAAATCAAGATATATATCTGGAACCTCTTATAAATGGAGCACTTAGAAATTTGTTGTTCTGCACTTAACCTAGAGAGAGAAAAAATGCTTTTCTTTGTGAAAAATCTGAATTCCTGTCCTGACCTTCTGTGATGTGGAAACCCTAGGCTCTGAGACACACTCTCTGGTGTCTGAGACAGAACCAAAGCAATAACGTTGTGATGCCCACAGGCCTGGAGCCAGCTAGCGACCTTGTGCCGCCCAGCTGTCCATGGCCCGTGCAGAGCAGAGGACAGTGAGTGTCTGCACTGAGAACCTTAAACCACAGTTGAACATACCCACACCTGTTTGTCTTAAGCTATAGTGTAAAAACAAAGTTTGGGCTCTGAAAATTTAACTGAAAAAGATTTCCTTGTTTTTGTAATAGGTGAGATAAAGTACTTAGATTTATAAGGCAGCTTCCCCTGTAGTGATAAATTACAAGCAGACAATCTTATTTTGTAATGTGATGAAGTGATGATGTCTTAACTCTACTTAGAGAGTGTATGTCTGTCTAACAGAACAAAAAGATGCTCTGTGTAAATTCCTTCCTGTAGGGCACACTGCAGGATTTCCATGTAGATAGAAGAACTATAGGGCCTAGTACAGAAGGTGCACACAAATGTTGGCAAAGTCAAAACCCCATGAATTAAAACCTACTGGAATTTGGTTTTTAGGAGTTTGGTAATTAGATTATCTCTTTTGTTATTTTCATTCAGTTATATCCTTTGGCTCAGCTAGCTTTGAAATTGGCTGATGAAAAAATATACATAAAAGGGTAAAATTCACACATACAGCAAACAAAAATGCACAAAGCCTGCTTCGTAACTTTTTTTTCTGGAATTGTTTTTCACTTTGCCTTTTTCTGCCAAAACAATAATCAAAGAACTCTTGCTTTAACCTATTCCTGTACAAAGACTGTTTTTGACCAGATAATCATCTGTTGTGGCATTCTATCTTGTAGGACACTGTATATTGCAAATTGCTGATTATGGAAGGGGCCAGTTGCTGTTTTTTCATGCAGTGCCCTGGGAGTCTTAAAAGCAGTGCTTAGCAACATTGGTGATAGCATGTGGCTGGGACCCAGGGCCCTTCCCCACTCTTCAGCCCCGAGTCATGTGTCTGAGGTGACGGACTGAGACGCATCTGGTCCTGTAATTCAGAGAGTGGGCACATCACCAAAGAACTGCATTGCTGTGGTCACTGTTTCTTCAAGTACACACTGACTCTGCTACTTTAGGATAAATATATTTTACTCAGAACTCTGAATTTCACAGTATACTTACTAAACTAAGTAAAAATGATACTTAAAATACTTATTTTACTTTCTAGACCTAGGCTAGATGTTTTAAGCTACAGCTCTAGTTCATTGTGATATTTATAATTTGAAAGCTATGAGAATAGATGTGTGGGTGAAGCCATAGAACATATTTGCTTGAAATTCTTGAGCAGGGATCTTATAAAGGGCCAGAAATAAGATGTGTGGTTCACATAGATAGTGAGCGTAACATCTGTATTAAACATAGGAGAGAAGTTTATAAAGGGCATTGGCAATAAACTCTTTGTTGCAGCTGTTTTCCAAGCAGTGTAAATACTTTTTCCTGTGATTATGTATAGCCTTGGAATGGCACCTTTTAACTAACCCATATGTGTTTGGTTTCAATGGTTTTTTATATTCAGATGTATATATGGTGCTCACTTTAGGATCAGCAGTGTTGACCATTTATGCTGCATAGCTGTATTATAGCCTTATTAGTTGTGTGGTTGACCCTTGGGGTATACAAATGTCAGTCTGAGTGGTGTCTTACTCCTTTGTTTATAAGTGAATGATTGTGCATGTTTTGTATGTCATAGTATGTCGTCACATAAAAGGGAGGGAGCGAAAAACCATTACATTAAGATAATATTGGACCAAACTACTTACTTGCTCTAAACAGTTACTTGTACCCCTTAACCTGTCTTCAAAAGTTGCATATAGTTACAGTAGTGTATAAATTAAATATTGTGGAAAAACAGTCTTGTATTTTTCTGTATGTGTGTATATATATATAATTATGTACTTCTGGCAATTCTATCTGTATTTAAAGATGTGACAATCTTGACACCAATTTTAAGAATAGCTGTGAGACCGAATTAAAGATAATCCCTACCAAGTGAAAATTGATGTGTGTTAAGAGGGTACAGAATTATCAACTGATTTGGTCAGTTGCTTCCAATGCTGGTTGATTTCCCTCATTGTGTAAACATTGACAGGTATGTGACAAATGGGAAAAAAAATCCAAATAATAAAGTGACATATTGGTGTTCAGCAATATAAACCGTGTCCTGTGTTGTATTGCTTCTCATGAGTGTAGCTTTGTGTGATCCCACCTCAGTTAGACCCAGCCTTCTCCATGCCCTGTGCCTGCACCACCAGATTTGGCTGAAAAAGTACAGTCATTATTATGTTTAAACTCATGGCTACAAATCATAGGTGGGGCCAGGGTGCCCATTAAGTATACTTACTTTATTTCTCTATTTCATCTCCTTTCCTCACTCTGCTGGTCACCATGCTGCCTAATTGAATAAAGGGAAGCAATGAGAACTGCCACAAGTTCCCACCTCTGCCTTCCTCCCTTCCTTCATACACATTCACATGCTCTGCCCTTCCTCCTGTTACTGTGATTCCAAGGTCAGCTACTCTTACTCAGTTCTCACAACCATTACCATAATTGACTTTTACAACCCCCCCCCGCCCGCCAAAGAAATCTTGTGCCCTTTGGCATACTTTACCTTGTCCGCAACTCCCTTTACTCCAGCCTCATGCAACCACTTCCTGTGATCAATTTTCAATCCCATGTTAGAATTTGATGAATTGCTCACTTTCTTCCTTATGAACTTCCCATCTTTCAGTATCTCACTTCTGCCTTGCTGCTCTTCATGTCCACTGGTCCTTCCTCATTCTTCCAACCTCTAAATTTGGAATGTCCCAATGTTCAATTCTGGACCCCTGCTCTATCTGCAGTGACTCCTGATCTCAGTTAGTCTAGTATCTATATGCTGATAGAAGCCCAAAATATATTTAGCCCACATACCCTGGGAACACTGGATTTCAACTATCTATTTGACTTTTCTTCTTGGATGTGTCTGTGTGTCTACAGCATCTCAATTTTTACAAGTTCAAAACCCCTAATCTTTCCCCTCAAATCCTTTTACTAGCGCACCCATCTTAATAAATATCAACTCCTAGCCTTCAATAGTTTCATTCAAGCTGAAAATCTTGGTGTCATCCACTTTTTCATCCCAACATTCAGTTTATGAGCAAATCTTAACTTGCCTTTCACAGTTGACTCCTTCTCATTGCCACCACCACTACCACTCTAGTCCATGACACTCAACTGTAAATGCCTCTTAAAGGGTTTCCCTGCATTTGCCCTTGTCTTTCTCATTTATTTTCCACTTAGCAGTATGAGAGATCATTTTAAAGGCTAAATCATACCATGTTTTGAAACGTGTTTAGTTTCCAAATATTTGGGGTTTTCCCACATAGGTTTCTATAATTTTTAGTTTAATTCTATTTTTATCAGTGCATGCTTTCTATAGTTTAAATCTTTTGAAATTACTGAAACTTGTTTTATGGCCCAACATACGACCTATCTTGGTGAATGTTTCCTGAGTGCTTGGAAAGTGCTATTGGTGGAGTGTCCTATACATGTCAGTTCGTTCAAGTTGGTTGATAATGTTCAAGTTTTCTATATTCTTACTGATTTTCTGTCTCAATTATTGAGAGAGGAGTGTTGAAATCTCCAACTATAGTTGTGGATTTGTCTATTTCTCCTTTTAGTTCTAGCAGTGTTATTTTAGAAAATTTGAAGCTCTGTTGTTTGGTACATAAGCATTTAAGATTGTTACGTCATATCAATGAATTGATCCCTTTCCTCATGAAATGTTCCTTCTTTATGACTGGTAAACTATTTGTTCTGAAATCTACTTTGTGTGATAGTGATACAGTAACTCCAGCTTTTTTTTGACTTGTGAGAATATATCTTTTTCCATTCTTTACTGTTAACCTATTGTGTCTTTATGTTTAAAGTTTGTTTTTTGCAGATATCATATAGTTCGAGCTTGCTTTCTTATCCCATCAGCAAATGTCTGTCTTTGATTGAGGGTTTAGATGTATTACATTTAGTGTAATTGTCAATATGGTTGAGTTTAAACCTACCTAGTTTTCTATTTGTCTCGTCTGTTCTTTTTCCCTCTTTTGCTACCTTGTTTTGGTTTAACTGAGCACCTTTTGTTACTCCATTTTATCTCCGCTATTGGCTTATTGGCTGTAACTCTTGTTTTTCAGGGGGTGCTATAAGATTTGCAATACATGTATTTTATTATATCACAGTCTATCTTAATATATCACTTCATGTAGAATATAAAAACCTTACAACTGTATGCCTCTATTTTCCTCTTCCTGTTCCTTATACTACTGTTGTCATACATTTTATTTTTGTATATGTATAAATATTGTTTTAACTAGTTTTTAAGGGATTAAACAGGGGGGGGGGGAGTATTTTAGCTACATATTTGTCATTTGCAGCACTCTTCATTTCTTTGTGTAGATCCACAGTTTGGTTTTCCTTCTGCCTGTAGAACATTCTTTAACATTTCATATAATGCAGATCTGCTGGCATTACATTCTGTCAGCTTTTGTTTTGAAAAATTACTTTTCCTTTATGAAAGATATTATCATTGGGTATAAAAATTCTTGATTCATTTTTATTGCAATGCTGGACACTGAATTTTGCATTGTTGAATGCTGGAATTTTTTGTATTCGTGTGAGAAGTATTGGATTTCATTTTGGACTGCAGTTATTTAAAATCATTGGATCCTTCATGTCTCACTTTTAAACTGTTAGGGCAGATCCTGAGCAGTCTTCAGTCTAGGGCTAATTTGGCCCACTACTGAGGCAATACCTCTCTAGGGACTCTATTGAGGCTTTTCTACTCTGGCTGGTAGGAACATGAACTATTACCAGCCTTGGGTAAGTTCTGAGCATTGTTCAGCCTGCTGCTTTCCAGTGGTTCTTTCTCCAGCCTCAGGTAGTTTTCTCATAAGTACTGATCAGTACTCAACCAAAGACCACAGATTTTCTTTTGGAGCTTGCTCACTATCTGTGCAGCTCCCTCCTCTCTGCCCTGCACATTGATCTTGAACTTCAAACTACCTGCTCAACTCAACCAGACTATTTGGGCTTTCCCTCTCTGTGTTCTGGCAACTGCCTTTGGGCAGTGAGCTGGGGCATTCAACTCAGGGCTCACCTCATTTGCCTCCCTTCTCTCGGGGTGACAGCCCTATGCTGTCTGTTGCTCAATGTCTGGAAACTATTGCTCCATATATTTTGTTTGGTTTCCTAGTTGTTTAAGGCAAGAGGGTCAATCAAATTCCTCTAATTCTATCCTGGCCAGAAACAGCAGTCTAAATAGTGGGTCACTCCCCTGCTCAAAATCCTTCCATGGCTTTCCATCTCAGATTTAAAAGTTTAATCCTTGTGTGGTGGCCCACAAGGCCCTAGTGTGTCCTCTGCCCCAGTTATCACATCTGCTCCTCTCAACTTGCTCATTCAGCTCTGGCTGCAATAACCTCCTTGCTAGTCCTTGAACAGGCCAAACACAGGAGATGTCACACTTCGGGTGGTTATCAATCCATGGCCCTTCTGCCCCCTACAGCTGCTCAGCAGGGACGAGGTTTCTCAGACTTCTGGGATCTGGGGAGAGACAGATGAGAAGGGGAAATAGGATGTAGCCCTTTTTGAGCTATTAGGGCCTAAGGACATTGTGACTACCAGGGAGAGAGTCATATTTTTCAGGACGTCTGAATCCAGGACTAAGCACTTGCTGGACACCTCACTCTGAGCAAGGTGTTACAGATTGGCAAGTCGTCAGAAGAGAAAAAAATGAATCGTGGTTCTTGCCAGTTCATAATGCCCTTGGAGAAGAAAATGGTGATTTAAATTAGCACAAGTTGATGGATCAGAGGTGGTGATGTGTCTGCACAGCACCGCTATCAGGGTCAGGGAATTCGAAGAAGGGCGAAGCAGGGAGGAAGAATGCAGAGAGTGGAGAACTGAAGAGTGTGAGCAGGGCTCCAATCATCTGGAGGTCCCTGTGTGAGCCACAGGAGGTAGCAGTGGACTTTGCTGAGACAGCATTCATTTTGCTTCTTGATTCCTTTATCCTTTTACAAGGACTCCAAGGTTTCTGGATTAGAAGATGAAAAGAGTGGGGGTTAGGGTGGGGCCACTGGTAGAAACAGTCACTAAGGGGAACACCAGCATGAAGGTGGAAACAAGACTGAGTCAATGTCCTGCTGGCAGAGCTGGCTTCATGTGTGTATGTGACCTTTATACTCATTTGGGGGGCACCACACTTAGAAGAGTCCCACACTAAGTTTGATGCTCTGCTGTTGTTTTAAAATTCATTGCCACATGGCACATACTCTAAAATTGATCACACAGTTGGACATAAAACAATCGTCAGCAAATGCAAAAGAAGTGAAAACATACCAATGACTCTCTTGGACCATGGTGCAATAAAATTAGAAATCAAGACTAAGAAAATTGTTCAAAACCATAAGATTATACATGGAAATTAAATAACCTGCTCCTGAATGACTTTTGGATAAATAATAATGAAATTTAGGCAGAAATTAAGAAAGCTACCAGAAGACAAGAAATAACCAAAATCAGAGCTGAACTGAAGGAGATTGAGACACGAAAAACCATTCAAAAGATCGAATCCAGGCATTGTTTCTTTGGAAACATTAATAAAATAGACTGCTAGCTAGACTAATAAAGAGCAAAAGAGAGACAATCCAAATACACATAATTAGAAACAACAAAGAGGATATTACCACTGACCCCGCTGAAATGCAGATAACCATCAGAGAATATTATGAACACCTCTATGCACACAAACTAGAAAATCTAGAAGAAATGGATAAATTTCTCAATACATACATACACCCTCCTGAGACTGAACCAGGAAAAAACAATCCCTGAACAGACCAATAATGAGCTCTGAAATTGAATCAGTAATAAATAGCCTACCACCCCCAAAAAGCTCAGGACCAGACAGATTCACAGCCAAATTCTAGCAGATGTACAAAGATGAGCTGGCACCATTCTTACTAAAACTATTCTTAAAAATTGAGGAGGAAGGACTCCTTCCTAGCTCATTCTTTGAGGCCAGCATCATCCTGATAACAAAAACTAGCAGAGACTCAAGAAAACTTCAGGCCAATATCCTTGATGAACATTGATGCAAAAATCCTCAACAAAATGCTGGCAAGCCAAATCCAGCAGCACATCAAAAAGCTTATCCACCATGATCAAGTAGGCTTCATCCCCAGAATTCAAGGTTGGTTCAACATATGCAACTCAATAAATGTGACTCATCACATAAGCAGAAATAAAGACAGAGACCACATGATTATCTCAATAGATGCAGAAAAGGCTTTCAACAAAATTCAACATGCTTTCATGTTCAACTCTCTCAATAAACTAGGTATCGAAGGAACATACCTCAAAATAATCAGAGTCATCTGGCCGGGCATGGTGGCTCATGCCTGTAATCCCAGAACTTCGGGAGGCCACGGTTGGCGGATCATGAGGTCAGGAGTTCAAGACCAGCCTGGCCAACATGGTGAAACCCCGTCTCTACTAAAAATACAAAAATTAGCTGGGTTTGGTGGCACGTGCCTGTAGTCCCAGCTACCCGGGAGGGAGGCTGAGGCAGAAGAATTGCTTGAACCTGGGAGGCAGAGGCTGCAGTGAGTGGAGATCGTGCCATTGCACTCCAGCCTGGGCAACAGAATGAGACTCTATCTAAAAAATAATGATAATAATAATAAGAGCCATCTGTGACCAACCCATAGCCACATCATACTGAATGGACAAAAGCTGGAGCATTTCCCTTGAAAACTGGCACAAGACAAAGATGTCCTCTCTCACCACTCCTATTCAACATAGTATTAGAGGTCCTGGCCAGGGCAAGTCCTGGCAAGAGAAAGAAATAAAGGGCATCCAAATAAGAAGAGAGGAAGTCAAACTATCCTGTTTGCAGACACATGATTCTATATCTAGAAAACCCCGTAGTCTCAGCCCAAAAGCTCCTTCAGCTGATAAACAACTTTGGCAGTCTCAGGAAACAAAATTGATGTACAAAAATCACTAGCATTCCTATACATCAAGAATAGTCAAGCCAAGAGCTGAATCAGGAAGGCAATCCCATTCACAACTGCCACAAAAAGAATAAAATATCTAGGAATACAGCTGACCAGGAAGGTGAACCATCTCTACAATGAGAACTACAAAATACTGCTCAGAGGTTGCAGTGAGCCGAGATTGCACCACTGCACTCCAGCCTGGGCGACAGAGTGAGACTCCTTCTGAAACAAACAAACAAACAAACAAACAAAACACTGCTCAAAGAAATCTGAGATAACACCAACAAGTGGAAAAACATTTCATGCTCATAGATAGGAAGAATCAATATCATTAAAATGGCCATACTGTCCAATGCAATTTACAGGTTCAATGCTATTCCTATCAAAATACCAATGACCTTCTAAACAGAACTAGAAAAAACTATTTTGAAATTCTCATGGAACCAAAAAAGAGCCTGAATAGCCAAGGCAATTCTAAGCAAAAAGAACAATGCTGGAGGCATCATGCTACCTGCTTTCAAACTATATTACAAGGCCACAGTAACCAAGACAGCATGGTACTGGTATGAAAACAGACACACAGACCAATGGAACAGAATAGAGAGCCGAGAAATAAGTCTGCACACCTACAACCATCTGATCTTTGACAAAGCTGACAAAAACAAACAATGGGAACGGACCCCCTATTCAATAAATGGTACTGGGGTAACTGGTTAGCGATATGCAAACTGAAACTGGACCCCTTCCTTACATCATATACAAAAATCAACTCAAGACAGGTAAGAGACTTCAATGTAAAACCCAAAACTATAAAAAACCTGGAAGACAACATAGGCAATACCATTCTGGACACAGGAATGGGCAAAGATTCCATGACAAAAATGCCAAAAGCAATTGCAACAAAAACAAAAATGGACAAATGGGATCTAATTAAACTAATGAGCTTCTGCACAGCAGAAGAAACTGCCAACAGAGTAAACAGACAACCTACAGAATGGGAGAAAATTTTTGCAAACTATGCATCTGACAAAGGTCTAATATCCAGCATCTATAAGGAACTTAAATGTATAAGAAGAAAGCAACCCCATTAAAATGTGGGCAAAGGACATGAACAGACACATCTTGAAAGAAGACATACATGTGGCCAACAAGCATGTGAAGAAAAGCTCAACATTACTGATTATTAGAGAAATTCAAATCAAAACCATAATGAGATACCATTCTCACACCAGTCAGAATGGCTATTATTAAAAAGTCAAAACAGACGCTGGTGAGGTTGTGGAGAAAAAGGAACTCTTATACACTGTTGGTGGAAGTGTAAATTATTTCAGCCATTGTGGAAAGTACAATTCCTCAAAGAGCTAAAAACAGAACTATCAACATACCAAGGGGTATATACTTTTGATATATACCCAAAGGAATATAAATCGTTCTATCATAAAGAGACATGCACATTTATGTTCACTGTAGCACTATTCACAATAGCAAAGATATGGAATCAACCTAAATGCCCATCAATGATAGACTGGATAAAGAAAATGTGGTACATATACACCATGGAATACTACACAGCCATAAAGAAGAACAAGATCTTGTCTTTTGCTGCAATATGCATAGAGCTGGAGGCTGTTATCCTTAGCAAACTAACACAGGAACAGAAAACCAAATACCACAAGTCCTCACTTATAAGTGGGAGCTAAATGATGAGAACACATGGACACATAGAAGGGAACAACAGACACTGAGGCCTACCTGAAGGTGAAGGGTGGGATGAGGGAGAGGACAGGAAAAATAATAGATACTAGGCTTAATACCTGGGTGATGAAATAATCTGTACAACAAACCTCCATGACACCAGTTTTACCTATATGAGAAACCTGCACATGTACCTCTGAACTTAAAAGTTGAAAAATAAAATAAAATTTTGTTGTTGTTGTTGTTGACAGAGTCTCACTCTGCCAGGCTGGAGTGTGGTGGCACGATCTCAGCTCACTGCAATCTCCACCTCCTGGGCTCAAGTGATTCTCCCACCTCAGTCTCCTGAGTAGCTGGGAATACAGGCGTGCACCACCACACCCGGCTAATTTTTGTATTTTTAGTAAAGACGGGGTTTCACTATGTTGCCCAGGCTGGTATTGAACTCCTGACCTCAGGTGATCCACCCGCCTCTGCCTCTGAAAGTGCTGGAATTACAGGTGTGAGCCACTGCACCCAGCCTAAGATAAAATTCTTAATAATGTTTGAAAAAGGGCATTGCATTTTCATTTTGCACCTGTGGGTTCTGCACCTGGCCAAGGGATTCCTTTGTAGCTCTGTGCTCTGCAAGTATTGAGGAATGCTCTCACCCTTGAGAATGGGAGACTTTGGTGAGAGCTTAGGCCCAGAGAAGGCAGCAAAGGCCCGAGACAGAAGCCCAGGGACCACTCAAATGTGGAGGTGGGGAGTGAAGCCAGAGAGTGGGACACCAGCAGGTGAGCCTGAGAATTCTCATAAAGGCTGTGCAGCCTGTGAGCCAGAGGTCACCCTGAGGCCAAGGGGAATTTTAAAAAAACCTAGGAGTAGGTACTGTGGGGGCCTCTCTGGAAGTGTGAGGAGAGAGGTGGTTAGAACACAGGTGGGCACTCAAGAATGGAATGGAGGGTCTTGGAAATGGGAATTCTTTCCCTCTTAGCTACACTGCTCCTGCCCCTGGCTCTGCCTGGACACCTTCCCTTCCACAGCTCTCTCTAGCTCACCCATGCTGCTCTCAACCCGAAATTCTCGTTGCCTGTCCACTGACTCATGACTTGTGTGCCACGAAAAGAGTCTCAGAGGAGGGCCGGGCATGGTGGCTCATGCCTGTAATCCTAGCACTTTGGGAGGCCGAGGCGGGCCGATCACCTTAGGTCAGGGGTTCGAGACCAGCCTGGCTAATACGGTGAAACCCTGTCTCTACTAAAAATACAAAAATTAGCTGGGTGTGGTGGCAGGCGCCTGTAATGCCAACTACTTGGGAGGCTGAGGCAGGAGAATTGCTTGAACCCAGGAGGCGAAGGTTGCAGTGAGCCAAGATTGCACCACTGCATTCCAGCCTGGGCAACAGAGCAAGACTCCATCTAAAAAAAAAAAGACTGGGCACAGTGGCTCACGCCTGTAATCCCAGCACTTTGGGAGGCGGAGGCGGGTGGATCACGAGGTCAGATCAAAACCATCCTGGCTAACATGGTGAAACCCTGTCTCTACTAAAAAATAGAAAAAATTAGCCAGGCGTGGTGGCAGGCATCTGTAGTCCCAGCTACTCAGGAGGCTGACGCAGGAGAATGGCGCGAACCCAGGAGGCGGAGCTTGCAGTGAGCTGAGATCGTGCCACTGCACTCCAGCCTGGGCGACAGAGGGAGACTCCGTCTCAAAAAAAAAAAAAAAAAAAGTGTTTGGGCAAAAGAGGCATGGTGTGTGAACCTCTTCTCAAAGGCAGACTTCAGAGGCTTAAAAGCCAGAGAATGCAGAATTGTTATTTTGATGGAACCCCACAGAAAGGGATGGGCAGGGCAGGCTGTTGTTTGCATTTCATTTGCAGGGGGCAATGAGGCTCAGAAAAGAGTCTTGGCCAGGGATGCACTGTTTACCTGATCCTGGAGCCCACTCCTCAGGCTGCCCAGCTGGGTGGGGAGAGGTGTGAGAAGATGGCACTATCTCAACTTTGCCTTTGACCTTCTGGTAACAGAGGGCTGAGGAAAGCAATATTAAGGCAATTGACTATAGGAGTCCACTTTATACCACACTCAAGCTGTTGCATAACAGCATAACACATGTATATGCATCTTGTTACCTTTCTAACACCTGAACAAGTCAAAATTCCGTGACACATCTGGTCCTAAGAGATTGTAGGCATGTAGATGAAACTAGGTGAAGCCACTTCTTACACCTCATGATGAGGAACCATTCAGATTCAGGGGCTAAGACCTGGGCTCACAACATTTCCCAAAGAATTCCAGCTCTAGGTAGCTTCCCTGGTCTGGGTGGCCATTCCCTGGGACCAGCTGTCTGAGAGGAAATTGGAACTAGGCAAGAAGTGCCTCTCAGTCCCTAAGATGCCTTCTGTCCATTAGGAATCAATGTCATCAACATGTTTGTGCAAGAATTGCAGCAAAATCCTGCATCAGTGGACGTATTTTAGGTGGAGGCCTGCCACGTCACTGGATTCAGATTATTACTGCAAATCCCAGCCTGCATTCTTCCTTCTGTTGTGGTGCAAATGCCAGCAGCTACAGAGCCATTTATAGCTGGAGAGCAGCTCCTGCAGCAAACGGCTTACAAGGGCACCATGACCAGGCAGGCCACCCCAGTATGGTGGCAGAAGGGCGGGCAAGTCCCAGAAAACAGTCGTTTGTGCCACACTATTGCCCTCCCTGTCTTTATTGACCCCACTTGCTAGGACAAACTCTGGGTGCCAGTTTGTGGCCTTGTGTTCTGGGAAGGGGAGGTAGAGGTGACGGTGAGTTGCTCTTCAGTCTCCCTTAGGATGGAGACACCTTTGGTTTCTGTTTTCTGAGCCGGACAGTTATGTAAAGGGAGGTACATATCCACGTATCCACGTCTACCCTACTGTTGCCCTTCTGGTTAATTTTTCAGAAATATACAGTGATTTTCCTTGTATTGAGCACACATTAATTTGATGATTTGGCCAGAAGCTCTTCACACCTCAGCTGGTTGCCCAGGCCTGGGCCTTGGGAGACTTGGGGGTGCGTTTTCCTTTCTCCCACAGAGGGTCAGCTGGCCTGGATTTATTGAAGCTCTGCCTCCACTTCTTGCAGTGACTGCATCTATCCACCCCCTGGGCCGTGGGACTCTCCGGTGAAAACAGGAGGTAATAATGGGTGGGTGGGAATAATACAAGGGAAGGAGCCTCATAATCCATGTGCTCTGTGCCACTGTTTTCCCCTTTCACTGAAGAAATTCACCAGCACTATAAGATCTATCGAGGAGGCCACCTTTCTTGAGCCAAATGCAATCAGCGTGATCTGTGCCACAAACTTAGGGGACAAACTTCATCAGACCTCTCTTGTCTATCATGTGAGGCCCCCACATACCAATCAGCAGGAAGTCAAGGGTCTCCTCCCTGCTGAGTGGAGATTGCTGCCAACTCTGAATTGCCCAAGAATCTCCAAGGCTTACAGAGGATGGTGGGAGATGTCAGTCATCTAACGCCAGGTGGGGAAGAAACTGGTCTCTTGGGTCCCATACCTTGTTGCTCCTTTCTGTCCTGGATCCTGTTCAGGCCCAGGATGCTTGTGGCTCTAGATCCCTGGCAGCCCCATAGAAGCACCCCAGACCTGCCCCCATGGTGGCAAGTTGGCAGGGAAGGAGGCTGGCTCTGCAGGGGCCTTTAGCATCAGCTGCTCTTGGGCAGAAACCAGCAAGGCTCTTTAACCTGCTGTGGTTCTCGGATTTCAGCGTGCAACAGCATCCAATGCAAGCATTGTTAAAGATACAGATTCCTGGGCCAAACCATCACCATGTGGCTTCTCAGGCCTGGGTGGTGGCACTGGGCATCTGCATGGAACAAGGTCTAGGCGATGCTCTCCCAAGGTCTGTGGCCACACTCAGAGGAACGTGAGGCCCTGTTGCTGAGCCTGGCTCCAGCCACAAGGCCTTGATTTCAGGCTCCCTGCCCACCCTGGTGCAGGCCTTGACTGGGGCCCTGGGCTAGCGAACAAGACCTCCTAACTTTGACTCCTGGAGAGTTAGGAAGCGGCTCCCCACACCCTTCCACGGTGCCTACCTGACTGGTTCCCTTCCCAGGACCAGGAAAAGCATCTTCCTTCTCAAGTGGCTGTGGCCCATCTTGTGGTCGGGACAGAAGGGTGTTCCCAAGCCTGAGGACACAGCTCCCCTGGCTGTGTCCTGTTGGGCTTCCAGAGGTGCTGGAGGCTCCAGGTTCTGTCAGGTCCCTTGGATGGGGCGTAGAGGGCATGCAGGGAGGCCTGGAGCCTGGCAACCCTGTAGACTCAGCTACTGGCAAGAAGTTCACCAAGGCCCACACTGTCTGGCTGTTTATCAAGGCACTGGCCAGGCACTGTCCTTGCAGGGTCATGGGGTTCTTAAAACTTAGTAAGGACCAGTCTGGACCCTTCGGTCCTCAGTGTGTGGCCTTCGGCCTTCCTTCTTCCTGTTGCTACTTTTGTGCTGGAAGAAGGGCAGGAGCCACAGGGTTTGAGGCTGGGAACACGGGTCTCAGGTGCCGGGCAGAGCCTGTGTGGAAGCGGGGCTTGGCACAGATGGCAAAGGACAGATGTGGGTGGACATGGGCTGTGGAGAAATCACTTGAACCCTGCAAGCCTCAGGGTTCCTTTATTAAATGGGGACAACGTGAGGCAACAGTGACCCAGAGGGCTCTTGGCCATCCAGCTTTGCTGCAGGGCTGGTTGGCCATGAGCATTCGCTTCTTATTTGCTAGTGAAGCTGCTAAAATAAAGATTTGTTCTCAAGTCTGAGCTTTTGAGCTGCTGATGGGGAGTTTGGCAGTGTGGCCACCATGAGGGGGAAGGGTCCACTGCCTGATCCCCCTGCCCGGAGGCTGCAGCCCTGGGATGCTCTGGGGTTTCTGTTGGCCTCTGTGTGGGGCTTTAGTGCACTGGAGAGTGAGAGGAGCCGCCTGTGTGGAGTGGGACAGCCCTCCCCCATGGGGAGGGCACCTAGGAAATGTCACCAGCACAGGGCTCAACACGGTCTGCGCTGGTTGTGTGAAAGAGAAGAGTTGGGCTGTGAAGTGAATTGGGCCTGCGGCCAAACCCCCACTGGGGTCAAGTCCCAGTGACAATCTGTGGGACTTGGAGACAGCCTGTATCTCATGGCTTGAGGGAGGCAGGTTAGGGATGCATGCGACAGTCACGACCTCCCTGGCCACTTTTGAGGTGAGGCAGGAGCGCTCGGGCAGGGCTGTCTGCGCAGATACCGCAGGAGCCGCGGGGCACCTAGAGCCCGTCTGAGCAACTTGCAGGGGCGGGGGGCTCCCTGGGAACCCTTCTCCGAGGTCGCAGGTGGAACGGGCTTGCGCGTGAGAACGGGGCCTGGGCTTAACTCACTGGGGCCTCCCCCGGGTGGCCGAGGTTCTTTTCCCACGCCCTGCCCGACAGCTGCTCTCCAGCTGTCCTCCTTGGAAGCTGTCCAGTGCCGGGAGAGCTCTGGGCCTGGGATCCAAATACCTGGGTTCAGTCTCCTGTGGTTCCCTGGCGTGGGCCTCCCTCCTCTAAGCCATGAGGAGTTTGGACCCGGGTTCCGAAGCCTTTCCTACCTGCCCCTGTCCGTCCCTCAGGGGCCGCTGCAGTCTCAGCCTCCTGACTCTTGGCTGCTCTGTCTCTGGGCACTTTTCTTGGCCGGGCGCGGGGCTGGTACCTCCCAGCTCTTGGAAGCCATGGAGGAAGGCGGGCTGGAACCGTCGGGCGGGGGGCGGGGGGCGGGGGGAGTTCACCCTCTGGAGTCCTCAGGGGTGTCGGGGGAACTGGGTGGTCAAAGTGGGGAGGTTCTCTTGGGTAGGGTCACCAGGGGCCCCTAAGGCAGCACCGCCAGGGAGGGTGGGCCCGCAAGAGGCTCGTGGGGGGCGTGGTGGGGTTGGATCTGAGGCTGAGGTGAGGCCAGCAACGAGAGAACAGTGGGCGAGCCAGTGGCCAGAAGGGCTGGGGGATGAAGTGAGGTGCAGGGAAGGGGGTCCCCCAGGGTTCCAGGCGGGGACCGTGACCGCAGGGAATGGCTGTGTGAGGCCAGGGTGTGGGTGGGACGGCATCGGCCTAGATGTCTTCCTCAGTCCAACTTAGATGCGAGGGAGCTATAGAATGTGAAGCAGCAGACACGCTGTTCCTCTACCCCTACTCTTCCAACTATGCCATTGAGTCCTGAGCACCTGCGGCGTGCCAGATGGCACCCACGACAGGCCGGGGGATACAGAAGAGGAACTCGCCACAGCTCCAGCCAGCTAGAGCCTAGCAAACCGCGGCAACCTCCCCGTCCTGCCAATATCCCTTTTGACACAACCCAATTGGTTCCACATCCACCCTCCCCCGTGGCCTTGTGCCTGAGGTCTGGCCCCATTGGAGGGTCCCGTTCTCCCCTGTGCAGTGACTGGCTAAGGCTTAGTTAAGTGGTGTAGTTGTGCCCAATCAGACGCTGAGGAAGGGCAGATGGGCGGCTTCTGGGAAGGGCACAGTCACAGTGCTGGGAGGAGGCTACCTGGCTCTGCGGCACTGCAGGTGGCAAGTGATTTGGTGGCTTCACGTTCCGGGAATCCAGGACCCACTGGTTCACAACCAATTGCATTCATGCGACTGACTCCCAAAGCCGGGCTCTGGGGGATAGGGGGACACTAAGAGCTGGTGCCAAGAGCGCCATTTCAACCCTCTCCTTTCCCAGCAAACAGGCGCCCAGGCTGAAATGGAGTAAAGATCCTGGGTCTCAAGACTCAGGCCTATATTGGTGGCTGCCATTCACTGACATTTCCAAACATGAGCCTGTTCTAGAAACTGTCTGTCAAACACTGAACAACCGCCGAATAACAAGGCCCTGGAGTGGCTCATCCCATGTAAGGGCAGGGACAAAGCTCACTGACATGTGTCCACTCTGTAAAACAGAATGGGCTCACGGGACCAACACAAACACCCATGAAGGGGCAGACAGGGAGAGTCGGGACCTCCAAAGACAAGTGGTGCTTGAATTGGCTTGAGGAGGCTGCCCCATCTCTGAGGTGGAGGAGGGATCAAGATGCCCGACTCCTGAGGTGAGGGAAACAGGCCTCTGCCAACCAGGAAGCATGGCGGCCCTCCCCGCTCTTCACCTTCTCACCTTCTCCGGGTGGGCCAGGGCATCTGCTGCTGTCCGAGTGGAGGTGCCCACGGGTCTGTAGTGTCTTGGCTACAGCAGGACGGCCAGCGCTGGTGGGAAGGGCTGTATACGTGGGCAGCACTGGCCTACATGGCATTCTTGTGCCTGTGAATGCAGGGCAGTCCATGGACACAGCTAGGGAGGTGGGCAGCACCACTGGGCAAGGAGGGCCCTTTTCTCTGCAAGCCCAAGCCCAGGCCAGGGCACCAGGAGTGGCTGCTGGCCCTTGGCTTGGCACCATGGGTACACCCTGCATGTGAAAGCAGCCCTAGTGTCCCTGTAGGTGGGCACCACCAGCAGCAGTTCTCAAAAATGGCCCAGCCTTCAGCTACAAGCTTTGGTGCCTGGCCTCCAGCCAAGCCCCTCACCCTGGGCTCCTGATCTCACCGCTCCACCTTCAGTGACCTCACCAAGTGCTTCAGAAAAGGGAAGCCCATTGCGGTACCTATGTAGGCAGAAGGAGTCAGAGAGGTTGCCTTTAATAGCTCAGTTACTATTGTTTATGTTGATAAAGGGTCTGTTAATGTATTGCAAAAGAGAACCAGGAAAGAGGTCCAGTGTGGGAAGCACTGCCTTACTGTACCCCGCTCACTCTCAACTGAGGCTCCTGTGATGAGCACAGTGGGCACACACCCCATCCCCAACCTGTCCACGGGTCCCTGGGCCATGGTGGGGTTGGGAGTGACACTGCTATGAGGGGAACGTGGAGAGCTGGTGGCTCACTCATGGTGAGAGGCTCAAGGGCGGCAGTGGCTCTGCAGCAAAGTTGGCAGCTGGAGCAGCGTGTGGGGCCCGGGAAGGAACTGGGAAGGAGCAGACAGGGTGGGGCTGGGGGAACTGCCAAGGATCCCGAGCCAAGCCACTGCGAAACTGAGAAGGGTGCTTGCCACATGGGAGCCACTTCGTTTGGCTAAGCATTGGGTCTGGGTTCAGGAGCCACGATGCTGCCCCGGGTACCCCCCCTGCCACCGTGGCAGGTGTGGCACAGACACAGGCCTCTGCCAACAGGGCAGCTGGGCACGCTGGGCACTCAGGTTGCCTTCTCCTTCCCGCTTTCCATTGGTTCCTCCTTCAGGTTCTCGGTCACGAGCTTCATTTGCTGTTAAGAGAAAACAGGACACCAGGTGAGCCACAGAAGCCTAAGTAGTGGCCGAGGCCTCTGCTCTCTGTGGAAGCCTGGCCAGCGGCTTTGACCCCAGGGAAGTGGTGACTCTGATGCTGCCTGCAGCTTCCTGCAAGTCCCTGGGTCTGACTCTGAGGAGATGGGAGACAGTTGGTGTGGTGGAAATGCAATGTCGCACTGTGTGAGCCCAGACCAGCAGGGATTTTAAGGACACTGAAATGAGAAGCAGCTGGCGTCTCCTCCTCCCTGGATGGCCAGGATGAGGGGAATAGGCGGACAGGGCCTGAGAGAGGACGGGGCACAGGCTTGGGACCAAGTGCTTGCTTTGCCCCTGTGCTTTGAGCGACCCTGGCAGTTTGACCTCACTGAGCCGGAGTTTCCAAATCTGCAGTGAGAGCAATAGTGCCTATTTTGCAGGGTGGCTGCAAGTATTGTTGTCCATGAAGTCCCTGGCACAGAACAGATGCCCCAAATCATCAGATGTTTCTCACCAGCCTTTTGTCCCTAGTACAGCCACAGGACTTACACTCACCCCTCCGCCCCCATCCTCACTGGGAACAACCCATGAAGTCTCTGTGAGGGTGACGTCAAGATAGAGGTGCCCTCCTCGAGGGCAGGATGGGAGACTTCCAGGGAGGTGTCAGAAGGGAGAGCCTGTTCCCACAAGTCAGGCAGCGGCGTAGGGGACAGTTCTGCTGCTCCTACCTTCCCCTACCCCAGCCCTGAAGCTCCCAGTCACTTCGGTTTTATGGCTAGAAAACACCACTACAGCTCTGCCCTATTCGTTGAATAAATGAATAACTATAATACTGTGGAAGTTGGCTTCAAACAGATTTTTGATAACAGTGATTCACCTATGGAAAAACAAAACTCTGAGCGCAAACATGGCTGGTACCCCCAGTACCTGGCTACTCATCTTGAGAGCCCCAAGTGCCACCCAGGGCTGGAAGCAATACCATGCTCCCTGTGGCTTTCAGTGGGAGAAGCCCCTTTCACAGACTGTCAATCAAAAGTCCTTGTCTGCTGCTTTAATTTACCCTCCTAAGGATCCTTTAGATCTGCAGCACCTCAGGAAGGTGCTCTCAACTCCTGACCATTCTCATGTTTTCTGAGCCTGGCCTGTCTCCCACAGGGCGGCTCATGATGGCTCCTGGAAGCTGAGCCCTCTGCATTTGGCTTGGGGAGGGGACTGGCTGGCCCTTTCTTATCCAGGTCTAAGCAGGGCTTAGGAGATGGCTTTTGATGAGAAAGGGGGCTACGGAGAGTCAAGGTGACCAGTTTACCTGCGGTGGGGGTAAGAGGGTTCTTTCTGCAGGGGCCACAGCATTTCAGTAGGCCTGGAGTAGGGGGTAGACACACAAGTTAACACTGGCCCAGGGACATGCCCTGTCCAAATGACCCACCACTGCAAGATTTCTATAACCTTCATCCTGCCAGGGGGATAGAGATGGTTTAATAGTTCACAAACCTAGAAAGGCTGAACTGCTAGGCACTGTAAAAGTCTCCCCAGAGTTTTTTGCATCTGCTACCTCTTCCATTACTAACATTTCAGGTCTTCCCACAAGCCCATGCTGTTAACTACAGATATAAAATATCACCATAAATAAAAACTGTAATATTTCAGCCCAG
The DNA here is from genome assembly GCF_000001405.40 of Homo sapiens. Lineage (NCBI taxonomy): Eukaryota > Metazoa > Chordata > Mammalia > Primates > Hominidae > Homo > Homo sapiens. The sequence goes on from NC_000003.12 coordinate 43,368,628, forward strand.
GTTCACTGCAGACTCTTCTAGCTGTTATCATTTAATACTTGTAAGACTTTTAAAATGTCTTTTTTTTTTTTTTTCAAGAGCCAGGGTCTCACTTTGTTGCCCAGGCTGGAGTGCAGAGGCGTGATCACACTGCAACCTCGAACTCCTGGGCTCAAGGGATCCTCCTGCCTCAATTTCCCAAGTAGCTGGGACTACGGGCATGAGCCACTGTGTGCGGTAAATTTAACTAAACTAAAACAATAATGAAGACAGAACATTCCCCAGCTTGTCACGGAATCTTGCAGCCACATTTCCCTGGCATTCCACATGGGGAAGAAAATCAAAATGGGAGCATCTGAGGCTCCTTTCAAGGCATGGTGGCTGGAAGCCCCGTGAGGTCAGGCACAGAAGCATCCAGCAGCTCTCTGGGAGGGGCCCCCTGCTCCACAGTAGCCAGGGTGGATGGGCCTTCTCCTCCAAATGACCAAACCCAATGTGACTTTTGTCTCACTTCCTGGGGCTGCTTCTGGGGTGCCCCCCACTTGTCCTTATAACTGATGTGCCCATGAGGGGCTTCTTCAGGGCCACAGCCCCTTCTCTCAGGCCCAGGGTTGGGGGCTTCACCCAAGTTCAGGGAAGGAACTCGGAACCCACTTGGCTGGGTTCCTCCCACCTGCAGTGCCTGCCTTGCTCAGGGCAGCACCTAAGAGCCTGAGGATGTCCACGAGGTCACAAGGTCATCTGCACTGAACTGCACTACTGGTGGCAAAGGTAGAAAGAATGGCCAGGGACCCTACAGTCCTCCCTTGCCTCAGGCCAGGCAGGAGCCATTTGCACATTTCTGCTCTTTCCTTCACCTGTCCTGGAGCAAGGCTTCTTTTAAAGCCATGAATGACCAAGCCTCACTGGAGTGTTCTGTGATCCCCAAGTTGGGCCACGGCCATGGGATGTCTCAAGGCCAGCTTGGCAGCCAGGGGAACAGGAGGGGACAGGAAGGCTGTGCTCCCAGGGCCTCCACAGGGCAGTGGCAGACCAGGTGGTTTCCTTCCAAGGGCACTCTCCCTCCCAGGGCCATGGTATGGAGGGGGGCTCAGCTCGACTCCCTGGGTTGCCTGTGCCCACAATCCCCAGCTGGAAGACCCTAAGCCAATGGCAGAACCAGAAATTAAAACCTGCAGCTAAAGTCCAAAGAAAAACCCAAGCGATTTGGAGGAAATGAGCTGCAACAGCCCGCTTTCCTGAGACAAGCTAAGTTGTCATGAAATCAGTGGCTGACATTCACACCTTTTCTGTGTAAATGGGGCAGGCCTCTACCTCCCTTGGCTGCAAATGGAGTCAGAGCCACAGATACTCATTACCGGCTGGCTGGCCCTAAGATGGCTTCTCTTAGGTAAACCAATTGCTATCTACCACTCATGAGTCTGCAACCCTCAGTATGGGGGTCATGCGACGTACAACAGGAATATCCCATTTGTTTTCCAGGAGGGCTGTCCTCCTGGTGAAGAGGAGGCTGAGCCCTAACCACAGCCCTGGCCCAAGAGCACTTCCCACACCCTCCCCGATGGGGAAGTGGTGAGCACTGGCAGAAGTGATGTCAGGATCACAGAATTTATGATTAGGAAGGAACCCTGAAGAACAGTCAGTCTCATGGCCACTTAAGAATCCTGAGACCTGGTTAAATGCAGGCCCTGCAGTGGACCCCAGACTCTCTGAATTTTTAACGAGCCTTCGAGTTTTTCCACTGGCCACCCCAGGCTTGCAAGTCTCTGATTTGTTGTCTGTCACCTTTCACAAATAAGCGAGCTGGGGCCAGGAGGGGTGAAACAGATTTCTCCCAGGCCATACTGCAGGCTCTGGCTGCGTGGGCTGGGACGGTGCCTAGGCACCAGGCTGCCTCTGGCAGCTCAGTTCTTTGGCTTCTTCTCCTTAACAAACCTGGCTGGAGGGTGGGTGGGGTGGGAGGGAGCAACAATATCCCCTTAAAAAAAACCTGGCTTCTTTGGGGATCCTTAAATTAAAATCTTCATAAAAATATAAGCAAGATAATAGAGCTGACGACTTCTCCAAAAAAGTATCAAAATGGAGACAGAATGGAATTTTCCCCTAACTTGTGACTCATTAAAACACCCATGCTCCAAATTATTCTTTAAAAAGCACTGACTAATTTTTTGCATCATTATTAGTAATGATTATAATAGGAACCTAATCATTAAGTGTGTTGGCCAAATGCACAGCTTGACCTGAGGAAGACTGTGTGACCAGATCCCCTTGTCTCTGTGGAGAAGTACAGAAATACTTTCTGAGAATTGCAATGCTTCCCACAGACCTGGAATGGCCATGGTGGACTCCATAGACTTGTGATAACCATGGTGGACACCACGGACCTCAAATGGCCCCTTCTCCCTCCCAGCCTTGTAGCAGAGACTCCTTCTGGCTGAGCCCACAATAAACTTTAGGATCCTTCTATTCATAGCATTCAGGGAATCACTACCATTTGATTACATCTCCTGCTCAATTTGAAATCTACTAGCAACTACTCCATTACCCCTTCTCACCCCTGCCCCCCGTCCCAAACCAAGACCTACAGAAGGAATCTGTCTGGGGAGCCCTTGGCTGAAGGATAGAAAATCCCATGCGTCATCAGTTACTGTTCACTAGTGGCCTCACCGTCCATGTCCTCTGAGTGCAGGGTGCAGTGGCTGGGATACAGCCAGGCTGCTGGCCACATAGGGTGTCTAGGAATGGAGTTCTCAGGCCACTTCAGCCCAGCAGCAGCACCTGGTTCCCCCGAGCCACCCCAGCCTTGGGTGTGCAGGCCTGAGATGGAGCATCATGATCACCCATTCCTACTCCCCGACCCAAAGTCTGATTTAATGCACCTAAGTGTGGCCTGGGCACAGGGACTTTTCAAAGCTCCCCAACTGATTCTAACATGCAGCTGAGGTAGAGAGCCACTGCCTGAAACGAAGCCACCCTCCAAGTCTCCCTGAGAAGGGGAATGGCGGGGAAGAAGGGAGGATCAACTTCGAGCCTCCTCCACTCAAGCTGTGCACACACCCCTTATTCACACCTTGCAACCACAAGCAAGGGCTTCTCTACAGGTGTCACTGACATGGCCCTGGGGACTCACAAGGCTAGGCAGCTTATTGAGGACATGCAGCTAGAGTCAGGGCAAAAATCAAGCAACAGCCTGACAATTCAGACAAAAAAGGACAGTGGGGCTTCTGAAGCACCTATTTTCACAGACTTTTTATTTGTTATCTCTATTGAAAAGTTTACCTCAGTGTTCTGAAAATATCATAATATAATGATTAAAAAGTCCAAGCCTGTCTGGGCTTGGTGGTGCCATAAGGCTCTAAACAGCCACGACAGCAGTGAGTAGAGGGGCAGGAAGGTGCTTGCAGCAGCCTGTCAGGCGGTCCTGGAGGGAGTTACATCCACCTCTCCCTCTGATTGTTGCTTCATTTTAACACTTGACAAAATGTAAAAATGTAAGACTTGCAGGCAACCACAAGTGCCAGTGCTCCAGCTCCCACCTCCCACCCCAGCCAGCCTTTCTCCCAGTCATCCCCATCTCAGGAAGCAGTGCCACCACCAGCCAGCATCTCAGACCATGGAACTTCGGCCATCTCTGCGGATGCCTGCTCCCCCGGCCCAGCCCCTCTACCTGTCACACACGCACTGCTCCTGCCTCCCTCCTCAAGGCTGTGCCCCTGCCTGCACTGAGACGGCACCCCAGACCATCCCACTCTTGTCTCAAGGCAGCCCAAGCAGGGTTTTAAACGGGGGGCTGTAGTATGCCACTCCAAGGTCCCTACCATGCTGGGGACTACAGTTCACCCCTTCTTGTCTCTCATCCTTGTCCCCTGCTGCCCCGCAATCCAACCTTGGTTCTGCTCCAGCCACCAGCTCCCTCCACCCAGGCTTGCCTGCCCTGCCTGAGCTTTGCTGGCAACTCCTTTCTGCCACTCAGTCCTCAGCCTGTCTCCTCCTCATCCCTCTATTTCCTCCTCCCCCGTCACCATCCCATCCCTCTATTTCAATTGCTGCACTCCTCGCATTACCATCTGGTTTATTCATTGTTTGCAGATTTTTTTTCTGTCTTAAATGTTCTATCCTACCTGGTATGTGGTCTCCAGAGAGCAGGGCCATGACTAGACCCCAGGACCTATGACAGTGCCTGGCACTGAGTTGGTGCTCCATGAATACCGTGGAAGAGAGACCAGCTTGCAGCTTGCAGCCTGCAGTAGCAGCCAGAGAAATTCTAATTTAGCCAGTAACCTCAGTGTAATTCCGATGAACTTGTGAAGCCTCTTTTTTTCATGCGTATGAAAGAGAAAAGCCTCTTTTCTCATGTAACACATATTCAAGTTCTTGAAGTCAGCATCACTCTCTGGCCCACAAATTGGCCAATCCCATGTATGGGATCACAGAAAACACACCAGTAGGATGGGCTTTATGTCAGAAGCACCGGGTTTCAGGGTTCCCAGCAGCTACCTGCCCTGGTAACAATGCAGATTTGGGTCCCAGCCTAAGGTTTTGACTCAGAAGCTGGGTGAAGGGGTGGGTGGCAGAAATCATGGCTAGCAAGCTCAAGCTGGGTGAGGGTCAGGGGTGGAGTGACGGGCGAGTGTGACAGAAATCATGATTAGCAAGCTCAGATGTGGCTCTGGTGAAGCGGAAGGTGGTCTGCAGTTACAGCTGTGTGGGAGGAGCACGGTGCCAAATTATCAGCTTGGTCCCAGCTAGAAACAAAGACTCCGCCAAGAAAATCAAATCCCCATTCCAGAAAGGCTCCCGCTCACACAACAGGAGACATGTGAGGGAGTCTATGACACAGGCCATTAACTGCATGAGCTAACCGTGGGGTGGGTGGATGTCAGTTCAAAAGGGGAAACAAAGGTGTAATGTCTGTTTCTCAAATGATCTTTTGAGCCCTGCTTTCTCTGCACATCTGGGTTTCAGAGCAAAATTTCCCAAAACAGAAGTTAAAGGACTTTGAAAGGAGATATTTTGAGACTGCAAATTACTTCCCATGGAGAGTGAGGTGCCTATAGAAGCCAGAGGCTGGCTTTCCAGCCATCCCCAGGCACACACTCATTCTGACCGCTTCTGGAACAGGAAGCTAGTCATGTCTGATTAACTACAGCCACCTCCCAAATCTGGGAGTTGGAATCCTCACATACCAACCAACGCTACAGGCCATGAGGTTCCACAGGTGGCCAGAAAGAGCTGGATGCTAACACAAAATGACCAAGCAAAACTGACCCACCTCCCTGGGTCTGGGAAATGTCGTCAGAGGCAGCAAGCCCTCATCAGGGCTGCTCATCGCCTCTGTCCTTTCATGTTCTATCAGTGGACACTGATATTTTCTCCAAGTTATGGATACCCCAAATATACACGAAATCACCTAGTAACTAAACCAAGAGATCCTTCTGCAGAACCCCCAGGCTTCAGCATGGAGTGGACGCACCCATCTAGATGGTTCCTCCAGGCTGTGGGGCTCAGGTCCATGGGTCTGGGCATCAGTCCTATGCTTCCTAGGGTTCCCTGTGCCAGGTTCATGCCAATCTTGGCTACTTAACTCCCCATTTCCTGCATTTCTAATTGCTCTTGTACAGCAAAACCTCTTTTTAACCTCCTTTGTTGATATAACTTTTAATGTCTGTTATATTACCTGTGTGTAATTTAAATTCATAGTGCCCAACACTTACATCACATTGCACGCCAGGCACTGTTCTAAACACTATGCACATTTGATTTACTCCTCATAACCACCCTATGAGAGACATACCATTATGATTTTAAAGAAAAAACAGAGGCACATAAAGGTTGAGAAACTTGCACCAGGTTATAGCAGGTTTGAGCCCAGGCCGTCTGGCTCCAGAGCTGGCTCCTAACCTACAGGCTGCCCGGCCCCTACCCTGATGTTGGATCTAGACGTTTCATTTTTGTACTATAATAATATCACCCAACTATCCACTGGGGTCACCTGTGCTTTGAGATTCAGATTCAACTGGATCACACTTCTAATCCATGAGATCTTGCGAGTATCTCTGAATTATTGGTGTGGATCCAATTTTGTCTTGTCACACCTGGCTCAGATTTTCTGCTTCTGCTAAATCTCTGAAACCATGGCAGCCTGGCTCCAGATACACCAGGTTAACCCTATCTTGATCTGTATGCACACATTTTAGCAAGATATTAAAGAGTGCTTAAAACTTTAAGAACTGGCCGGGCGCGGTGGCTCACACCTGTAATCCCAGCACTTTGGGAGGCCGAGGTGGACACATGACTTGAAGTCAGGAGTTCAAGACCAGCCTAGCCAACATAGTGAAACTCCGTCTCTACTAAAAATACAAAAATTAGCTGGGCGTGGCGGCAGGCACCTGTAATCCCAGCTACTCAGGAGGCTGAGGCAGGAGAACCACATGAACCCGGGAGGCGGAGGGTGCAGTGAGCCGAGATTGCGCCACTACACTCCAGCCTGGGTGACAGAGTGAAACTCTGTCTCAAAAAAAAAACAAACAACAAAAAACTTTAAGAATCATTTTTTTGGGTGGGCGCAGTGGCTCATGCTGGTAATCCCAGCACTTTGGGAGGCCAAGGCAGGTGGATCACCTGAGGTCAGGAGTTTGAGACCAGCCTGGCCAACATGGTGAAACCCTGTCTCTACTAAAAATACAAAAAAAATAGACAGGCGTGGTGGCGGGCGCCTGTAATCCCAGCTACTCGGGAGGCTAGTGTAGGAGAATCGCTTGAACCCGAGAGGTGGAGGTGGCAGTGAGCCGAGAATGCACCATTGCACTCCAGCTTGGGTGACAAGAGGGAAACTCTGTCTCAGAAAAAGAGAATCAAGTTTTAAAAAATATCCAGAAGTCCTTGATGATTTTTTTTTTTAAAGAAAGGCTTCCAAAGGGAACAAGAATAAGAAAATGTGGAAACCACAGTGAGACAGTTGGCAAAATCACAAACGCTAGAGCAGCTGAAACTCAGATGCGGAGACACTTCCTTTAAACACAAATGATTTAGACCAGGTCTCCTACTCTCCTAGCTAAAAGAGGCAGGTGAATCCTTGAAGTCACAACTTCCTCAGAATCCTCAGGCAGGACTCCCTGGACTCCAGAGTCAGAGAGAGCAACAGGACAGTTTATTCCCCCCTTGTCCATGGCAAGCCACAGGAGCCTGGGGGAGAAGGTGTCTTCCTAGAACAGAAGCTCCTTGGGGGATGAATTTAATGCCATATAATATTTTTTGTTTGTTCATTTTTGTTTGTTTTTACAACTTTGTCACATTCAATATTTTTAATAAGTAAAAAACAGGCATGTGCTTTAAATATTATCCAACTTATTACCAACTGCACCCCATTAAAAGGTGTGACCTGGAGGAAAGAGAATGGAAGGAGCCCCTTGGTGGTTCATTGCTGTGTGTGCCCCAGATGTGTTCTGATGGCCTCTTGTCACCAACTGGCTGGTGATGGAGAGCTGCTGAAGAGCACCTCCAACAAAGAGCATGGCAAGAACCAGAAACCTCGATCCGCAAGGGACTGCAGTTTACTAAACACATAAAAGGGAGCAGAAACATTAATAAATTATTCAGGAACAAGAAAGGTTAAAATAAGCCATATCTCCTCCACTGGATGAAGAGAAAAAGCTAGTAACAGATGTTGCTTAAAAGGCTGAATTGAATGGACGGTTTTTTGAAACATCCTGATATGAGCATGGAGAACAGTGGGCTGGGGGTGTCCTGGGGACATCAACCAAGGGGACTAGAGCAGTGGCCTGAGGCTGAGACAGGGGCAGTATTTTGACACTTGTAAAGTAGAGGTATAATTATAAATAAAAAGAATCAAAGTCCCTAACATCAAAAGCAAACTATGACTAATCTTAAAGAAGTAATATAATTATATACGAAAGCTACAATTACTTCTGGAATGACCATCAACTATGTGTGTTATGGCAACATAGGTAAGAGGGCAACAAAGTGAGGAAGACATGGGAATGATGTTCCCAGATGGGAGGACCAAAAAGACAATGAAGGTGACACCAATTCTGAGAAAGGGGGAAATTTTCATATTTTTGCAAATAATAATGTAAAAATAACATGTAATCAGTTTGCCTCCAAATCACAGGGCAAAGAATGAAGTTTCTTTTTAAAATGACTTTGGCATGGCTCCTTTCTAGTTTCACTGTAACTAGATCTACAGGTGTGATGTTATTTTGCAAACAGAAATGCGAAGAGGAGATCTTCCACCCAGGTTCTGCTGTAATATGGCAGTGAGCTGTTTCAGATGCCAGCGAGGTCTACAATCTTCTTGTGTATTATCCTCAGCCCCATGATACTGACACATTCAGTGATGTTACTAGGACATTGTCCCAATTGTTCAGGTCATCTAGATGACCAAGAGCATCTGGTCTGGAGGAGACATTTCCTGGACAAGACTTACATAGCATGACTTCTTTTTTAAAACAATATTTAAATTACTTTTTTTTTGAGACAGGGTTTCACTCTGTCACCTAGGCTGGAGTGGAGTGCAGTGGCACAATCACAGCTCACTGCAGCCTGGACCTTCCGGGATCAGGTGATCCTCCCACCTCAGCCTTCTGAGTAGCTGGGAGGCTGGAGTGTGCCACTACACCCAGCTAATTTTTTGCATATTTTGTAGAGATGGGGTTTCACCATGTTGCCCAGGCTTGTCTTGAACTCCTGGTTCAAGTGATCTGCCTGCCTCGGCCTTCCAAAGCACTGGGATTACAGGTGTGAGCCCCCGCACAGGGCCCACAGCATCACTTCTTCAGGAAGGCTCTCCCTCCTCCTTGCCTGGGAGGAAGGGTGCCAAGTCCTTCAGGAATAACTACTTTCTGGTCTGGAAGCCCTTGGAGCCAAGGAGGGCGGCAGCATTGTTCTTTCACAAGCCAGAGAACCCCCTATGTTGTCATACAGGTCACCTGGGGCCCTTGGGAGATAAGACCCAGAGAGGTCTGTGACCATCCAAGGCCAAGATGACCATCTAGCCAGCCCTCATCTTTGATCTGAGGTTCCATGTTGATAGCTAGAGAGCCAGGGCTCAGGTTCAGGCCAGAAGAGGAGGCGTGGCCAGGCCAGTGGACACCAAGCACAAGTGGCTGTTCCAAAGAAACCCCCGCAGGCTCCTTCAGTGAAAGCCATGGCTAGGTGACATTTACAGATCCAGGAATTGAAGCCTTGACAGTTTGGTTAGATCAAGGAATGACACAAAAGTTTAAAAGCCCAAAGAATAGGAATAAACACTCTAGAAATCAAAGAGTCTCTAAAAGGACCCTGAACTGGGGTGGCACAGTGGTGGCCATCTGAGAAAAGATGCCTTGGTGATCAGAGGTAATCCAGTGTCCAGCCTCCCACTGCAGTCCCGACTCATGGAGTATGAGGGGACACAATTTCACTGTCGCATGAGAAAGAAACTCAGTTTAGAAAGTTAAAGGATGAAGTAAGAGCCTACTAAATGAAATGCAGGAGACAGTCCACTGCCCACATCAGTTTCAACACAACTTAGTAAATATTACTCTTAACTATAAAGGGAGAACAACCTTTAATCTAAGAAAACACTGCCAGTGGCCACAAGGAAAGTGAAAGTGGGATGAGTAGGAGCAGCTGCCAAAGGGTGAGCTCCTTCTCTGCCCAGAAAAGCTCTGCACCCACTTTCTGCACACCTAGGAAGGTAAAGGAGGCACCCAGGCATCAAAGGACCCCTGGTGGTGGCAGAGGGGATTGGTTCCATTCTTAAGAAACACTAAGGCCATCACCAAGGTGAAAACAGATCCTTATGAAATGCAGCCACAACTGCAGACCGCAGAGAAAGTATAAATGTTTCCCATCACCTTTACAATCTTTCCCAGGGCAGTTTTCCCCACATCTGAACACTGTATGGCCCTTTGATAAATGCAAATATCTATATCTTCTATAATGTCATTTAAAATTTCAATATTACTATTATGAGTAAAACAAAATTGATAATTACAACATTATGATTTTTAAAACTCTATATCCCCTCACTGTACAAGAGATTACCATGTACCCTTCCCCCCAGAGCAGGGCCCTGTTCCTGGCCAGTTGAGAAGGGCTACCCCTGGGTGATGACGGCTGTGAGTCATCAGAATTGCAGGCACTAGGCACCCCTTCTATAGAGCCTGGGTAAAGCTGGAGCCAGGGATGGTTGACTTGACTATGCTTGATTTTTGTGTAGGAACAACACAGTAAGTGTTAGGCAGGGATTCTAGCCTTTATTCACTTGACATCATTTTCCCTCAGAAAAGTTAATTTTTACTCATTCCCACCTAGAAACCTCAACAAGCAGGATTAATTACTGCTTCTTCCCAACACCTTTCATTTCACTTTAATTTTCCATTACCTATATCCCTTCCTGAGTGGCAGTCCCTGTAACCAATACTGATCACTAAATACAGGTTGATGAAAACATCATTGAACATTCCTCACTGCTATGCTACAGGATCCTGAGCACACACGGCAGCCAGTCAATATTTTCGCAAATCTAGAACTCAAGTGACACAATGCTGTCCCAGTTGGTGACAAAAGGCCATCAAAACACATCTTGGGATACATACAGCACTGAACTACCAACAGACTGTCTTTCTTTTTCCTCCAGGTTACATATTTTAGTCGGGTACTGTTAGTAATTAATTGGATAATATTTAAAGCATATGTTTTTTATTAAAAATATTGAATGTGCTTTTGCAATTGGAGAACTTAGAAGAAGTGAGGAGTGAGCCCTGAACCTGAAAATGGCAAATAGAAGGAAGGACTAACTTGCAGCTTCCACTCAGGCAAACAGAGCAGTGTGTGGAGGCCCACATCGTGAACTTTTGCTCCAAGAACTACTGCAGGAACATACCAGGAAAGCCAAGAGAATCCACAGACCCTTTAAAGGAGATGGACTGCCTCCAGGCTCTGTGGGACAGCCAGGAACTGTGAGTCTGCTTGCTTTCTCAGCTGGGAGGCATGTAGCCTAGAGAAAGTTCTCAGCCCTGGAAATAAACTCAGCGCTGTTGTGGGGGCACGGTGGGAGGGAGACTGGCCTTTTGGGCTGTGGGCTGCATAGGAGCTGGGTGAGGGCTGTGGCTGCCAGCTTTCCCCAACTTCCCTGATGACCTGTGTGATACAGCAGAGGCAAGGTTGTTTAACACCCCCAAAAGATCACACTAGCTCACCAGCAATGGATCCAAACCAAGATCAAATCTCTGAATTGCCAGAAAAAGAATTCAGAAGGTTGACTATTAAGCCAATCAAGGAGGCACCAGAGAAAGGCGAAGTCCAACTTAAATAAATAAAAAACAAAATGATGCAGGATATGAATGGAAAAATCTCCAGTGAAATAGATAGCATAAATAAAAAACCATCACAACTTCTGGAAATTAAGGATGCACTTAGAGAACTGCAAAATGCACTGGAAGTCTCAGCAACAGAATCGAACCAACAGAAGACAGAATTTCAGAGCTCAAAGACAAGGCTTTCAAATTAACCCCATCTGACAAAGAAAAAGAATTTAAAAAAATTAACAAAGCCTCCGAGAAGTTTGGGATTATGTTAAACAACCAAACCTAAGAATAATTGGTGTTCTCAAGGAAGAAGAGAAATCTAAAAGTTTGGAAAACATATTTGAGGGAATAATTGAGGAAAACTTCTCCAGCATTGCTAGAAATCTAACATCCAAATACAAGAAGCTCAAAGAACACCTGGGAAATACATCACAAAAAGATTATCACTTAGGGACATAGTCATCAGGCTATCTAAGGTCAAGATGAAGGAAAGAATCTTAAGAGCTGGGAGGCAAATACATCAGGTAACCTACAAAGGAACCTATCAGATTAACCTATCAGATTAACAGCAGATTTCTCATCAGAAACCCTACAAGCTAGAAGGGATTGGGGTCCTATCTTTAGCCTCCTTAAACAAAACAATTGGCCAAGAATTTTGTGTCTACCGAAACTAAGCTTCATAAATGAAGGAAAGATACAGTCTTTTTCAGACAAACAAATGCTGAGAGAATTCGCCACTACCAAGCCAGCACTATAAAAACTGCTAAAAGGAGCTCTAAATCTTGAAACAAATCCTCAAAATACACCAAAATAGAACCTCCTTAAAGTATAAATCTCACAGGACCTATAAAACACCACCACAATGAAAAAAACAAGGCATTCAGGCAACAAATAGCATGTTGAATAGAATAGTACCTCACATCTCAATACTAACTGTATTAATCCGTTCTCACGCTGCTATGAAGAAGTGCCCAAGACTGGATAATTTACAAAGAAAAGAGGTTTAATTAACTCACATTTACGCATGGCCCAGGAAACATACAATCATGGCGGAAGGGGAAGCAAATACGTCCTTCTTCACATGGTGGCAGGAGAGAGAAGCGCCGAGCAAAGGGGTACAAGCCCCTTATAAAACCATCAGATCTCATGAGAACTCACCCGCCACCATGAGAAGAACAGCATGAGGGTAACCGCCCCCATGATTAAAACAGCTCCCACTGGGCCCTCCCATGACACATGGGGATTATGGAAACTACAATTCAAGATGAGATCTGGGCCAGGACATGGTCAACCCATGTCACTAATGTTGAATGTAAATGGCCTAAATGCTTCACTTAAAAGATACAGAATGGCAGAAGGGAAAAGAATTCACCAACCAAGTATCTGCTGCTGCCTTCAGGAGACTCACCTGACACATAAGAACTCACATAAACTTAAGGTAAAGGGGTGGAAAAAGATATTCCATGAAAATGGACACCAAAAGCAAGCAGGAGTAGCCAGTCTTATATCAGACAAAACAAACTTTAAAACAACAACAGTTAAAAAGGACAAACAGGGACATGATATAATGATAAAAGAAATAGTCCAACCAGAAAATATCACAATCTTAAATATATATGCACCTAACACTAGAGCTCCCAAATTTATAAAACAATTACTCCTAGACCTAAGAAATGAAATAGACAGCAACACGATAATAGTGGGGGACTTCAATACTCCACTGACAGCACTAGACAGGTCATTAAGACAGAAAGTCAACAAAGAAACAACAGACTTAAACTATACCCTAGAACAAATGGACTTAACAGATATTTACAGAACATTCTACTCACAACTGCAGAATATACATTCTACTCATAAGCACATGGAACATTCTCCAAGATAGACCATACAACGGGCCACAAAACAAGTCTCAACAAATATAAGAAAATCGAAATTATGGCAAGTACTCTCTCAGACCACAGTGGAATAAAACTGGAAATCAACTCCAAAAGAAACCCTTGAAACCCTGCAAATACATGGAAATTAAATAGCCTGCTCCCAAATGATCATTGGGTCAACAATGAAATCAAGATGGAAATTAAAAAATTATTTGAACTGAATAATAGTGACACGACCTATCAAAACCTCTGGGATACAGCAAAGGCAGTGCGGATACAGCAAAGGTGGTGCTAAGAAGAACGTTCATGGCATTAAATGCCTACGTCACAAAGTCTGAAAGAGCACAAATAGACAATCTAAGGTCACATCTCAAGGAGCTAGACAAACAAGAACAAACCAAACCCAAACCCAACAGAAGAAAAGAAATAACCAAGATCAGGCCGGGCGCGGTGGCTCACGCCTGTAATCCCAGCACTTTGGGAGGCCGAGGCGGGCGGATCACGAGGTCAGGAGATCGAGACCACCCTGGCTAACACGGTGAAACCCCGTCTCTACTAAAAATACAAAAAATTAGCCGGGCGTGGTAGCGGGCGCCTGTAGTCCCAGCTACTCGGGAGGCTGAGGCAGGAGAATGGCGTGAACCCGGGAGGCGGAGCTTGCAGTGAGCCGAGATCGCGCCACTGCACTCCAGCCTGGGCGACAGAGCGAGACTCCGTCTCAAAAAAAAAAAAAAAGAAATAACCAAGATCAGAGCAGAACTAAATGAAACAAACAAACAAACAAAAACAATACAAAAGATAAATGAAACGAAAAGCTGGTTCTTTGAAAAGATAGACTAATGGATTAAGAAGAGAGAAGATCCAAATAAGCTTAATTAGAAACGAAACGGGAGATATTACAACCAATACCAAAGAAATACAAAAGATCATTCAGGCTACTATGAACACCTTTATGTGCATAAACTAGGAAACCTAGAGGAGACAGGTAAATTCCTGGAAATATACAACCCTCCTAGTTTAAACGAGGGAGAAATAGAAACTCTGAACAGACCAATAACAAGCAGTGAGATTGAAATGGTAATTAAAATGTTACCAACAAAAAAAAGAATCCAGGACTAGATGGATTCACAGCTGAATTCTATCAGACATTCAAAGAACTGGTAACAATCCTATTGACATTATTCCAAAAGATAGAGAAGGAGGGAATCCTCCCTAAATCATTCTATGAAGCCAGTATCATCCTAAGACCAAAACCAGGAAAGGACATAAAAAAAGAAAACTACAGACCAATATCCCTGATGAACATAGATGCAAAAATCCTCAACAAAATAGTAGCTAACGGAATACAACAGCATATCAAAAAGATAATCCATGGCCGGGTGCGGTGGCTCATGTCTGTAATCCCAGCACTTTGGGAGGCCAAGGCGGGCAGATCACGAGGTCAGGAGATCCAGACCATCCTGGCTAACATGGTGAAACACTGTCTCTACTAAAAATACAAAAAAATTAGCTGGGCATGGTGGCAGGTGCCTGTAGTCCCAGCTACTTAGGAGGCTGACACAGGAGAATGGCGTGAACATGGAAGGCAGAGCTTGCAGTGAGCCGAGACTGTGCCACTGCACTCCAGCCTGGGCAACAGAGCGAGACTCTGTCTCAAAAAAAAAAAAAAAAAAAAAGGATACTCCACCATGATCAAGTGGGTTCCATACCAGGGATGCAGGGATGGTTTAACATCTGCAAGTCAATAAATGTGATATACCACATAAACCAAATAAAAAACAAAAATCCCTGGTTTCATACCTGGGATGCAGGGATGATTTAACATTCACAAGTCAATAAATGTGATACACCACATAAACAGAATTAAAAACAAAAATCACATGATCATCTCAGTAGATGCAGAAAAAACATTTGACAAAATCCAGCGTCACTTTATTATTAAAACCCTCAGCAAAATCAGCATAGAAGGGACATACCCTAAGGTAATAAAAGCCATCCATGACAAACCACAGCCAACATTTTACTGAAAAGGGAAAAGTTGAAGGCATTACCCCTGGAACAAGACAAGGATGCCCACTTTCACTATTTCTATTCAGCATAGTACTGGAAGTCCTAGCCAGAGCAATCAGACAAGAGAAAGAAAGAAAGGGCATCCAAATCGGTAAAGAGGAAATCAAACTGCTGCTGTTTGCTGATGACACGATCATATACCTAAAAAACCCTAAAGACTCATCCAAAAAGTTCCTAGAACTGGTACATGAATTCGGCAAAGTTTCCAGATACAAAATTAATGTACACAAATCAGTAGCCCTGCTATATACCAACAGCGACCAAGCTGAGAATCAAATCAAGAACTCAACTTCTTTTAAAATAGCTTCAAAAAAAAAAAGAAAAGTAAAATACTTAGGAATATACCTAACCAAGGAGGTGAAAGACCTCTACAAGGAAAACTACAAAACACTGCTGAAAGAAATCACAGATGACACAAACAAATGGAAACACATCCCATGCTCATGGATGGGTAGAATCAATATTGTGAAAATGACCATACCACCAAAAGCAATCTACAAATTCAATGCAATTTCCATCAAAATAGTACCATCATTCTTCACAGAACTACAAAAAACAATCCTAAAATTCATATGGAATGAAAAAAGAGCCTGCATAGCCAAAGCAAGACTAAGCAAAAAGAACAAATCTTGAGGCATACATTACCCGACTTCAAACTATAAGGCCATCGTCACCAAAACAGCATGGTACTGGCATAAAAACAAGCATATAGACCAATCAAATAGAACACAGAATCCAGAAATAAAGCCAAATACTTACAGTCAACTGATTTTCGACAAAGCAAACAAAAACAAAGTGGGGAAGGACACCTTATTCAACAAATGGTGGTCGGATAATTGGTTAGCCACATGTAGAAGAATGAGACTGGATCTTCATCTCTCACTTTATACAAAAATCAACTCAAGATTAATCAAAGACTTAAATCTAAGACCTGAAACCATAAAGATTCTAGAAGATAACATCAGAAAAACCCTTCTAGACACTAGCTTAGGCAAAGACTTCATGACCAAGAACCCAAAAGCAAATGCAACAAAAATAAAGATAAATAGATGGGACTTAATTAAACTAAAAAGCTTCTGCACAGCAAAAGAAACAATCAGCAGAGTTAACAGACAACCCACAGAGTGGGAGAAAATCTTCATAATCTATATATACAACCAACAAAGGACTAATATCCAGAATCTACAAAGAATTCAAATCAGCAAGAAAAAAAACAATCCCATCAAAAAGTAGGCTAAGGACATGAACAGACAATTCTCAAAATAAGATGTACAAATGGACAACAAGCATATGAAAAAATGCTCAACATCATTAATGATCAGGGAAATGCAAACCAAAACCACAATGCAATATCTCCTACAAGAATGGCCATAATCAAAAAATAAAAAGTAATAAATGTTGGCATGAATACAGTGAAAAGGGAATACTTTTACACTGTTGGTGGGAATGTAAACTAGTACAACCACTATAGAAAACAGTGTGGAGATTCCTTAAATAACTAAAAATAGATCCACCCCAATCCAGCAATCCCACTACTAGGTATCTCCCCAGAGGAAAAGAAATTATTATACGAAAAAGATACTTGTAAATGCATGTTTATAGCAGCACAATTTGCAACTGCATAAATATGGAACCAGCCCAAATGCCCATCAACCAACGAGTGGATAAAGAAAATGTGGTGTATATACCATGGAATACTACTCAGCCATAAAAAGAAACGAAATAATGGCATCCGCAGCGACCTGGATGGAACTGGAGACCACTGGAGACATTAAGTAAGGTAACTCAGGAATGGAAAACCAAACATTGTATGTCCTCACTCATAACTGGGAGCTAAACTATGAGGAGGCAAAGGTGTAAGAATGACTTTGGGGACATGGGGGAAAGGATGGGGGGGAAGGATGGGAGGGGAGTGAGGGATAAAAGACTACACATTGGGTACAGTGTAGTGCTCAGGTGATGGGTGCACTAAAATCTCAGTAATTACCACTAAAGAACTTATTTATGTAACCAAACACCACCTGTCCCCCAAAAACATATTGAAATAAAAAAAATTAAATGTGACAAAGTTCTAAAACAAACAATACAACCAAACAAACAAAAATATTATACAACATTAAATTCATCCCCCAAGGAGCTTCTGTTCTAGGAAGACACCCTTCTCCCCCAGGCTCCTGTGGCTTGCCATGGACAAGGGGGGAATAAACTGTCCTGTTGCTCTCTCTGACTCTGGAGTCCAGGGAGTCCTGCCTGAGGATTCTGAGGAAGTTGTGATTTCAAGGATTCACCTGCCTCTTTTTAGCTAGGAGAGTAGGAGACCTGGTTTAAATCATTTTTGTTTGAAGGAAGTGCCTCTGCTTCTGGCTGATGGCCACTCCTCTCTTCCTGAAAGCAATCTGAGATAAAATACTTTAAAAAGAAGGAAGGAAAGAAGAAAGGAGGGAGAGGAGCAAGGAAGCAAAAGAGAAAGCAAGAAGGAAGGAAGAAGGAAGGGAAATAAAGAGGAAGAAAGGAGGAAAGGGGAAGGGAAAGGAAAGGGAAGGAAGGAAAGACATCTTGATAACTGAGGGAGTCTTGGCTTTGCATATGGAGCCAGCAACACCTGATCTGAGAAACTTAAATGTCCCCTCAAAATAGAGAAAAAGGGGACCTCACTGTGTGCTGGGTCTCTGCAGGTGGGCTCATTCTCATGCAAAGGTTTCTCTTCCTTGGTAGGAATTCAGGCTGCTCCATGGTGTCTGAGAAAACGGGCTTTTTGAAAGTTGTGTGTAGGTGTGTACGTGTGTGTGTGTGTGTGTGTGTGTGTGTGTGTGTGTGTGTCTCCAAATCAGCTACCTCTGGGAAGGAGGCAGGGAGAATGAGCAGGGGTCATGCCTGGGCTGCCCTGACAGCTCCTCAGTCCCAGCAACCCACATGCATCCCTGGACTCTACAGGTGGTCCTGCTGAGGGAAAGGGGGTTCAACCTGGAGAAAGCCGCCTATGAGTAAGGGTGGGGCTTTCCTAGGGGCAGGACTGAAGCCTGGGATCTCCACTGGGAGGACAGAGGGCCAATCTCGAAATGGGAAAGAGAATTAGGAACTTGAGGGTGCCCTGATGTGGTTGTTTTCTTCACTGGACTCTAGGAACCGTCATACAGTCATATGTCCCTTAACGATGGGACACGTTCTGAGAACTGTATTGTCAGGCAATTTTGTTGCACTGTCAACATCACAGAGTGCACTTATATGGACCTAGGTGACACAGCATACTACACTCCTAGGCTGCATGGTGTAGCCCACTGCTGCTAGGCTGCGAATCTGCCCAGCACGTTACTGTACTGAACACTATAGGTGACTATATGGGAAGTATCTGTGTATCTAAACATAGAAAAGTACAGTAATCATCATTGGGACCACCATCATATATGTGGTCCGTCATTGACCAAAACGTCGTCACACAGTGCGTGACTGCACTTGGTGTCCAGCTTTAAAGTCTCCCTTCTAGCTGTAATTGCCCCTTATCACTCCCATGTCTCCAGCCTCATCTTGGGGTGCTGGGCGGCAGGGAGAGCTTGAGGAGGGCAGGAGGGAGAGCACTGTCAGGTGGAGGTGATGGCTGAGATTTCTAGATCATGGTTTGTGGCAGAGGCCCTACACGCAGCTGGGAGCAGTCTATAGCTGGGGCTAAGTGAGGAGTAGACATGAGATCCCCTTTCCATTTTTCCCCAGATATTCTAAAGAAAGGTCTGTGAAGAGAGACGGCAGCTTCTGGGGCTATGTGAGGCATCACTGAACACCATAAACACTGTGGTTCTCAGTGGAAGCCATTTCAGGATCAACAGAGGTGTCAACGGCTCACTTCCAAGTGGCTGGTACTAGGCACTGCCCCTTCTGTGGGGGAGCTCCTCTGCTGAGGGAGTTCACAGGTGGCAGGACAGCCCCTTTCCTCTGATGGTTTGGTGCACCTGCCCTAGCAGAAGTCCCCGAGTGGCTAAGTCCTGTGGTCCACCCTGTGCTGGGCTTGTACCCCCAGGGAGAGGCTTCCTGTGGAGATCTGAGACTTGGTTTACATATACTAAGGCGACATGTCTGTGTTTTTCCAATTTCTTTTTTTCCTGACAATCCTAAATTGGATATTCACCTTTCTTAGAGGAATAGGTTATAATGGCACACAAAAAGAAATACATGCAGGAAGGCTTTATCTGTGAAAAGTAAATTACTTTTTCACAAACATGTGCACTCTAGGTTTTTGAGAGCAAAGAAATGAAAGACCCTGGTGTGATCAGAACACAGGGCCTGGATGCAGAAATTGGGGCATTTGTGACTAACAACCCCTGTGTACAGCCTTGTCAAACCACACCAGGTTCCTCCTGAGTGTGCAAGTGCTTCAGGAGAGAGCTGGCCTGTGGTGTGTGTGTCGGCATTGGTGGGCTGAGATAGGGTTTTGAGAACTGCAGTGATTATAGAGTTTCACTGGAATCAACCATGAACTCGGTCCCTGTTGGCAGCCAGCATTATGCACACACCCCAGCTGGCTATGAAGAGCGGCGCTCCCAGGGTGACAGGCTGTGGCCCTGGGAGATGGCATGTGTGAATGCATGCCCTTATCCCTGTGTTCCTGACCACATTCCGAAGGCTCTTTTGTTTTCTTACCAAGATAATGGAAATATAACTGCAGCTAGTTTCTTACTCTCTATGCAATATCATAGGCTCACACTTTGATCACCTAATGGATATTAAAAAGTTCTGATTTTTCCTAGGCTCTGAGAAAACTAAGAAAAACTTTAAGTACATGGGTGAACTTGGAAGATGTTTTTGGTTCTTTAGGTAAGACCAATATTACCAAACTTAGATATGTTACTGAAAAAAACTAATGTTTCTGAATTCACAAAGAGGATAAAGGCTAGAACCTAAAATGTTATGGTTCATTCTACACAGCACATTCAGAAGAGTATGCAAAATACTAAGAGAAGTAGTAAAACACATTTCACAAAATCACTATGGAAAGAAGCTAGTCCCAAATACTATCTTCATGCCAATTCCTCACTGCTTCTAAGTCTAAAGTTGCAGCTGTACTATATACTGAGAGCAGCAATGGCTTCTTTCTCTGTTCCCATCACACAAACCTTTTCAGAAACTGGAAAGTTCTATAAAGATGGCATCTAGCCCATGTTACTGGTACTCTTTGGAAGGGAGATCACAGTCACAGATTAGGTTAAACTGTTAGCTAGCATGATCCTGCTTAAACCATATGGCTGCAGACAAATGAACAAAAGTTGTGAAATCTAGAGTGTTAGAACTCTACCTCCTTGCTTTGCTTTTCAGAAACATGAGCTGATCCACCCAACAGGTGTTGAAGTAAATATGCCTTCAAATATTTAGTCCTTCATCTAACATTACTAGTGCTTTCTTATATGAAGCCAAGAACAGCAGAGAGCACAAGAGATAAGCTGTTTGCTAACAGGAAATCCCTTGGTAAAAGTTATAAAATATAGATGATTTTATCCTGCTACCCTGAAAGACCTCCAAGTCATTTTGTTAAAAGGACATGAAATAAATGTTTTAGGAGCTCATGGTCAGCTTTCAGTGGGTGATTCTGTGTTACCTAGCAAAGCCCACAGCTGATTCACAGTTAACTTGGATGGATCTAGGAGAAGAAAGCAAACCAATATTTCCGTAAGTCATTTCAGAGAAGTCAAACAAACAAGCTTGCACCAAATAAATAACCATGCAACTGTATTGGGTTGTGTTTATTTTATTGCCCTTTGAACCAAGCATTCCAGATAAGTATGTAGCAAAGCACATGGATAAATGCTCTTACTTATGTAAACCTGATTAAAAGGGCATGAAAACCAATGGAAAGGAAGATAAAGACATCCACAATGACTTAACAAAATAAGCTCAAGGATAAAAACTACCATTCTTATTTTCAAAAAGGAACTGGTATCAGTATCAAGACTTCCTCAGTGCCCTCGGAAAAGCCAGTCACTCCTATGCGTGTTCCGGGCTGGGAGGAAGTGATGGCTGACCACAGAGGAAAGCACGTACTAGACGGAAATGGAACAAAACAAAACAAAACAAAACAGCGGGTTGAGTCAGAGCCTAAAGGCCTTGACTCAATGAGAGGACAACTCTTTCCAAACAAAACCTTCATCAGGTACAAATGTGCATCACCAACAGTCATACGCAAGAAAGGAACTCTGCCAACAGTTTTTAAAGTCCTGGCATCCAGGGAAAGTTCTTCATTCTTAGGGAAGTAGGGTCTCACACGAACCCCACCTATGGTATTTAAAATGTGCTGAGGAATGTGCAGTCCCTGGGAGAGTGTGGGAGACACCCAAACTTCCAGCCACCAAACTGACACACCTGGACTGGACGTTGAGCCCACCACCTCTGGGTCTCCTCTCCCACTTCTCTACAGCTCCCTCCCCTCCTCCTTCCCCACTGCCCTTCTGGCTGGGAACCTTAGTGCAGAGCCACTGCACAGGCTGTGCAGGCAGCTCTGGGAAAATCACAGATGCCTCTCTTGGCTCTCACTCCCAACCTCTGTGCCCAGTACACTGAACAGTAGCAGGTTTTTTGTTTCAGGGTCCTCCCATTTGAGAGTTCTGTGGCTTTGCACAAACCCATGCATTCCTATCACTCTTTGAAGGCACAGTTCATGTGCCACATCTTCTATGAAGCCTCCTTAGCCCGCCACAGGTGCTCCATTCTGTGGTCCCACTGGGCTGCACCCCATGAGCAGAGGACCCAGTGTGGGAGCTGACATGGCCCTGTTTGTTGGTCTCCCCATATCTGAGATGTGGCACAAAATTGGGGGTGAGCCAGAAGACTTATGGGGAGGACTTATGTACAGTAACCACAAACAGATCTTTGAGGGGTCTCTTCTGCCCTTGGCTTCAAAATTAGACTCAAAAGTGCAACTAGCAATTTCAGATGCTCTATGAAGACAACTTTATGAGTAGAATGAGTGTATTCTCACGCAGTGTGTTCCTAACCTTGCTGATCAGTAATCAGAACGGATCTAAGGATAAAAATAAGTTTCTCAGGTCCCACTTGCAATTCTCATTTAGTAGGTCTGGGGAGGAGTATAAGAATTTCTTTTTCAAAATTTTAACTTTGACATTATCTTACAGAAAAAATTATAAGCATAGTAAAAAGGAGTCCTGAATACCCTCACTCAGATTTACCAATGGCTGACATTCACCCCATTTGCTTGATCACTCTCTCTGCAGCATGTTTTCTGAACTATCTGAGGGTAAGCTGCAGACATTATGCCCTTTTACAACCACTCATGTCAGCGTATATTTCTAAAACAAGGACTACAGGAGAATGTTCCCTAAATGATTTTGAAAGGTGAAGTGATAATCAGTTTCCTAGTTTATCAAACTTCTCAAACTGTATCAAAATGATAAAATTCAGAAAATATCAAAAACAGACGGGAAGTTCTAAAGTATTACTGCAGAACAATAAAGCTGCAACTGACTATTCTGAGGAAAAAAACATATAAGGATGAATGCATGAATTCTTTTGTTCATGAAACAAAAATTATTTCCATGAGTTGGAACAGAACACTACCATATAAGAAGTATTCAACTTTGCTGAATTTAGGGTTTATAGTAGGCAGCCTCTAAATGGCCCCAAGGATCCCTGTGCCTCCTGGGATTCACTCCTTTGTGGAATCCCCTACTCTTGAGTGTGGATTGCACCTAGTGACTCATTTCTAACCAACAGAATACAGTAAAAGCGACAGGCTCACTTCTGAGTTTACAGAGGCTATGGTTTCCATCTTGGGTGCACCTTCGCTCATTTGCTAGCTGTGATGGAAGCCATGTTGTGGGTGGCCCTGAGGAGAGGTCCCATAGTGGTGAGGAACTGGTATCTTCAGCCAGCAGCCAGGGGAGTGAGCCTGGAAATGGATCCTCCCTAAGGTGAGCCTTGAGATGCCTGCAGCCTCAGCCATCACCTTGACTGTGGCCTTGAGAGAGATCCTGAGTCAGAGGCACTGAAGTAAGCCATGTGTAGATTCAAAGAAACTGTGAGAGAGCAAATGTTTGTCATAAGCTGTGAAGTCTGGGGGTAATTTGTTACCTAGCAATAGATAATATGGGATGGGTGATATCTACCTAGATCTAAGATACTCTAGTATCACAAAAACTCATTTTAAGTAAAACTACACCTGATTTCATGGAGCTTCTGGTCAGTGGAGTAATAAAGTATCACAGGGTCCTCACCAGAGAGGCAGGAGGTGGGCCCTCTCCCTCCTGTCTCCTGATTATTTAACTTCTCTCTCTCAACTGAATCTTTCTCACTGACTTTAAAAAAAAATTTTATTGTTAAAATACAAGTACATAGTTTTTAAAAAGTCAAATCAAGCAGTATAAAAATACTGTGAAAAAAACATTTACCCACACTTTTATTCCCCAGTTCCCCATCTTAGCAGCAATTTTCTTGATCATTCTTTCAGTGTGTGTGGTTTAAAAAAATAAATATCAGTGTAGGATACCTCTGGAACATCTATCCTCTTGTTTTTAATACAAAGAATGGCAATAATATATCCTGTTCTGCATCTTGCAAAATCAGCCTGATAAATCATGGAGATGATCCCATATCAGGAACTGTAGAAAGCTCTTTTTATTTAGAATGGCTGCAATAATTCCATTGTATGGACAAGAGAATTCATTTAACCAGTGCTCTGAACCAGGCTATTTAGGTTGTTTTTAAACCATTGCTGCTCACACACGTGTGTTTATCCCCTTATATATATGTGAGTAAATCTAAGGGACAAATTCCTAGAATTCGGCTATTGCCCACTGGCTATTAAACATACACACTAGTTTCTCTTATTAAACCTACAAACAAAGCCCTCTTCTCCACTCCTCATCCCTGCTCACTCTTCAGTCGACATTCTATTTCTCTCCTCTCTTTTCCAGCCAAATGCATTTAAGTTGTCTATCCTGGTTGCTTTTTCAACTCTAGCTCCCCAAACCACTCCACATTGGCTCCTGGCCCTATTCATCCACTAAAATAGCTCCCTCTAGGGTCACCCGTGACCGCCATATTGTTAAATCCAAGGGGGCATTTCCTGGTCCTCATTTTGCTTAGTGCAACTGAGGAACTGAATTTTTAATCTGATTTAATTTGAACTAATTTAAATCCAAATAGGCACAGATGGCCACAGGCTACTGTGGACAGTGAGGCTCTATGTGCTCTCCCTGAGAGAGACCATGCACACCCATGGCCTCAGCCACATCTACATGCAGATCATGCACATGTCTTTATTCCAGCCCAGACTTTCCTCTGAATTCTACACTCACATAACCAATGCCTACCTCATATTTCCCTTGGATGTTAATAAATTAACAACACTAAATTCAAGATCATCTTCCGAAGCAAGGCTATCCTTCCATCAAGTGAAGTGCACAGCCATTCACCCCAGAGCATGGCTCTGGAGCCTCGGAAAACCAAGATTGGTTTTGATTGACTTGATCTCCTAATCATTTCTCAAATTTGTCTACTTCTCTACATTTTGACCACCTTCACATAAATCCATCACAGAAACTCCTGGAACCATCTTCTTACTGGTTTACTTATACCCTCTCTGGCCACATCCCCAATCTGTCTTTTTTGATGTAACCTAAACATAAATCTAAAGATGATACACGTACGCTCAAGCCCCTTCGGTGGCTTCCTGGGCTTTTGGGATAAAGGCAACAGCCCTGTGTGCAAGGCTCCTTCCTGCAAATCCCTGGCCAACTCTCCATAGCCCTCCTCTCTTTCCCTCCAGCCACACTGGTCTCCATGTCTCCTGCATTTACCATGGGCACATATTTTCATTTCTTTTTTATTCTTTTCCCAGTTTTCAACATTGCCTTTTGTAACTCTGGGATGTTACAAAAGGTGATGTTGGGAAGCAAGCAAGCAAAACCCTCCTGTTACCTACACCATGAAGGTTCCCCTTTCCAATCTCCTCCTCCAATGCTCAGAGACTTTGGTCTCTCTCTCTACCCCTAACCCCTCCATTTCCAGATCTTGGCCTTTTCCAGAGCAAGACAATGGCACCTCAAGACCCCCTCTACCTGCTGCCCAGCCCCTAATTTTTCTGCCCTATACATAAGCCTAGGAACTGAGCTAGGAGAGAATGAACACCCCTGGGGGTGGGAAAAGGCTGTGAACACTCACAGGGTATCATAACTTTTTTTTTCTGTCACTTCATTTGCATGAGAATTGGGGGAAGTTTAGGGTGGCTGGTAGGCCTGATAAGTGTTGGTAGATATGCTTTCACATCTTGGAAATCCGTGCTAATGAGACAACATCCTTCCTGTTTGGCCTCCCTGGAAGAGGGGCCTTAGACGTTGTCCCCCTCTGGTCCCTACCCCCAGGCATCACCACCTCTCATGGTCAGCAGCACATTTCCTGTGACCTGCCTATGATCTCTTCTTCTTGTACTAAGGCCTGGCAGGCAGCCACCCCTTGAAAAGTCCAGCTCTATCCTCTATGGGAAAACCTTCCTGTCATAAATATACCACCAGTAGCTCTGCATTTTTCTTTTTCCCTTGTGTCAAATTCTCCCACCCTCACCTCTTGACCCTAAGCCTCTTCAGGATATTTGTTTTCCTGGCTCCCTTCCTGAATTTTTTCCATCCTGCACAGGAATGTTTAATCTCCTCTAAAGAGTTAGAGCCTAGATCTTCTCTTCCAGTAAGAAGATGTAGAATTTATAGGAAACAGTGAAAACGACAACAACAACGCCCTTACACTTGCATTTAGTTTTCCCATTTTACAGAATCATTTCCCATGGTAGTGAAGAAACCTAAGCAGCCTATCTTGGCACAACTGAAAAACGCAACAGTGGTTAAGAGAAGGCCACCTTGAGCTGCCCCGGGTGGAGGGGTGGGGGTGCACTTTGAAGCCCTGATCTCTAATTCTCACAGTGTTCCCATTTACAGATGTAGTAACTGACATGGGCAAGGTCCTACCACTAATAAGCTTAGGTCTTAGGGTAAAAATCTAGGAGTGCTGCTTGGCTCCAAACCACTTTTCTTCCCAATTGCCTAAATTTCCATATCTTCTGGTATTCAAGAGAGGTCCACTCTTATGTGGCTTTTCGTAAAAAGTTTTCTTATTTTAGGAAACTATGATTTTGCTGGACTCTTTTGCTGCTTGGCTTTTTCTCCTAGTGAAGAAAGGGTACAAGGTAAGGGGGACTGAGGTGAGAGGGAAGAGGGTGGGTAGCTGAATTCTCTAATACAGTTCATCTCCAGCCCAGAGATGGTAATAATCAATGTTATTATCAGGTAATTATCAGGGTAATTATCAGTTTTTTAACAATCAGAGGACCCTAGGAAAGTTTTCTAGCAGATTCTCCTGCTTTTCTTTTAGCTTTCTCATTATATAGATGACAAGATTTGGAAGGGCAGAAGTTTTAAATTTTGATGAAGTGTCATTTATCGATTTGTGGATCATACGTTTATGGATCATACTTTAGGAATTGTAGCTGAGAAATCTTTGCCTAATGTAAGGTCTCAAATATTTTAATGTAAGATCTCAAATATTTTATCTTTTTTTCTGGAAGATTTAGAATTTTAGATTTTACATCTACGTCTATAATCCATTTTGGTATGATGTATGGGTCCATGTTCATTTTTTTGCACATGAATATCCAATTGTTCCAGAACCGTTTATTGAAAAGACTATTCTCTACTGCATGGTCTTTGCACTTTTGTCAAAAATCAGTAGTACATACATGTGTGAGGTTATCACCGAACTCTATTCTGCTCCGTTAATCTACACTATTCCCCCCTGTATAATAAGCTTTGAAATCAAGTAGTCTTCCAATTGTGTTCTTCTTTTTAAAAGCTTTGGCTATTCTAGGTCCTTTGCATTTCCATATGAATTTTAGAAGCAAGTTCATCAACTTCTACAAAAAAAAAAAAGCCTACTTAGATTCTTATTGGGATTATACTGAATCTATAGAACAGGGGTTGGCAAAATATTATTAAAAGGCTGGACGTAAATATTTGAGGCTTTTGGGCCATATAGTCTCTGTCACAATGACTCAACTTTCCCACTGGGGTGCAAAAGCAGCCACAGACAACCTGCAAATGACGACTTCTAGTTTCTGCAGATCCATCAGATTTTCTGTGCAGATGATCATGTCATTTGTGAGTAGACAGTTTTTTACTTCTTCCTTTCTATTCTGAATGCCTTTTATTAATTTATTTATTTATTTTTTTTTTTTGCTTGATGGCGCTGGCCAGAACATTCGGCATAATGTTGAAAAGAAGTGGTAGGAATAGACACCCTTTTATTGTTCCTTATACCAAGGGGAAAGCATTCAGTCTTTCATCACTAAGTATGACACCAGTTTTAGACTTTTCATAGATGCCCTTCATCAGGTTGAGGAAATTCCCAATTGCTGGATGATGTCCCATAGTTCACTAAAGCTCTTTTCATTTTTACAATTATTTTTTCTTTCTTCGCTTCACGTTTGATAAGGTTTTTTTTTTGAGATGGAGTCTCGCTCTGTCGCCCAGGCTGGAGTGCAGTGGCGCAATCTTGGCTCACTGCAACCTCCGCCTCCCAAGTTCATGCCATTCTCCTGCCTCAGCCTCCCAAGTAGCTGGGACTACAGGCGCCTGCCACCACACCCGGCTAATTTTTTGTATTTTTAGTAGAGACGGGGTTTCACCATGTTAGCCAGATGGTCTCGATCTCCTGACCTCGTGATCCACCCGCCTCAGCCTCCCAAAGTGCTGGGATTACAGGTATGAGCCACCGCACCCGGCCCATGTTTGATAAGTTTTATTGTTTTTTCTTTTTTTTCCCCCAGAGACAGGGCCTTGCTCTGTCGTCCAAGCTGGAATACAGGAGTGCAATCATAGCTCACTGTAGCTCACATAGCTCAGGAGCTCAAACTCCTGAGCTCCTCCTGCCTTCACCTCCTGAATAGCTAGGCCTAAAGTGTGCACCAGCATGCCAGGTCATTTTATTGCTGTGTCTTTAAGTTTACTAATTTTTTTCTTCTGCAATGTCTAATCTGCTGCTAATCCCATCCAGTGTATTTTTTTGTCTCAGGCATTGTAGTTTTTTTTTTTTTGAGATGGAGTTTCGCTCTTGTTGCCCATGCTGGAGTGCAAAGGCGTGATCTTGGCTCACTGCAACCTCTGCCTCCCTGGTTCAAGAGATTCTCCTGCCTCAGCCTCCCAAGTAGCTGGGATTACAAGCATGTGCCACCACACCCAGCTGATTTTGTATTTTTAGTAGAGACAGGGTTTCACCATGTTGGTCAGGCTGGTCTTGAACTCTTGACCTCAGGTAATCCACCTGCCTCAGCCTCCTAAAATGCTGAGATTACAGGTGTGAGCCACCCTGCCCAGCCCTGTAGTTTTTATCTTTAGAAGTCAGGTGTGCATCTTTTAAAAGTATTTGCATGTCTCCGTATAGTTTTTAAACATATGGAATACAGTTTTCATAACTGTATTAACGCCCTTGCTTGCTAATTCTGACAAGTATTTCAGCTTTGGGTCAGTTCTAATTGATCATGATTCTCCTCATCATGGGGCGGGGGGCGTATATTTATATTCCTGGGCTTTGTTCTAGGATACAGTTAAGTTAGAAGCAGTTCAATCCTCTTGGGTCTTGTTTTTATCATTTGTTAGGTGGGTTTAGAGCAGATCTCAGTCCACAACTTATTATTCCCTACTAACAGGGCAATACCTTTCTGAGTGTTTTACTCAACACCTCGTGTATTCCGATTTTCCTAATCAGGCTAGTAGGAATAACACTGTTCCCTCTGAGCCTCAGAGAGCTTCCTCAAATGCACATGCTCTGCTGAATAGTAAATGGAGCCCTCAGCAGATCTCTGGGGTTATCTCTCCTTGCAGCTCTGCTGTCTCTGGTACTCTGTCCTGTGAACTCTGGCTGCTGTGGCCTCCCCAGACTCTGCCTCTCAGTGGGGCAAACTGGGGCGAATGTAGAACTCAAATAGTCTCTCTTCTATCTCTATCTCTCAGAGATCACTGTCCTTCACTGCCTGATGTCCACTGTTGGAAAAACATTGATTCACGTATTTTGTCTGTTTTGGGGGGTTCTTTCTGGCATGAAGGGGTTTGGTCCCTGTTACTCCATCTTGACAGGAAGCAGGAGTTCCTTCATTTACTTTTGATCTTCAAAACTGTATGATATTTAAATCCAGGTTTTACAGATTGAGAAACTGGGATTCATGGACATATATTACCTTGGTCAAAGCCATATGGGAAATAAAAAGAAGAGGACTCTGGACTCCACAGTTGTCTCCCATATAATAAGGTATGGAGAGGGTTGTTTAGAACAAATAACAACAAATATTGATATGGCAACTTAACAACAAGGACTCTTAAGACTTGGCTAGTGGCTTTAACTTTTAAAAACTGTTTTCATGTCCATTTTATCTATTGTGGGATTTTGTACATGACATAGATTAATGTAGATTAATTTGAAGTTTTAGATTAATGTAAAGATTAATGTAAAGTTTTGATAAATTAGTAGGTAACAAAAAGTCTGTCATTAAAACTTTTTAAATAGTTAAAGTAATATATCGCTTTGTAAAAATTCAAATAATACAGGCATTATAGAGAATAAAGAGTGAATTTCCCTTTCACAGTCTAACCTTGGTCTCCTTCCTCATAGGTAACTTCTGTGAAGAGTTTGATATTTATTCTTTAGATACTTATTTTATTCATTCACCAGGCAAATATTGACTTGGCACACATGGGCCAGTAACTGCTGCAGTCTGCAAAGACAGAGACGGTCCCTGTTTTGGGGGAGCTTGCCTGCTTGTTACAATACTAATTTGATCTTCAATACAGTTGAGTGTGGGCATTGGAATCAAGCCACATGGGCTAAATTCTAGTTCCGCCTCTTTGAAATTGCATGTCCCTGAGAATTTCCTAATCTCTGTGCCTCAGTTACTTCATCTGTAAAATGGGGATAATAGTATCTATCTCATAGAGTTTTTTGAGAAAGGGTCTCACTCTGCCACCCAGGCTGGAGTGAAGTGGCTCAATCTTGGCTCACTGCAACCTCTGCCTTCTGGGCTGATGTGATCCTCCCACCTCAGTCTCCCAAGTAGCTGAACTACAGGCGTGCGACACCATGCCCAGCTAATTTTTGTATTTTTAGTAGAGATGGGGTTTCGCCATGTTGCCCAGGCTGGTCTCGAACTTCTGGGCTCAAGTGATCCACTCACCTCGAACTTCAAAAGTGCTGGGATTATAGGCGTAAGCCACCATGCCTGGACAGATAGTTCTTAAAAGGATGAAACTGATTTACATGCGAAACACTTAGAACAGTGTCTGAAGAGTTGCAAATACTCACTAAATGTTAGCTGTTACTATTATTATACAGCCTTGCCCATTCTATTATGAGTCATTTCTAACGAATCTATTTTGACAATCATGCTTTTAGTTGCCAATAACGCCTTTTTGTTCTCTGATCACTTCTTTTTCCTGTCAGCCTTTCATAATTTATGAATGCAATACTTTTTCAAATCTTTGTAAAGGTTTTTATTAGAATGTTCTCATTTTACTTTGCTGTTTCCTTGTGGGTCAGTTTTTCATTATGGTGTCTGTCTGTCTCTATTGGGGCTCTTCAAATATCTCATGATCCTTGGTGGTTTCTTCACATTTTAGAAACAAGGACTACATGGTTTCTGGTGGTCTACTTGCATTTGGGAAAGAAGGACCAGGTGATGAAAATGAGTAGCTTCCAGAGGTTTGCTCTGTCTTTGTCCCATCTCTCTTCTCCTTGCCCTCCCATCTGAATGGGGGCGCTCTGTGTACGTAGACTGCATATAACAGTCAATGTTTGTATTTAGGGCATATGAGCAAGTGGCAGGCAAATTATCTGCAGGCCTCATGAAGACCCACATCAGAAGAGCCCCCAGGGCACAGATGTAGCATCTTTCATCCCTGGGTACCATAGCCTTTCCTTGCATCCCCTTCTTATGGCTCATGGAAGTCCAGAATAACTTGGAGATCCCTCATAGTTCCAAAGCTCCTTCCCTAAGCTCCCACCCCAATTTTCCTCATTTTGGGGAAGTTAATGAACTGCCCAGGTGCTGGCCTGCTCCTGTTTCATTCCTGGCTGGAATGTCCTCCAATACAGGGAGTGCTCTCATCTCCCAACAGCTGGCTGTATCTAAAGAGGGTTGCAGCTTCTCTGCTCTAGTTCTCTGTCAACTCTTTCCTATTCTGCTTTCTATGTTACAAAAATTTCTCAAAATTATTTTTTGGTTGGCTGATGGCACTCTTTTATTTTCCAACATTTTTAATAGATGTATGCTTTTCTTTCATGTTTCCTTTTGTTTAAATATGGTTTTTGAAGAGGCAGAGGCAAGTGGGGTATGCTCAAGTTAGGAAGTCCTACTAGATGGTAATAAGTGTTAGGGATGTCTGACCCCCCTTTCCCATATAGTGTCCACTAGGTCAACTCCCAGAGATAGAATGCAGAACTAGACAAATCAGCAGGCCATCCAGCAATACTGGATGAAAGCCAGCTGGCTACATAGAGAAAGTCGACTGGCTGGGAAGCTTGGGAAGGTCCTCTGGCTTTCTGGGTCTCATTCCCCAACTGTGAAATACTGTGTCTTCAGAAGATCTTTTCTGATTGGGCATGGTGGCTCATACCTATATTCCCAACACTTTGGGAAGCTGAGCAGGAGAATTGCTTGAGCCCAGGAATTCGAAACCAGCCTGGGCAACATGGCAAAACTCTGTCTCTAAAAAACAAAAACAAAAACAAAATAGCCAGGCATGGTGGCGCACACCTGTATTTCCAACTACTTGGGAAGCTGAGGTGGGAGGATCACTTGGGCCCGGGAGTCTAAGGCTGCAGTGAGCCCTGATGGTGCCACTGAACTCCAGCCTGGGAGAGTGAGACCCTGTCTCAAAATAATAAACAAATAAATAAAATGACCTCTTCTGACTGTGGAATAGCATGGTTGTGTGTAAGGCTGGGGCACAGGCACAGTGAGATGAGGATGAGGGATTGAGGGATGCTATAAGCCACAGGTCAAGTAGGAACGTACTTTGTCAAGACGCAAGCCTATAGTCTGACGTGTCAAGAACTTTTTTTCCCTTCCGTTAATCCTCTTTCATGATGGACTTTAGTCTGCCTTTATCTGTTTCCTGGGAGAAAAGTATACATGTGTATGTATTTCCAGTATCTAGTCAGTACTTGGTAGTAGTACATTTTTAAAAGCTATATTGAGAGACTTCGCTTTTTCCTTTAAAGCATTAATACTCTTGGCCCCCAGCCTTTTGTTTTGTTTGATTTTTATTTCCTGTATCTTTTTTCCTAAGTAAGACAGAATGGCCACAGCATTTATGAAGGACGTGCTAGGGTGATGTACCAGAAACCAGCAGCAAACCCACACTTTCTGTCATGTGAACACTCATGATCCAAAGGAGAACACAGTTCATTTTAAAAAACAAAATAAACAACTCAAAAATTCCCTTGCAGGCTGAAGTTCTGTTATTAAATCACTCTATGTAAAGATACATTAAATTTTTTAAAAGGCGGGGGGGAAACGCCATAAAAATATGCTACAGAGACACTTCAAGAATAGATTCTTTGTTAATGGGCTTCTACTTATGCTTAGATTCTCTTATTAATTTTGATCTAGCTGCTTACACACAGTTTTAATTCATTCAGTCATTTCACAGACCAGTGGTTTCATGGTTCAATTTGTTTCAGGCAAAATGAACTATTATGAAATATCCCAAAGTATTTTCAAGTTGGAAAAATTAATGAATTAAAATCGGGACAATTCTACATGATTGCTTCTTTTGTTATAATTATAGAATGGAGCACTTTCCATATTTAAATATGTTCTGTGATAGGATAATAGGTGTAATAAATAAGATAAATATAAATATCTTCCCATATCTGCTCACTTTCCCCTGGCATTCTTTGGAGCATCCAAAAGCCATCACATTTTTAGATCCATGTTTAACTGATGTTTACTCTGTGGTCAATTATATGTCGGGCTCAGGCACATGCTATCTTCCTTCCTCTGTAGTCACTCAAGGGAGTGGGTGTCACCCTCTGCATTTTCCTGATGATGTGGTACAGCTCTGAGGGTCCCATGCCCAGGTTATAAGGAGGTGCTTTAGGCACAGTCCGGCTTGGGCACAGAGTCTGTAACATCCCCAGTGGGCTCTTCCTTCAATCCAGAGGCTGACAAACCTCGGTGACAACAGCTGGCCTCTGGCATGCCTGCTCACTCACTAGTTTTCCTCAAACCAAATGCACAAACACAAACAAAAAATGTAATTATCATAAATCCATAAAGTATTACTCTTCCCATTAAAAATCAGAAAAAATTTATGAAGACTTGAGGTTGGAAAGAATGACACCCTCAGCCCCTGCGCATGAGCTCCTTTAAGAAGTGGACATGGCTAACAGAGCTCGCTCCACATCACAGCCCCTCTGGGTCTCATCTTCTGCCCTCACCCTCAGACAGGACCACTTGCCTAGATGTGGTATTTATCATTCCCATGTTTCTTTCCCCTACATGTATTATGCCTAAATGATACATAATATTACTTTGCATATTTTAAAACATTATGTTCATTGTAGAGTTGCCTGCCCAGGGCTCCAGGGTGATCTGGCCACAGACACGATGGAGTGCTGATTCCCATGTCCTTGTGGGTTACTTCCCCAGCAGCCCTTACCCCTGTGTGCTGTAGAAATTCTATCACCTGGCTACAGGCTGAAGGAATCCTGGTCTTTTCCCAGGTCATCCCTTCTTCTGTGCCCTTGGTCCTGAGAGGTACCACACTGGCTCTTTTCAAAATGGCACCCTGCCCCACCAGCGACCCTTAGCCAGCCCAAGCTCAGGATATGTGACTATATTTACATGCTTTCCCTTCAAGCTGATTTTTAAAAACATGCCTTAGTGTCCCTATTAAAAACAACTGAACAGTAGACCACTGAAGTGGGCAGTAAATGCCCTACACCAAATAAACAGATTACCAAGACCGTACCATGGTCTGTTAAGGATTTCAGCTCTGCTTCAGGCAAAATATAGGAACATTTTGCCAGGAAGCATCATGCTGTGGCTGGTATTTATTTCGTCTTAAGGCAAAATGATGTTTGCTACCCCATCCCAGAAGCAAACACACTTTGCTCTGCCCTCCCACAGCAGGGCCTCTGAGCCTCAAATGCATCCTTCTCAGTGCTCAAGTCAGCTGTTAGATTATTTTTTCTTCCATTTGCTGTTCCAACCCTGAACACTGGACCTCACAAATAATGAGTGCTCAATGCAGGTAGAATCCTACACAGGATACAGCCACAGTTCCCAAACTATGCCCAGAGGCACCCCTGGGAACTGCAGCAAACTCACAGAGGTGCCACAGATATTTTAAATATTTGAGAAAAACACAGCAAAACTTGACATCTGTCAGAGAGAAACAGAACCCATAATTAGCCTTTCTCCTTCCTCCACACTGGAAGCTTTTGGTCTAATACCTAGTGAAGTGAAACTTACTGAGGGAAAATGGTTTGGACAGGAGGAACAAGAGAAAGATCATCTGGGCACATGAGGAGCTGGGGGGCTGGGCTGGGCCCATGTGGGTCCAACAGCAAGAGCTCAGGGCAGCAGGAGAAGGGCCGGCTACTCCAAGTCTATGGGAAAGAGAAAGGCAAATGTGGCCTATCACCAAATAGGGCTGGAAGCAGGGGAAAGCTGTGGAGCTGATGGATAGGATAACCCTGTGCCCCAGAAGATGGGAAGAAGCATTTTCCTGTACTTCACACCCTGACCTTATTCCAAATTCAAGACAAATGGAATAGTAATATTTTAGATTAGCCACACTTTATTTTAAATAGGCTTGGTCAGCTTACCTATAAGCTTAACTATAAATATCACCCGATTCCTACTGGAACATGTAATTTTCATTCCAAATAAATGATTTATAACAGAATCTTTCAACTTAATAAACATTCAGAGTACCTGTGGTGGACACACCCTAGGGTAAGTCCTAGGCCCTGCTCCCCCCACTACACAATGATTCCCATATCCTGGTAACCATACCTTGTATAACACCCTCCCCTCCTGGAGTATAAGCAGGGGCTGGGACTTGCTTCTCATCAACAGCATGTAGAAAAGAGGATGGTCACTCCCACAGTAGGTTATGTTATATGACAAGGGTGAAGAGATGTTTTCAGATGTAATTAAGGTCCCTATTCAGCTGACTTTAAGTTAACCAAAAAGGAGATTATCCATAGTGGGCCAGACTTAGTAAGTGAGCAGCCATTTAAAAGAGGGCCTCAGCTGTCCCTGAGGCCAGAGACTCTGAGCAGAGAGACTCTTTATAGGTGGCTTTGTATAAGTAAGTGTCATGCTGCGAGAGGACCTATGGAGAGGGATACATGGCAAGAAACTGCAGGTGGCCTCCAGGAGCTAAGGGAAGCCTCTGGATAATAACCAGCAAGAAAATGCCGAACACAGCCTTAAGGCCACAAGGAGATGAATTCCACTAACATCCTCAGAGAGCTTAAGGCAGAACTTTCTGCAGTTCAGCCTCTGATAAGACCAAAGCCCCAGCTGACATCTTAGATTGCAGCCTACTAAGACCCTGAGCAGGGGACCCAGTTAAGCTGTGTTGGAACTCTGGATCCACAGAAACTGCGAAATAACAAATGTGGACTGTTTTAACCCATCATATTTGTGGTAATTTGTTACAGAGCAACAGAAATCTAATACAGTGGCCAAGTATGATGGCTCATCCCTGTAATCCCAGCATTTTACAAGGCTGAGGTGGGAGAATAGCTTGAGCCCAGGAGTTTGAGACCAGTCTAGGCAACATAAAGAGACTCCATCTCTACAAAAAATAAAAAAAAATTAGCTGGGCATGGTGGTGTGCACCTGTGGTCTCAGGTACTCAGGAGGCTGAGATGGAAGATCATTTGAGCCCAGGAAGTTGAGGCTGCAATGAGCCACTGCATTCCATTCCATCCTGGGTGACAGAGCAAGAACCTGTCTCAAAAAAAAAAAAAAAAAAACCACCAAAAAACAGAAAGGAAAAGAAAAAAAAAGCAAAACTAATATAGTGTCAAGCTAGAAACTCTTTATGCTACATTCTTGATGTATACATGAAACATGATGAATACATGAAATAGTTGAGCAGAAATTAGTTACAAAACTTTTTACAGTTTGAAGTAAACACAAATTTAGAAAATGTTTAAGATCTGCACCGTAATTTTCATTGGCAAGTTGATCTAACATGTCCTTTTAATCTTAAACAAATCCAAATTCCTGTGTGTTGCCTAGCTTTTCTGGCAAATTATTCCTAGTTCTGCAGGATTTTGGTGACTTTTAAGAAATGCTACCCTTTGATAAACTGTAAACACCTGAGTCCCAAGCAATCCCATCTGGAGGAATTCTGGGGCAAGAGGGTGTTACATCTTAATTAGAGGAAGGACCCATGGATTCCTAAAGCAGTCCACGGGGAGGAGGGCAGAAGTGATGTGAGAATGGCCACTTGGGCCAGAAGTCCCACTGACCATCCATGAACTCACTGTGTTGTGACTCTGAAGACTCAAAGCTTTCTGTTAATTTATGAGAAACTGGCAAATTATTCAACTGTAGTTTTTTCCTTTTCTTCTTTCTTGAGACAGGGTCTCACTCCATCACCCAGGCTGGAGTGCAGTGGTGTGATCTCAGCTCACTGCAGCCATGCTTTCCCAGGCTCAAGCGATCCTCCCACCTCAGCTGAGACTAAAGGAGTGCACTATCACGCCCGGTTAATTTTTGTATTTTTTGTAGAGACGAGGTCTCACCATGTTGCCCAGGCTACTCTTGAACTCCTGGGCTCAAGTGATCTACCCACCTCAGTCTCCCAAAGTGCTGGGATTACAGGCGTGAGCCACTGCACCCAGCCTGTAGTTTTTTTCAAATAGCTAAAATTTCAACCTAAAATATATACTTATCATTGCCTAATTATTGACAAATGAATCTCATATTGCTAGATCTTTGTCTGCTCCTTTGCCAAAAGTAATTACCTACTTCTTTGAACCTGAAAAGAAAAACAATTTTCCTTTAATTTACTCCAAGTTGCATAGTAGTTAAGGTGAAATAATTATTTTAACCATTCTTGAAAGTATACTGTGAAAAGGAAGGGGAAAAAAAGGAAAGAAATCATCACCCCAGAGCTGGGCCCTATCAGTATGAAAGCAGGCTAACCACAGACCGCTACTGTGATGGACATAGACATGTCCACAATTCACAGTTCTAGAATGGAAGCTCCCAGGGCAGTGGGAAGAATCCCATCTGCATGGCAACCACTCCGTGCCATCTTCCAGCACCTCGGGAACAGGCCTCCAGGATGACGCCAGCCTCCACTCCTGTGGGGCTGTATCTTGAGCAGACTGTACATCATCCATGCTGAGTCAGAGCCTTCACAGCAGTCAAGGGAAATATCAAAAGCACAGGACGTGCAACTGTTCTCACTCACCACATTCAGCTCATTTACAAAACATCGAGCTATAAATATCATGACGACATTTTTTAGAGGCGCATTTTCAAGTGTTGTGAGCCAATACTGAAATAGGGGCAAAAAATAAGCCATCATCACCTATTTACTGATTCTAATTTTGAAACAACAGTCACATTCTTATTCTGCTAAAGTATGAGCACATGGAGAACTGCCTTCTGTACGCATATGACTGACAGAAACACCAGTTATGAATGGCTTACATGACGAATCACATGCCACCGATTCATGACAAAGCATGCAGAACTCACCATAAAGCAAACTGCTGCTTTCTACCCTAGTTACCCACAAAGCTGGACTGTTTCCTTTTAGAAAGTTAAAATTAGTTCACAACTCCATAGCAAAAAAGATGCCATGAACACTATGTTCCATTTACGACATTCTAAATTCCCTCTCCATCTTTGGAAATGGGCATTTTTACACAACAGTGCCAGTTGATCATATGACTATCAACTGAACACCTGAGAAAGTCACTAGGTTATTCCACCTGCAGTGTGCACGCTGAGTCTCGCAACAGAGATTTTTTTTTTTTTTTTGAGAGGGAATCTTGCTCTGTCACCCAGGCTGCAGTGCAGTGGCATGATCTTGGCTCACTGCAACCTCTGCCTCCCAGGTTCATGCGATTCTCCTGCCTCAGCCTCCCAAGTAGCTGGGACTACAGGCATGTGCCACCACACCCGGCTAATTTTTGTATTTTTAGTAGAGATAGAGTTTCACCATGTTTGCCAGGCTGGTCTGGAACTCTTGACCTCAAGTGATCCACCCACCTCGGCCTCCTAAAGTGCTGGGATTACATGCGTGAGCCACCATGCACAGCTGCAATGGAGATACTTTAGAGATCACCTGGTCCACCTTGTCCATTTAATGATGAGAATACCAAATCAAAAGTTACCAGACTTGCCCAAGCTTGCATGGCTTTTCTGTGCCAGCGCGCAGACTGGAATTCAGACCACAGATTCATGAACTCTCTGAATGCTAGTTAAACTCCCTTGACTTAAAGAGACTGCCAAATTGATCGCAGGTGCACTAACCCCAAATATGTTTCTCTCCCTAACCTGCACTTCTCTGACTCCCAGGGACAGGCAAGGCCTATCCCTTAGAATCTTTCCCTGGGATAACAGGGCTGCCTCAAGCAGCAGTGCATGTACCACCTTCCTTGGAAGTATAGATGCAAATATGGGATCACCAGGTCAAGGAGAATGATGTCACTTTTTAGTGCACACCCACCACAAGCTCGGTAACTAAGAGAACACAGAGAAGAAACGCTCTGGTTGTGGCCCAGAGATTACAATGGAGCATGACAAATGCCAACAAAGGACAGCCTCACCATGGTGGTGATCCATGAGGTGAGTCTTTAAAAGGAGGAGAAATTGTCCAGGAGGAAAAGTGGACAACAGGGAACCAGCAGGGTGAAGAGAATGTGCAAAGGCAAAAGAACACAGGGTGTTCTAGGAACAGGGTACAGTCCAGTGGCCAGAGCCCACGTGGGGCTTTGCAGGGGGATGAGGCTGCAAGCACAGCCACATGGAGGGGCTGGGGTTTCTCTTGAGTCATGCAGAGCTGCTAAAAAATTTTGAGCAGGACCATAACATTGAGTCATATTTGTATTTGGGATAGCAAGCTGTGGCAGCAAAAGGAAAACTGGAGTGGAGAGAAGAGAGAATGGAGGTAGGGAGATCAGTCAGAGGGTTGTGGTAGGAGTCCAGGGAGGAAAGGATGAGAGTGCATCAACATACTCCTAAGAAAGCCTCATTCAAAAAATACTGGTAGTCTAGATATCATGTGGAGTCTTAAGTTAGGTATCTGAATTCTTAACCCTGACAAAGAAAATCTAAAACTACAGCTTGTTACCATAATTAGCAGTTCTTGGTCATAGAGAGTTCTCAAATGATGTAAAAGAAGAATTTCAAATCTTTTAAAAGCAGATTAAAATATTAATTAATCTTAGAGATTTAAGTTTCATTATTCGTCCTTAAGATAATTTCTGAAATTTTTAAAGTACCAAATGAAAATAAGGACATAAGGGAAACCAGCAGCATATATTGTGATTTTGAAAATGGGTTTTTCAACTTAGAGCTTGCTCTTATATTTCACTTCCCGACCTGCTCCTTTCATACCGCCTTACATTTTACTTACTGCCCAAAGTACACAAAAGGTGCATAAAGATTGTCTGATGACTGAAGAAGCCAAACCTGCGATCTGAAACCTGGGAGGCCTCAGTGTTCTCTGACTTCATCGAAGAGACTGCAGTGGATGCCCTGCACTGAGCTCCGGATAGGATCACTCTCCTGCCAGCTTTTTACTTTTACTTTCTGGCTGGTGATTCGAGGATAGAACACTACAGTGTAAAAGTGTTTACCTTGGCCAGGCACAGTGGCTCACGTTTGTAATCCCAGCACTTTGGGAGACTGAGGCGGGTGGAACACTTGAGGTCAGGAATTCGAGATCAGCCTGGCCAACATGGTGAAACCCCGTCTCTACTAAAAATACACAAGATTAGCCTGGGTGTGGTGGCATGCACCTGTAGTCCCAGCTACTTGGGAGGCTGAGGTGGGAGAATACCTTGAACCCAGGAGAAAGAGGCTGCAGTGGGTCAAGATCATGCCACTGCACTCCAGCCTGGGCAAAAGAAACCCTGTCTCAAAAAAAAGAGTGCTGTACCTCTAGGTATTTTCTGACTAGTCATGACATCTGTGCAACACCAATATTTTCCTGCTTTCAGGGTACCTTAACCATGAACAGTACCTAAAGTTAATTTAAACACACACATTATCACTACCACTACTACCTCCACTGCCTAATCAAAAATCCAGCATTCATGGAGCAGAAATGAAAATGAAGGAATCTATGAAGCTGTGCCGTTAGGAAATAAAAGGAAGTGTCTGGGCACATGGGCTCATGCCTGTAATTCCAGCACTTTGGGAGGCCGAGGCGGGTGGATCACTTGAGTCCAGGTGTTCAAGATCAGCCTGGGCAACACGGCAAAACCCAGTCTCTAGAAAATATAGAAAAATTAGTCGGGCATGGCATGCATCTTTGGTCCCAGCTACTTGTGGGGTGAGGTGCTAGGATCGCTTGAGCCTGGGAAGCAGAGTTTGCAGTGAGCCAAGACTGCCCCACTGTACTCCAGCCTGGGTGACAGAACGACCCTGTTTCAATAAAAATAAGAAAAGAAAAAGAAACAAGAAACAAAAGGAAGCACTATTCTTACTCCTCTGTAACCAAGTCTATGTCTTTCAGAACCTTGTTTATCCAGATATAAAATACAGTTCATGTTACTTACAGCTAATTACCGCAAAGAACTGGAATGAATTTTTACCAGTTACTTTTAATAATAACAACAAAAGAACAACTATAACCAATGATAAGCATATGCATATTCCATGACTAAACTGCAATCAACCCATCTGGGGTTAATGTTGTGTTAACAAAATATAGTGTAAAGAAAAGGACCATCAAAGCTAAGGGTCTACGCAAGCGTTTTAAGGGGATTTAACTTTTTCTGACTTTTTATATTACATTTGAATATTGTTCTTTCTTTTTTCAGCAGTATTATTCCTGAAGACCCAAACTTTAAGAAAATTGTAAGGAGGATGTAGTGATTTGAGTCCTTCATTTGTGTTAAATGAGAAGTTGGGACTGTTTCTTCCCACTGAAATGGGATATCATGCCAATCGCTTTGGAAAATGAACGATAAAACGTATTACATTTTGTGAGATTACCTTTTTCTTCCCTTACGAAATCTTCCGTATTTAACATAAGATGACAGAAAGGTAAAACAAGAGAACAAGGATTTTGTACAAGTTTTGTTTAACTGTATTTTACTAAGAAGTTGTTGCAAAGATTTTCTCTATGTGATTTTATTTATTTTATTTATTTTTTAGAGACAGAGTCTCTCTGTCTCACCCAGGCTGGAGTACAGTGGTACAATTATAGCTCACGGCATCCTTGAATTCCCGGGCTTAAGAGATCCTCTTGCTTCAGCCTCCTCCCAAGTAGCTGGGACTATAGGTACGCCCTACCACACCTGGCTTCTATGTGATTTTAAATGTCCTATTACTGCCATTTAAAGAGTTTGTTTTAAAATATTATATTGGTCTTACTGGCCCTGTATCTGATTCTGCAAGGCAATACTATTTGAATTTAATTATCTAGATTGCAATGGAACCTTTTATGACTACAAAATTATGAGTTTTCTGTGTTTATATTTTCTTAAACAATAAGACATTCCAAGTCTGCAGCATAATAAACTATTTTGATGTGCTCTTAAAAACCATGAGAACACACGGATATACCTTTTCAACCAGGGTGCAATTTATGTAACTAGCAAGAAGTTAACATTACCAAGTCCATTCCAACTTACTCAGCCTCAGGGTATGTAACTGAACACTCAGAAAATCCATGCTAGCTCAAGGCATTTAGTTGCATGAGAAAATACACTTTGAATACAGTGCAGTATTTATGAATAAGATTTTCTGTGAATGTTTTCAGATGGAGAATATGATTCTAAGTGGTCTGAAGTATAACTTTTCTCTGATAATTCCTGAATAAACGACTGCAGTTCTGGTAACATGGCAAGCAGAAGATAGCACCTCCCTCACGGGCTTACCTATAAGAAAAGTTCCGTAATAGCAGAATGATAAGGTCCTTCCGCAAATCTCTGGTATGTGTACACTTTTTTTGTGCATTGAAAACCAAATTATTACCTCCATAATTATGTCTACAGCCTTAGGCATTATGTGTTTTGATTTGCTAGTATACATAAATGTAGTGACACTGTGAGGAACTGGTCATGGAAAATGGGACATGCACAAATACAGTATGATTAAAGAAGTTAATCAAGAATTTATTGGAAGCTACACTAAGAATCAGAGCAAGGCACAACCCACTCTGATATCATACTTAATATCATCTTTATGGTCCATAATTTTCCTGTAAGAGAAACTTGCCTCCCCATTTTCTTTACAGCCCTTCAAAAGCAGATCATCTGATTTTGACAACTATTTTGCAGCTGAGGGCTAATTACTCTTTGAGAGACATAACGTAAATGGGTACTCAATAGAAGCAGATGAAGTGAGATTTAATCCTTCAGAAGCCCAAGAGAATATTAGGAGAGTGGAGCTCAATTCTGAATAGACACTATATTTTTCTTTGGTTCTTTGTCCTTTAATCAAATCAATGGAAATGAAGCTGAAGTGCCTCTCAGAGCAGGGCTGGCAGGAGTC
The DNA here is from genome assembly GCF_000001405.40 of Homo sapiens. Classification (NCBI taxonomy): domain Eukaryota; kingdom Metazoa; phylum Chordata; class Mammalia; order Primates; family Hominidae; genus Homo; species Homo sapiens. The sequence continues at coordinate 43,411,611 of NC_000003.12, forward strand.
CTTCCACAGGGCTCCATGGTGCTGCTTCTCTCTCTGGAATGATGCCATTGTCATGGTGCTTACAACAATGGAAAACTCATACTTTAGCTACAAAAAAGCAGATGGTTTCAAGTCCAATGTAGGGCCATCTAAAAATGCCTCAGTCTGTATTTTGGGGCTCAGGAACAACTGCATTTTGGAGCTACTGTTTTGCAGAGAAATTAGTTTCAGGCGGAATAGCTGTGTGCTAACCAACCATTTCTTTCTGAGACTGTCACTGTGTTAGGATGTAATTAACTCACAAAGACTTAGTTTTTTTCCTCTCTCTACAGTTAAGCTGTTTGATTTGAGCTCCCTGTGCCTGTGGATAGGATAGGGCCTAAGTATCACAAAGGAGAAGTTAAAAAAAACATATTTATATATATAATATATATTTACATATTTTATATATTTGTAAATATATTATATATATGTATATATATATTATTTTAAACTGACAAGTCCAAATAATAAGGCTATCTGGATAGTTATAAATGGACATTTGATGGCTCAAATAAGATTCCTGAAGCTAGGAATAGAAAACAGCCAGGTCTTCAACCAAAAGTGAAAATCAAACCCCCTCTGCCCTCTCCTACAATGATGCCTAGCTTGGTACCCCTTAACCACCCTCTGACCAAGCACACAGGGCTTGACAGGCGTGTGTGGGGCAGTGGGACAAAGTGTTGATATCAGAGGCAGATCAGGAATGCCGATGCAGTCGGTTTTAGGAGAATGAGGAAAAGGAGGGGACTAGAGATAACTGCCAAGACCTGTGGCTGTTGACCATCCCAGGTGCCCACTCTGAGGGTGGCTGAACACACCGTTGCCTGCACTGCACTGGGCCAGCTGCTCTGGCGCATTCTCACACTTCCTCTACCAACCCTGCAAAGCTGTTCCCATTCCAGAGTGCGCCCTGGCACTTCCGAAGCAACTGCTCATCTCCATAGGTAGGGCTGCCTAAATCTTTGACATAACTTCTCGTTCACAGTCATTCTTTTTTGATCATATGAAAGAAACAAACTCTGTATTCCCTGTCTTGTTTGAACAATGGAAAGCATGTGTGCTATGATCTCAAAAAAAATCTTCTCTATGGTAGAGCAATATAAGAGCCTGTACTTGGAGATAAAACAATCTCGATGTGGCTGGGCACCGTGGCTCACGCCTGTAATCCCAGCACTTTGGGAGGCCGAGGCAGGAGGATCACTTGAGGTCAGGAGTTGGAGACCAGCCTGGCCGACATGGTGAAACCCCACCTGTACTAAAACCACAAAAATTAGCCAGGCATGGTGGCACACGCCTGTAGTCCCAGCTACTCAGGAGGACAAGGCAGGAGAATCACATGAACCCAGGAGGCGGAGGTTGCAGTGAGCCAAGGTTGCCCCACTTGCACTCCAGCCTGGGCAACAAAGCAAGATTCCATTTCAAAAAAAATCACAAAGTAGAAAAAACAATCTCTATGTGGCAGGAAACAGTTCTGCTTCTCAAAGCTCTGTCATCCTCTACTCTCTCTTCCTGTTTCTTCTCATCCTACTTTTTACTTCTCTCTGCCTGTGTCTATGGAAGAGGCCACAGGAGAGAATGGAGAGAAGTTCTCTCTTCCCCAGGCTGCATTTACTTTTTGATTCTAGTTCAATTTAAGAGCGACTCCTTGTTTGCCATTGATATAGTTTGGTTATTTGTCCCCACTCAAATCTTATGTTGAATTGTAATCCTGGTGGGGGTGTCTGGATCATGGGGGTAGATTTCTCATGAATGGTTTAGCACCATCCCTAATGGCTCGGTGCTGTCCTCCTGACAGTTCATTCTCACAAGATCTGGTTGTTTAAAAGTGTGTAGCACCTCCCGCTCCCTCTCAGTCCTGCTTGTGCCATATAAGATGCCTGTTCCTGCTTCACCTTCACCCAAGAGTAAAAGGTCCTTCAGGCCTCCCCAGAAGCCAACACCATGCTTCCTGTGTAGCCTGCAGAACCATGAGCCAATTAAACCTCTTTTCTTTATAAATTAACCAGTCTCAGGTATTTCCTTACAGCAATCCAAGAACAGCCTAACACAGCCATCTAGTATGTCAACATTTAAAAGTGAGTTAGTTTATGATCATCAACAGCGGCAGACCGTTTTCTTCAGAGAACAGTGACAAATTGACTGCACGGCTGAATCCGTAACAGGATCTGGATTAGATCTATTTTCACCTTGCCTGCTGTTACCAGGAAAGTAGCCTGCATGTCTCACAGGCCCCACCACAGTCAGCTGCACTAGAAGGGCTCTCTCAGGTCCATCTCCCCCTGCCTCCCCACAAGAGAAGGCAGCCTTCATGAGAGAAGTCATCCTCCACACACAGCTTCCCAGGCAGGAATTCTGGCTAACAGCACAGACCACAAGGACCGAGACCTTTCCAAGGAAGGGTTTGAGACAAGAGCTTTGAAGATTGGAAGATAGAACCACCAGAATAAAGAAAGGATGCATGAGCACCAGCAAAGATAAACAGAAGAAAAGGCAGGATATTTTGCTAAAAGGAAATGAAGAAAACAAATAGTAACACAAGCACACACACAAAAAGAAGGGCGTTCAGATAACATCAGTTCAAACAATGGCTACTCTGTGCAGTTAGTCCTTTTCCCTTTCAGAAAAACAGAATAAAAAGAAGACGAAAATGGGGAGAGAGCAGCAAAGAGAAAAGGAATAGTGACTGATACACAGACAAGATACTATACTTGCAGCTCAATTCTATATGTTTAATATTATTAATATTATTAGAAACTCTATGTTCTGATTTATTTCAAATCAACTGCTCAGTGTATTCTGGCATGAAAAGAGTAGATTTATCTTTCAAGCTTGAGTCCCAAAAGAGATATCCAACAGGAGCCTCATAATTTTTGAAGGAAGGCTACTGCTTGGTGACCTGATACCACTCTTCATTTCTAGAAATTCATTTAAAATCCAAATTAGTTTTGGCTAATTAGCCTTTCAAAACGACCTGTTTTTGGTTAAAATACAGTGGGATAGTAAATATTTTTAAGGACTCACAGGTTTGGGAGGGATCTGAGACTGCTTCTTGCCAGAAAGCACGTAATTTTCCAAAGAAAGTGGTTTCTTCTTTTCTGGAAGATCTCTAAGAATGGAGTATTAAAACCATCCATCTCTAAGCATGGAAATATTTTATATCCTGATGGTCCACAATTTCTTTGTTACACTCAATTAAGAATTTTGTGTTACTTATACCCATGTGCTCTGTTCATTCTGCATCTTCCTAATTGATATGGTAGAAAAGCCACAGACTTAAAGTCAATGACCTGGGCCTAACTACTTCCTCACCCTGTATGGTTGTTCCTGTCATTGTGCTTTTTTTTTTTTTTTTTTTTTTTTTGAGACAGGGTCTTACTCTGTCACCCAGGCTGCAGTGCAGTGGCATGATCTCGGCTCACTGCAACCTCCACCTCCTGGGTTCAAGAGATTCTCGTTCCTGAGCCTCCTGAGTAGCTGGGATTACAGGCATGCACCACCACACACGGCTCATTATTTTCTATTTTTAGTGGAAATGGGGTTTCACCATGCTGGCCAGGCTGGTCTTGAACTCCTGACCTCAAGTGATCTGCCCGCCTTGGCCTCCTCAAGTGCTGGGATTACAGGTGTAAGCCACCGTGCCCGGCTGTGCCCATTTTACAGAGGAAGAAACTGAGGCCGAGAGGTTTGGTAACTTGCCCAAGGTTACTTAGTAATGGTGAAAGCTGGTTTTTAAAGACATGTATACCTGATTCCAACAGCCATTTTATCAACACCAAGACACACAAAACACCCACCCTGCTCCTGGTGGATTTTGATTATGTCCTCAGCAAACCAAAATGCTTCACTCAAAAGCCAATGTTTTAGTACAGACTGTGAATAAAAATGACAGTTCTTATTTTTTCTTTCTTTCTTTCTTTTTTTTTTGAGATGTAGTCTTGCTCTGTCGCCCAGGCTGGAGTGCAGTGAGAGGCATGATCTAGGCTCACTGCAACCTCCACCTCCTGGGTTCAAGCAATTCTCCTGCCTCAGCCTCCCAAGTAGCTGGGATTACAGGTGCACAGCACCACGTCTGGCTAATTTTTGAATTTTTAGTAGAGACAGAGTTTCACCATGTTGGCCAGGCTGCTCACGAACTCCTGACCTCAAGTGATCCACCCGCCTCGGCCTCCCAAAGTGCTGGGATTACAGGCATGAGCCACCATGCCTAGCCAAAAAATGACAATTCTTTAGCGAGTTTCCCTGATTATAATTGTTAAATCACACATCATTCTCACAGAAGTGATCTGTGGACAGCTATCCTGGATAAAGTTTAAATAACCTAGACTGATGTTGTTAAAGATGGCTTTCCACAACTGACATTTTAAAAAGTGAACTCAGTCCAAGAAGTTAAAAAAAAAAAAAAAAGTCTACCTGGATTTATTCTATCTCTAATCAAAACAATATTTCTCACATATGAAAGTAGAGGGGTTGGAGCTGTATCTTCCAGACATTTGGCAGTTCATTTTCTCTTGTGCCTGTGACTAAAACCAGACTTGCAAATTTAAAATATGCCTATCTTTTTTCAGAAATATTCAAACAAAAAGTGTCTACAAATCTACGCATACACTGCTTAGAGCAACTTGGATGAAGACCTGGGGAGAATCCTGAGATCCATTTATTTTCCTAATAACAAATAATACAAGATTCTTTCCAAACTGGTTTGGGAGAGAGATCAAACGTTTAGTTATACCTCTTGATAACAGTTAGTTGGCAGATAGTAACTGCCTTGTAGAGTCTATCTAAAAGAATAGCCATCAAAAATAAAAATACAAAACTCAAAAATTTATGGGGGAAAATTCACTTGTTCTCAACCATATTTTTATTAATAGGAAAATACAACATGAAACAGAATTCTGAAAGGAAAAGGAGGAGAAGATGTATTTGTCAACTGAAATTCATAGTCCAGTGGCATTTTAGCAGGTCTGGTATTCTGCTTTTTGCTCTCCCACTACTTACTTGTGAGGCCTTGTTCACATAATTTTAGCTCATTTGTAAATGGAATTACCAAGGACATCTGGTTAAACACCCAGAAAACATGACATAGTCAGAACCCAATACCAAATCTGATTTCATGGTTACCCTGAAAATCCACAGGATCCCCCATCCATTCCCAGCCTCTTAATCCAACCAAGTTTAGAGATTATTGTCAATCATCAACCATTCTGGGGAGGCAAGTCCATTTGATCAATGCAATGGATCAAAAGACGAGTTATTTCAAACATCCACTCTGTGTACCTAACAATCGCCTCATTAACTTATTTATGCCAACAAAAACCCTTCTGGTGTCATTTCCAATTTCAATAGGATTTTAAAAGGAAGGTAAACTCTAATTTAGAACCCATGTGCCCAAAGCTGTGCTAGGCACCTTCACATAGTGATACAGGAGTTAAGAAGAAATTACTTAGGCAGATAGGGTACAGAAGTCCTCAGTAAGGTTTTCCTTTTAATGAAAAGCAGCTCCAAATCATTTTCTAACAAAGAGCAGCCTGTAAAGTCCAGCTGCAGACACAGACAGGCAAGCTGGGAACTTGCACGGGTGAATGCCAGAAGGAAAGAACTACCTGGGACTAGGCATATTCAAAATGGTGGCTCCATCTTCCGTTCTCTGCCAACCACATGTGTAGTAAGAAGGAGACAAGATGGCGCTGGCCAAGGGGAAAGTTTATTTGCATAATAACATTAGGGTGGGGCGACCAGCCTTCCCCACGGCTATGTAAACGTCACACCTGACTGAACCAATCTGTGAGCCCTACTTAAATCAGACACTGCCTCCTCAAGCCGGACTACAAAGTCCGGCGCATCCACTACCGGTTGCTCTTTTCCTCTCGGAAGTCCCCTCTCTTACTAGAGAGAGAGCTGTTTTCCTTTCTTTTTTTCTCTTTATTCTGCCCATTAAACTTCCACTCCTAAACTCCTCGCGTGTGTTCGTGTCCTAAATTTTCTTGGTGCAAGACGACGAACCCCAGGTATTTACCCCACACAATGTAGCTGCTTCAATAGTGCTTTTATTTAAAGTCAAACATAAACTGCTATATTGCGACCTGACAGGTCTATTCTTATAGGCTGTGCGAGGATTAATAAAGATAGTGGACTGCTAGTGCTCTATCAATGGCAAAATTAAATAAATGTTAAATATTATATTTCAGGTCACATGGAGGTTCAATTCCATACATGTCTCACCAAGGCTCCCTCCCTCAGCTCTAAGCTTATAGTCTATGGTCTAAAGAGCCTCAAGGATGGTTCGATAACAGCAATGATATCAAAGTCCAAAGAATTGTCTTGGATGTTAAACTGGAGGTACTAAGGTGGTAAAGAATTGTAAGGAAGGCCGGGCGCAGTGGCTCACGCCTGTAATCCCAGCACTTTGGGAGGCTGAGGCAGGCGGATCACAAGGTCAGGAGTTAAAGACTGGCCTGAGCAACATGGTGAAACTCCATCTCTACTAAAAATAAAAAAATTAGATGGGGGTGGTGGCAGGTGCCTGTAATCCCAGCTACTCAGGAGGCTGAGGCAGGGGAATCGTCTGAAACTGGGAGGCAGAAGTTGCAGTGAGCCAAGACAGTGCCATTGCACTCCAGCCTGGGTGACAGGGCGAGACTGTCTCAAAACAAAAACCAAACCAAAACAAACAAACAAAGAATTGGAAGGAAAACTTAGCCAAAGGGCTAGATCTTTATTGGTTGTTACTTATGCAGGGAGAGGTAGCTAAGAGAACATGGGACTTTAGGGCCAGAGACCTGGGTGTACAGCATGGGCTTTTTCAAAGTGCTGAGGGTCTGATTTTAGACAAATCACATATCCTTCTTAGTGACCAATTTCCTTTTCTTTTTCCATTTTATTATACAAAAGTAGAGAGAATAATGAACCCCAACTTACTCATCACCTGGCTTCAACAATGATTAACTCATAGCCAAACAGTTCATCTGTCACCCAGCCTCCCTTCCTGGATTGTTGATGCATTGGTTATCTATTACTGCGTAACAAATTATCCCAAAACTTAGTGGCTTAGAACAAGCATTTATTATCTCACACTTCCTGTGCGTCAGGAATTTGGAAGCAGCTGGGTGGCTCTGGCTCAGAGTCTCTCACAAAGCTATAGTCAGGATGTAGGCAGGAACTGCAGTCATTCAAAGGCTTAGAGCTAAGGCTAAAGAAGGGAATGGCAATAGGTCCCTAAGCCAAAACTGGCCTACAGCCTGTTCGGTAAACAAAGTTTACTGGAACATAGCCACGCTCTTTCATTTACGTATGTCTAAGACTGCTTTTGCATTACAGCAGCAGAACTATTAGCTGTGATAGAGACTGGATGGCCCACGTGCCTAAAGTATTTATTATCTGGCCCTTTACAGAAAAAGTTTGCCAACTCCTAGCCCAGAGAATCTGTTTCCAAGATCACTTGCTCCCATGGTTGTTGGCAATAAGCCATGTTCCTAGTCCTGTAGGCTTCTACACTGGCTGGCTGAGTGTCCTCACAACATGGCAGCTAGCTTCGCAAGAGGAAGAGTGATTCAAGAGGGAGAAGGCAGAAGCCATCATGTTGTTTAATGACCTGGCCTCAGAAGAAACATAACGTCATTTCTACAGTATTCTACTGATCACACAGAAAAATCAAGATACAAAGTGGGAGAGGACTCCACAAGGGCATAAATACTAGGCAGCAGGGATCACTGTAGAACATCGTAGAAGCTGACAACAACAGCTGGAGATCCATTCCTTAATCTGTAAAGTCAGAATTCCTAAAAAGATCATTTCTATAGAATTTTTCAACTCTAACATTGGACAATTATATGATGCAGAGAACTTCTGATATATTTTTGTGTTTCAATCATAGATGTATTCAATTAGTATTTGTTGCATTTTTTTTTTTTTTTGAGATGGAGTCTTGCTCTGTTGCCCAGGCTGGAGTGTGATCTTGGCTCAATGCAACCTCCGCCTCCCGGGTTCAAGCAATTCTCCTGCCTCAGCCTCCTCAGTAGCTGGGACTACAGCTGTGCACCACCATGGCTGGCTAATTCTTTGTATTTTTGTAGAGATGGGGTTTCACCATGTTGGCCAGGCTGGTCTTGAACTCCTGACCTCAAACAATCCACCCACCTCGGCCTCCCAAAGTGCTGGGATGACAGGCGTGAGCTACTGCACCCAGCTGTTGCTGAATTTTAATATCTGTATTTTCATTTTGAGTTACATATGGGTTCACTATATTACTATTTATGTTCTCATAAGCATTATTTCTTTATGAAGTGATTATTTTCCTTTAGGTAGTATTTAAAAGAGTTCTTAAATCCAAACATTTCTTGTTTTCTACATTCTATTCTTAAGAGAAAGAAACAAATGAGCAAACATGTTGTTCTTAGGGCTTTACTTTAAAAGTCTAAATTTCCTAGCCTATCAATCACTAATATATTTCAGCCCAGTTTCTCTATGTTTATTACATAATATAATATTCAGTCATATTCTTGAGATCCTATAGCATTGGAAATCAAGTAAAAAATATGCTGGGCACAGTGGCTCACGCCAGTAATCCCAACACTTTGAGAGGCTGAGGAGGGTGGATTGCTTGAGCCCAGGAGTTTGAGACCAGCCTGGGCAACATGATGAAACCCTGTCTCTACAAAAAATACAAAAATTAGCCCTTCATGGTGGCGCACACCTGTAGTCCCAGATACTCAGGAGGCTGAGGTGTGAGGATAGCTTGAGCCCAGGAGGTGCAGGTTGCAGGTTGCAGTGAGCTGTGAACATGCTACTGTACTCCAGCCTGGGCAACAGAGCCAGACCCTGTCTCAAAAAAGAAAAAGAAAAACAAAAACAAAAAGCAAAAGCAAAGGAAAAAGACAAAGAAAAAGAAAAGGAAAAAGAAAGGAAAGGAAAGGAATACTGTTTGTTACAGTAAACAAAAAATTTCCTATTTTAGCAGTTTACTAGTAATTAAAAACAAAGTTTTTTTTTAAGTGTGGTTTCCTACACTTTTGGTGTAGGAAAGTATATTAAATATTTAATAATGGTTTCCTGAATCTAATACCCAACTATAACACACACAGGATAATTTCAAAGTCAAAGGATTAGCACTTAATAGTTGAAAAAAGGCACAAAGGGATGGGGCTTTGACCTTAATGATGTTCACTTAATTAATGACTATTTCATTCAACGATTATAAATCTACATTTCTGGAGTAATCCTGCTTCCAAAAAGCTTCTTGTCTGGTAGTCATAGACCAGTATCTTTAAATTCGATGATGCCAACAGTATAATCTTTTAAAAAGAATTGGCCAGGGGCCAAGCACGGTGGCTCACACCTGTAATCCCAGCACTTTGGGAGGCCAAAATGGATGCATCACTTGAGGTCAAGAGTTTGAGACCAGCCTGGCCAACATGGCGAAACCCTGTCTCTACTAAAAATACAAAAATTAGCTGGGCATGGAGGCACACACCTGTAGTCCCAGCTACTCGGGAGGCTGAGGTGGGAGAATTGCTTGAACCCAGGAGGTGGAAGTTGCAGGGAACCCAGATTGCGCCACCACACTCCAGGGTAGATGACAGAGCAAGACTGTCTCAAGAAAAGAACTGGCCAGGGCTGGGAGCGGTGGCTCACACTTGTAATCCCAGCACTTTGGAAGGCCAATGTGGGTGAATTGCTTGAGCTCAGAAGATCTAGACCAGCCTGGGGAACATGGTGAAACTTTGTTTCTACAAAAAATAAAAATAATAATTAGCTGGGCATGGTGGTGCACACCTATAGTCCTAGCTACTTGGGGGACTGAGGCAGGAAGATCATTTGAGCCTGGGAGGTCGAGGCTGCAGTGAGCATGCATTCCACTGCATTCCAGCCTGGGTGACAAAGTGACATCCTGTCTCAAAAAATAAAGAAAAGAAAAGAACTGGGCATGGTGGCTCATACCTGTAATCCCAGCACTTTAGGAGGCCCAGGTGGGCAGATCACTTGAGCCCAGGAGTTCGAAACCAGCCTGGGCAACATGGCAAGACCCTGTCTCTACTATAAATATACAGAAAAATACAAAATATTAGAGAGGTGTGGTGGCTAACACTGGTAGTTCCAGCTACTTGGTAGGCTGAGGAAGCAGGATTGTTTGAGCCTGGAAGGTCAAGGCTGTAGTGAGCTGTGATCGTGCCACTGCACTCCAGCCTGAGTGACGGAGTAAGACCATGTCTCCAAAAAAAAAAGTTTTTTTATTGTGGTAAAATACGTGTAACATAAAATCTCTACCTCCCTCTTCATAACTTTTTCATCTAACAGTATAATCTTTTAATTTCCTAAAATATTTAATAAAAAGTAAATAAATGGATACATAAGCCAATCCTAGGCATTTACCTGCAAAAGAAGAGCTGCTCTCCCATATGTTGACCATCATGGCAATGCAATTATTAATCTAATACAGAATATGAGATTGGAACTCTAACTTTAAAAAAGAATACATCTTTTTTGTTGTTGTTGCTATTGTTGTTTTTTGAGATGGAGTCTCGCTCTGTCGCCCAGGCTGGAGTGCAGTGGTGAGATCTCAGCTCATTGCAACCTCTGCCTCACGGGTTCAAGCGACTCTCCTGCCTCAGCCTCCTGAGTAGCTGGGATTACAGGTGCGTGCCACCATGCCCGGCTAATTTTTGTATTTTCAGTAGAGACGGGGTTTCACCATGTTGGTCAGGCTGGTCTCAAACTCCTGACCTTGTGGTCCGCCTGCCTCAGCCTCCCAAAGTGCTGGGATTACAGGTGTTAGCCACCGCGCCCACCCTTTTTTGTTGTTTTTAAATATAGTTTTAAGCATTCTGATATCTCTAGAATTTATTATGAGGCAAGTTTTTTCTTTACCAATGCAAATACATTTGAATGACATCTGTGAAAATGGTCCCAAGCACACAGCCATCACTTCTACAGCATAGTGGCCCCAAGGCCTTTCTCTGTGGAATGGACCTGTGCCTCCAGGCCCCCTCTTACCACATTGCTTCCAATCTATCAATGGGGTGACTTGAAAAATGGTAAATTTTATTCCATTTCACAGCCTATTCAGTAGTTTTCATAAGAAAAAATAAATCTGCCTATGATTTGGCCATGTTTCTCACATCTACGGGGAATATTAAGATATATAAATTTTACAGTTTGCTTAGCAAACCAATGAGATAAGTAGTCACTTACATACATTGTTTACTGAGGAAGACAACGATCAGAAGAGCTGTAGTTTTATTTTACTGTCTGGATGCCTCTGTGCACTTTAAAGAAATTTTTCTCTAGTGAAAACATAAAATACAGGAGGAAAAAGTCTACCCATCAGTGATAAAAGGAGGATTGCTCCAGAGCCTGAATTAGTTTTCTAGCTAACAAGTACAAGTGCAAAGTACAAACTATTTTAGAATTCTTTCTTGCGTGATTTGGGGTTATTTTACAATCTTGGGGAGCTACTCTTGTTACTGATGTCAATCACAGTCAGATTTTTTTTGGAAAAAAAAAAAAAAGGATTTGAGCTTTATCAAGGCAAGGTATGTGGTCCTTCTAAAGTGTCCACATACAATTCTTCAGAATGCATTCTCTTCCCCAGTGATCCCAGAAAGGCACATGACCTGTTTCCATTTCTGCCAGAGTATCTATTTTAAGACTCTTTTTTTTGTCCAAGGACATCATTTGTCCTTATTTATTTAATATATTGGCTTGTGAATTACATGTGAGTCAACAAACTCAGTTTGATTAAGTGGATATTTATTCAGAGTCTATTGGGCGCCAGGCCCTATGCTGGGTGAGGGGACTCAGCAGTGAGTGAGTCATCACCTGGCCCTCGGGGACCTCGCAGCTCACAAGGGAGACTGAAACAGAACAAACTATAGTGGGGCAAATGAACAGAAATGGGCACCAGGCTCCTGTTACACAATGGGAAGAAGGCTTTCTCCAGGAGGTGGGGTCTGTGAAGCTGACTGCAGAGGGCAGGTATACTGGTGGTCAGAGTTACAAAGTAGGAGTGCTTGGGAATCTTGCTAGACCCAAAAGGTGCAAAGGAGCCAGTATTTATTTGTGCATTAATCATCTTTAAAGGAGGTTATCATTTTATCAATTGGAGAGAAATTTACTGTGCAAAAAATTACCTGCAAATGGCTAACAGACCCTACCGTGGAGAGCTGTTCTGAAGAGACACTGGCACATGCAAAAGGTTTAGAACAGTGCCTGGCTCATGTTCTCACACACTACATGTCAGCTGTTACTACCTCATTGTTATTACAGCCCAGCTGTGTTAGGTCATGAAAATAGGTGGGATTGCCACAAAGGTAGAATTCTGACTCTCCAGGCAAATCTGATGTTACGGTACCATTTTATCCTAGAATTCCTTGCTGGGTTCACCCAGCGAATGCATGAGTTGGTCCTCCTCCTCCCTCATCATCCTCATTCCCCCAACACACTGCTCCATAATGGGTCTTACTCACATTGCCTCATTCCAGCCTCATTCTGACTTTGCCCCATTTGAGTGTTGGGGGGACTCTAATACAGGAAGGTCAAGTCACTTCTCTGCAGCTACACAGGGCTGAAACCTCCTTTGCAAAAATCGTTGCAGTGAGAAAGTTATGACACTGAAAGGGATCTGATCTAACCAACTCCATCTTGCTTCCAACCTCTAAGCTAGCTGCCCTTGCTCATTCCTAGGCAAAGGCCGAACTAACTTTGGAAGAAACTTAGTTTATAGTTTAACTTTGAAACAAAGATGATTAACAGTCCTTTCCTGAAACAAACTCCTTTCTTGCCTGGGAGCCAGACCACCTTTATAAAACTAACAAATTAGCCACAAGACTTGCAACTTCCCCAGTTACTCCTGCAGATAACATGTAGAATCTAAGATCGGTCTTTTAAAATCTCTTTTCCAGTTTTTGCATTTCTGAGGACTGATGGCTCCACCAGATTCACCAACCAGTCCTGTGGCCCTCACCCAGGAACTGACTCAGCTGAAGAAGACAGCTTTGACTCACTGTGATTTCACCTCTGATCCAATTAGTCGGTACTCCCCATTCCCTGGCCCCCTACCCACCAAACTATCCTTGAAAAACTCTAGTCTGAATTTTTGGGGAGACTGATTTGAGTAATAATAAAACTGCTCTCATGTTCAACCTGCTCTGCATGAATTAAACTAGTTCTCTAGTGCAATTCTCCTGTCTTGATAAATTGGCTCTATCTGGGCAGCGGGCGAAATGAACCCTTTGGGTGGTGACAGGGCTGGAAGACAAACCTTCCAGTGAAAGAAGAAAGGGAGAGGCAGGCTCAGACAGGCCACCCAAATGATAGATATACCATAAACTTTGGTACTTTTTACTGGGCCTAGACCTGACTTGGGGCCCCAGGAAGTAGACCACCCCTTCCTAAGGACTGTGGCTATTGGCTTTGTTAGAGGCTAATTCTGTATTTGGATTTAACATTTCATTCTGAACTAGATGTTAGCAGATTAATATGTGATTACCTATTCAATAGTCAAATACTTTAGCACCTTAATTCTAGGCTGTAAAATTTTACAGTTTCCATTAAAAATGCTTATGTATTTACTGTAACTTTTTTTTTTTTTTTTTTTTTAAATAGAGATGAGGTCTTGCCATGTTGCCCAGGCTGGTCTCAAGCTATCTGTCTGCCTTGGTCTCCTAAAGTGCTAGGATTACAGACATGAGCCACTGTGCCCAGCCTCTATTTACCTTAACTTGAGAGCACAAATGGAGCGGGGGGAAGAAGTTCAGAAGTTCTTACGAAATGTTGAAAAAAACCTATTAAATTAGGTTAATATTTAACCTAATTTAACACTGAATACTTAAATATAAACCAAAAATAAAATCCTAAGCTGCTCAACTAACAGAACGGACCCCCTCCCCTGGGCCAAAGGGACCTCAGAGAATCCTGGAAAGCTGAATTCTCAGCCATGACAGGGAGGTTGGCAGGCCTCATTATACATTCTCCCTTTTGGAGTTTAGGTACAAATGACTACCACCAGCATTAACATTAAAATAGAGATCATTAGACTGTCAAAACAGACCCTTTGTGGCAGTAAGATAACAAATTGCAACCTGGCTGCAGTACAGCATCACATGACAGATAGCAGACCCCAAAGGAAATCAAATATTTTACCCCACAATATATTTCTTTGACGTATTTTGAAATGGTTCCACAATACTATCTCTTGTGGGGGAAATCTGCGTCTGTAGAGAATATCCATTAATACAGCCAGTCCTTTCCTGGATCTAGGAGAGATGAACCAAGAGTCTGATACCTCTTAAGGTCTGAAGAAACATTTACCATGTATCCCCTCTGAAGGGTGCTACCATCTACCCAACAAGAACCTTGGCTTCCACAAACCCCTTTATCTTAACTCAGGCATTTCCTTCTACTGCCTCCAGGTCTTTAGACAAAGCTTGACTCTTTCAACCAATTGCCAATTTGAATCCACCTATGACCTGTAAGCCCATCCCTCCCCCGCCTCCACACCTTTCACATCGCATCAATGTATACCTCACATGTATTTATTTATGTCTTTCTCTGTAACTTCTGTCTCCCTAAAATGCATAATGAAACCAAACTGTAACGTGACTGCCTTGGGCACTTTCTCAGGACCTCGAGACTGTTCCCTGGGACTATGGTCACTCATATTGGCTTAGAATAAACCTCTTTAAATATCTTACAGAGTTTGGTTTTTCCATTAACATAAATTAATTTAAATACACTTAACTCTAAAAAACAAAGACATTATTTGATAAGGCCTGGCCCAGTTGGCCTGTCTAGTTAAGGGTCCTACACCTAATTTGAGGCCCCTGAGAGCTATAATTAGTAGTGTCTCCTTAAAGTCCTTCTCTTGTTCATTTAACTGATTCCTGAGGCTGTTTTCTTTCTCAAAGGCTCTAGGCAGCCAGCCCTGCTCCCTGGCTTCTGTGTGTTCTGGGCTCCCAGGAGGGCTGACTGCCCAGAAGCAGGTTAAGTGGATGTTGTCCTTGTGCTCCAGGCCACGGAGTTATCAAATGGTTCCTGCATTAGAATCCTTTCTATTTTTAATTGGATCTTAAAATGACTGAGAGATGAATAAATCAATTTGAAGAGAAATAAAAGGGCATCACTAGGATGATATTTACTGTCTACAATTCTTTGTAAAGGTTTCAGCCAAATAAAGCCTAATCATTTGAAAATGCCCTATGCAAAGTAAACTATTTTATTTTCCTCAGTTTGCCTCCCACCTTCAAGTATGTCTAATTTGCCTATATATTTAGAAACACACATAGCTTCCTATTTGTACCAAAAAAGATCTGTTTTCAGTACATTTCCTTCCCACATTCATTTCAGCAATCCACCACCACTCCTCCTGTCACAAGCTGAGAAGAATAACTGAATCCACAGAGCATGTCTCCAAATGGGATCCAAGGACCCTGAATTAGAATCACTTGATGTGCTGGTTTAAAAAGGAGATTTCTTGGGCCTTCCCATAGACTGGGGAATCCAGTCTTTCATTTTATGAAAAAAAAATATATAAAAATAAAAAACTGAGGTGCGAAGAGGCCACCTGACTTGTCCACAGGTGGCACAAGGTGGCCTCAAACTTGCTTGTTCTTGGCACTCACCTGGCCATGCTTGGGAATCTATTTTTGCTGGGGGGTGGGGATTGATAAAAGTGGGGTGGAGACACAGGAGCATTTTAAAAAAAATGTAAGTCCCTGGGCGCCACCTTCGATTTAGGGAAGAAGAATCTTCAGGGCATAGGGTCTAAGTACATGTGTTTTTCACAAGGGTTTACATGTAAAATGCACAACCCTATTTAAGGACTGTCAAATTTCTCAATCATATTTTGCCCATAAAATGAGACTTGAGTTGAAAAGTAGCAATTAAGGTATAAATTAAACATAATAACTATCCATAAGTAATAATTTCTACTGATAAGCTTACTATCAATATCTGGTCACTTAATAGTGAGACTTCACCCAAATATGTTTTCAATAACTCAATTTCTGATCTGGTCCCACAAACTGACCAGGTTACCTGACAGAAGCTCTCTCTGCTTTTGTTACGTGGGAGGAGCCCAGTGAGTTGAGGCTACTCATAGTTACAAAGCAGATAGTTAAATGTCAGATTAAAGAAAAATGAGAAATCTATTCTCCATCCTAGAAATGGCACTAGTTCAGCAAGTGAACTGAAGTCATGGCCAGTTAATTTTTTGAGTTTCTGAAAAGGAGGTAACCTTTTGTACCTTATAGGACCTCCTGGGCAGTGAGACTAAACAGGAATTGTGATGAAAATGTTTGTCTCTCCTGGTTGGTGGCATAAACTTGGGTGGCCCATGTAGCAGTGTCAACCATGCAGCAAAGCCTTGAGTCAGCAAAAGAGAGTGAGAGGCGGTTGTTACATACGATATCTTTGGTCCAACTTTTACCCTGAACCTTTTTTTTTTTGAGACAGAGTCTCACTCTGTCACTCAGCCTGGAGTGCAGAGGCGTGATCTTGGCTCACTGCAACCTCCACCTTCGAGATTCAAGCGATTCTCGTGCCTCAGCCTCCCGAGTAGCTGGGATTACAGGTGTGTGCCACCATACCCAGCTAATTTTTGTATTTTTAGTAGAGACAGGGTTTCACCATGTTGGCTGGGCTGGTCTCGAACTCCTGACCTCAACTGATCCACCCACCTCGGTCTCCCAAAGTGCTGGGATTACAGGCGTGAACCACCACACCCAGCCAACCCTGAACCTTTAATTCTCAGATTGATAATTAAAAGAAAAAAATTTAGTGGAGACAGGGAGGGAGAATACTTCTTCTGGGTTTGCAAGGCCCTAAGAGAGCCTGACAACACTCATCATTGCTGTCTGCCCACTTGATGGATCAGAGACATTAGAGCTGCACATGTACAAATTTAAAAATCACCTTCAGGGCAAGCTATGAACGTTCTATTAGAAAGCATTCAATAAGTATACTGAATGGAACCTGTTAGACATCTGTCCCTTCAGAATCACCTTTTCTTACAAGGTGGTTTTAACCAGAGAATCAGATCTATGTCCTCAGGGGAAAAAAATCTCAAAGAGACATAACATATTTTAGATTTTTCTTCTTCTTTTTAAGTAATACAGGTTGAGCATCCCTAATCTGAAAATCTGAAATACCCCAAAATCCTGAAACTTTGTGAATGCAAAAAAAAAAAAAAAAAAAAAAGTCATTGAAGCATTTCAGATTTCAGATTTTCCCATTAGGAAGGCTCAGCAGTAAATACAATGCAACTATTCAAAAATC
The DNA here is from genome assembly GCF_000001405.40 of Homo sapiens. NCBI lineage: Eukaryota > Metazoa > Chordata > Mammalia > Primates > Hominidae > Homo > Homo sapiens. Next base: position 43,428,897 of record NC_000003.12, read on the forward strand.
TGAAAAAAAAAATCCAAAATCTAAAACACTTCTGGTCCTAAGCACTTTGGATAAAGGATACTCAACTTGTATGAGAGAGGATTTTGGTCAGTGTTTCATTTCTCAAAGAAGATGAGCATAAATAAATTTGGAATTAGAGCTTTGCCTCACTGTCAGGTAAAGTGTACCTGAAGATATGGGAATCTAAGAGCTAAGATGACTTGAGAGGTCATTTAGCCATATCCATAGTAAACACATATCCATGACACCCTCAATGGCAAATATAACACTCCTGCATTTGGAGTTTTAGGTAAATGTATTTAGTAACATGAGACATACTAATAATATGTTGAATTTGGTGGTGGTGAGGGAGGTTCATAGGGAATGAGGTATAATTTCATTCTCTCAAGAAGAATCCTTTCCTTTTTAGACAAACAAGTAGTAACATGAAATCCTGAGTGATTTTTTCAAAATATCTTTTTTAAAAAAGCAAATTCATGGAATTTTATGGTATATACAGACCATAAAATTTACTGTATAGATATACCACGAAATCCTGAGTAACATGAAGCATGATTCTTCCTAGACCTGGAGTTAAGATATGTATGCACCAGCCAGGAAGTTGCCTGCCCCCATCTACAAAATGTCACCAGAAATGCAATCAATGGAGAAATCTGATTAACTAAAACTCTTCCAGAGACAAGGCTGTACATTCAGCTTTTTTTCTTACATACCTCATAAAGTTTTTAGATGCTTTATGCCCTCTCACGCATTTTTAAACTGACACCTAAAATCTTTTAGTCATAAATTCAATAGCTGCAAAAATGTAGGCAGTGTGTATGTGCATGCATAAGCATAGACAGATCTTTTTTAAAAAAGCAGGTTACTGGAATTTTATTGTATAGATATACAATAATTTACTTAACCATTCTCCTATTGAGGAATTTAGTTATCTCCAGATTTTTGCTAATAAAAATGTTTCAATGACTAAATTTTGGTACTCTTTTCAGATACAACCATTACCCTAGTAAGGTTTGTTTGGTGTTGGAGAGTAATTGAAATTAAATTCAACTGCAATTCGAGGAAGACTGAACCAATTTACACTTCTGTCAGTTATATATAAAAGAATGTCCATTTCCCAAATCCAGTGAGGACAGGCTATCATGACATAATCCAATAGAACATGCGAAATGTGGTATTTCACTGGTGTTTAAATTTATATTTCTTTCATTTTGAATGAGGTTGAGCATCTCTTCATATGCTTTCCTTTCATTACTGGACTGTCATTTTTTATAGATTTGTGGAAATTATTTTTTGAATTAAAGATATTGACTTTGTTATATATGAAAATATTTTTCCAGTTTGTCCAATTTATCTTTTGAGTTTGCTTATTTTTTGTCATACAGAAGTTTTCATTTTTCATGTATTTTACTTTATCTTTTTTTTTTTAATGATTTTTGGGTTTTGTGTCTTGATTAGGAAGGCATTTCCCACTAAAAGATACACCCAGACTTTTAATAGACTTCTTATGGTTTACATTTTTTACATTTAAATCTGTCAACCTTGAATTTTGTGGTGGTGGGGAGGTTCATAAGGAATGAGTTAAAATAAAGTATAATAATTTTCCCAAACAGCTGTTTGCCATCAAACTGTGTAACAAATAATCCTTCTTTTTTCCATTGACATAAAATATCACTTTTACCATAAATGAAATCCCCAGTTTTATTTGGGCCCATTTATGGACTCAATGCTCTCTATTCCACTGATTTTTCCATTTCTTCCCTAATTTAAAATGTATTTAATTATAATTATTGTACTATTCAGAATACATTTTAATATCTGACAAGAGTGAGAGTCCCCATTTTTCTTCTTTATCAGAAGTTTCCTTGCTATTCTCAGATGTTTATTTTGATATATTTGAATTGGTATTGGATATTTACAAGATTGAATCTTTTGATCCCAGTAAAGTTTAAAAAAAATTGTTCTATAAGTTATCTATATTGTTTCCATAAATTACCACCTAAGTTTTTACATTTTGGTTTCTTCTGTAAATGTGAATTTTTCATCAAAAATATTTTCAAACTGATTATTTCTTGTGAAAAGAAACACGATTTTAGATAAACTTTGTAACTTGCTTCCTTACCAAATTTTTTTATTTTTAATAATTTATTTTTAGCTATATAATCCTCTAATTTTCTTTTCTTTTTTTTTTTTTGAGACAAGGTCTCACTCTGTTACCCAGGCGGGAGTGCAGTGGCATGATCATGGCTCATTACAGCCTTGACCTTCTAGGCTCAAGCAATTCTCCCAGCTCAGCCTCCCAAGTAGCTGTTACTACAAGCGTGCACCACCATGCCTGGCTAATTTTTGTATTTTTTGTAGAGACGGGATTTCACCACGTTGCCCAGGTTGGTCTTAAACTCCTGGGCTCAAGGGATCTACCCACCTCAGCCTCCCAAAGTGCTGGGATTACAGGTGTGAGCCACTGCACCCAGCCTAATCCTCTGATTTTCAAGTAATGATAATCTTGCCTCTTCTACTTGAACTTATCTCTTCCTCTTATACAACTGCTTTGGTTAGTACCTCTAGAAGAATGCTAGCTGTCAGTGATGATGATGGATTTTCTGCCATTGCTGGGAATGCTCTGGAGTTTCATTATTGGGCATGATGCTGGGTTCCGGTTTACCATATAGACACACTGGCTAGCCCACATGCCAAAAGTGAACTTGCCCAACCTCTAGGAATGCAGGTAACTTAGTCTTGTCACCTACTGTGTGGCAAACATGAGCACAGCTATGGCTAGTGGGCCTGGGTTCATCCTCTTTTCCACATTCTTATCACAAGTCCTCTTCTGGAGTCACCCTGCCTCATCAGGGCAAGTATTGGTTTGATGTGGGGTTCTCCTGTCCGGCGCACTACCCTTGGAGCCCTCAGGCTTTGATCAAAGGGTCATCTTAGGTGGGTCCTCTTCACGTTCTTTTTTTCTCCCCACTCCCCAAATGTAAGAAGAAATATTTCTATGCATAGTGGTTTGGAGGCCAAAGAAGGAGTATGTGTCCAGGAGGTTCTGCCCAGAGCTTGTCCCCTCAGATGGCAATGCCTTACTGATTCTCTCATTTCTTAAATTCCTATGCAGCACTAAAGATAACAAGTGAGAGATACTCCAGGTGTCTAGGGATCTTCTGTCTACTCCCACTCTCCTACAAGCAGAAAATCACCAAAATGGTCAACTCCAGCATGGCTTTTTTTTTTTTTTTTTGTAGTCTCTGGTAGAATGTGGAAGTCACTGAGGCACAGTTTCTCCTTTCAGGGCAATTTTGCTGCTTCTACACACCTGATCTCATTCTGTCTCGCTCTCTGAAAGCTATTATTCAGGATTTTATTCATTCACTTCTCCTCACTTAATGTTTCAGTAGATGGCAAAACTGGAAGCTGTGGGGAGCTGCCCCAGGTTGATTCTTAGATGTCTGTCTTGTTCTTTTGCTGAATGCTAGCTCTATTCTTTATTTAACATTGCCTGAATATTTTTGTTTCTTTAGTTTAGTTATTTAAACCTATTTGTTGCTCATATTGTTAGGATTTTGGTTTTGTTATGTCATCCTGAACTGGAGTCCTCTGTATTCATTTAAACTGGTAACTTCAAGGCTGAAAAAAATGCTGAGACTGATTCTTCTGAATTATTTTTCCTGTCATTTGCTAAAGCAATACATACATTTTCAGGACAGCTGCTCTCACCTGCTGCTTGAGTGCCTCCAAAGACTCAAATTCCAGTCTGGCTAGTTTCATCTGGATATGCCGTGGCTTATCAGGTATGGCAAATGCAAGTATAAACTTTAAAGCCAGGAGTGCGTGCTGAAAACAAGAAAGAGTACATGTTGATGTGATACATCAGACCATATATGCAAGGAAATAAATTGATATCTAAGCAATCTAGGATTATTTATATTAATCTTGGGTAATTTCTAAGTATTGGCCTGTGAAGTATCAAAGACCAAGCAGGCCCATGAGTTGTACTGAGTGAGTCCACCCTGTTGTGGTACATTCAGTAATTACTGACTTTGCTTAATTCTTTTTTTTTTTTTTTTTTTTTTTTTTTTTTGAGACCGAGTTTCATTCTGTTGCCCAGGCTAGAGGAGTGCAGTGGCACGATCTTGGCTCACTGTAACCTCTGCCTCCCAGTTTCAAGTGATTCTCCTGCCTCAGCCTCCCGAGTGCACCATCACACCTAACTAATTTTTTTTGTATTTTTTAGTAGAGACGGGGGTTTCACCATGTTGGTCAGACTGGTCTCAAACTCCTGACCTCAGGTGATCCACCCACCTTGGCCTCCCAAAGTGCCGGGATTACAGGTGTTGAGCGACCACACCCAGCCAACTTTATTCTTTTTAAAACCAGGTATTCCTGTAAACTGATACCGTAAGGGTACCCTCAATGTTTTATAGAAAAATGGCTTATTCTGAAGTCTTCCACAAACTCTTTTCTAGAAACGCATCTTAGTATACAATATTTGTTGTCACTCCACTCTCTGCCCAATGTCCCTGTGCTGCACTTCAGTTTGAGTTACATGAAACGTACATGTATCTTAAAAATAAGGTGTCATGAATCCTCTAATCCCATAGCATTTGGTGCATTTTCTTTTATGATGTGATAATAAATAAAGATTAATTCAATGATTGTAACTTTATGCTGCTGACTCCATATATGGTAAGTACACAGACATTATAATATGGAAAACTTAAAACCTGGCTATTATTTTTCCTTCTCACACAAGCATCATAAAGAAGTCCTCTATAACATAATGATATGAGATGTATAATTAAGCCAATGGTATTGCTTCCCTTGGTAATCCCGCTGTTCAGATGTATAGGCTCAACCTACTGATACTTCTCCGAATCCAGATCATCTTGTGATCCAGAATCAACACCCACAGAAATCTAAGTGATCAAAGGATAAAGCTGCCTCTGTGGTGACAGCATGAGTTACTAAATATTAAAAGTTGTGAATTTTAAAAGAAATAATTAAAAGGCATTAAGAAAATCAATGAGAGAGATGGAACAGCCTTTAAGAAATGTTGCATTGAATTATTGACAGAAAAAGGACAGTTGAAAAAAATTAAATGAATTTCTTACTGTGATATTTCCAAAAGGAGAAATGAGGGATAAATAACAAGCAGATATCTCCTGGGAGAAGCATGAAATAGTGAAGGAAATCAGCATGATGCCAGAACAAGCAATAATTTAATCAGAAGACTTGAAAACCAGCAGAACCCCAGGACAGGCTAAGCAGTGGCTGGTATTAACAAGAGACAAAGAATAGACCAGGGACAGACAGCCTTCATGTAAATGTGACTGCCATGACCAAAGATGACACTGGAAGATACTGATTAAGGGTCTAGAGTAGGAAAACAAGTAGATAATACAGCATGGACCAGATGATACCCTATGTTGAAATTCTGAACTAACTGAATTAATAAAAACCTGGATATAATCTCCAAAGAATACATGAATAATTCAGAAAAGGCTATGCTGTACTGTTATTTCATTCCATTAGAGTACTGAGATATAATTTTATACAAGACAATCTCTTCAGTGGAAATATCAGACAAGAAGTACACAAATTAGTAGATAAAAATAAATCTTCCATGTATTTCAGAGTCTGTGTGGGCTTAAGTTGCCAGAGCCCTACATGACATGACAAAGTCATGGCCCCTTTCCATCTCTCCTAATAAATCTGTACCCATTTCCTCTTCCTCAGAGCCTTGGCAGGAATGAAAAAAACAAAATATCCTGCTGAGGAAGGACATGCTTCCCTTGGATGTAAGGCATCTGGAAGGTGTAAACTCTCGTTTGGGAACCAGGACTGGCTAACAGGTAACAGAACAAGTAGGTAACAGAACAAGGCTGCCCAGATTTTGCTGCTGTGGTTTCCATGCGAACTGTTCACAAAATTCTCATGAATTGAAAAAAGTTGGTATTGATTAGACAATATTAATCAAAACAGGATGCCATTTTAAACATTTGCATAGCAACATGCTTTTATGAGTAATTCTCTACAGTTTATTTTCCAAAAAATATAGCATCTTCACAATGGTTTTCTTTAGATGGTGGCACTATAGGCAGTCTATCTTTACTCTTTAATGGACATGAATTACTTTTATATGGGGGAAAAACTTATATAAAAAAGAACACAGGGATTCCTATAAATGAATTACATATGCCCTGCCACGCTCCTAAACTCACCTCGTCCTGATTGCTCATTTGCCCAGTAAACAGACAAAGCCAGACAATCTGCAGTTCAGAGAATGTGGCTTTTTAAACTGAAGTCCAAGAATATAAGAAGCTGGGCAAAGTGGGCTGGGTGCAGTGGCTCACGCCTGTAATCCCAGCACTTTGAGAGGCTGAGGTGGGTGGATCACTTGAGGTCAGGAGTTCAAGACCAGCCTGGACAACTTGGGGAAACCCCATCTCCACTAGAAATACAAAAATTAGCCAGGCATGGTGGCAGACATCTGTAATCCCAGCTACTTGGGAGGTTGAGGCAGGGGAATTGCTTGCACTTGGAAGGCGGAGGTTTCAGTGAGCTGAGATCGTGCCACTGCACTCCAGCCTGGGTGACAGAGCGAGACTCCATCTCAGAAAAAAAAAAAAAAAAGCTGGGCAAAGTGATCACTTTGTATTCATTCATTCTGCAAATATGTGGAAAGTACTTATGCAGGGCCAGAGTGCTCAGATGGAAGCCTTCATCAACTACTTCCTAACCTTCTCTAATCTGTCATACTGATTTTCTCCCCACTTTGCCAAACTACCAGAAATTTCACCAATTATAGGTTTATTTGCTTTAATACACATTTTCTATTAAAAGTGAAAGCATCAGTGGGAAGGTTAAGGAGCATCAACCATTCACAGATATTGGTTAATTACTTTAATTAGCTGTTGCTAGCAAGTTATTTCTTGCTATCCTCCACCCCTACCCCTACCCCTAGGCAAATAACAATGAATACTTGTGAGTGAGGTGGGAAGACAACACAGCAGAGATAGAATCAGCTTCAACAGCAGGGGACCTGCTTCAAGGAAGAGGTGTAAAGAGAAGCAGAAAGGAGCCAATATTGTCTCTATGGTCAGGAAAGGATATATTAGACCTTCCCCACCTCTACCCCAACTTTCTTAGGGTTTCTCTTACCCAGGATCCAGAATTCAAGTTAAGCATCATTAAGGAAGCTTTTGTGTTGTAGCCTGGAAGCCTAAATAACATTTATAGCCTCGTGTTTCAAAAGGTCAATTTTTTGGATATTATTTACATTTTCCATACAGCCACTCTGTTTCAAGGCTGGGAACTGCTTTATGCTAACTAATCTGAGAAAGAAAAAAAACCACAAAAAGCATTTTCATCATTTTTTCTTGTTTAAATAAAAGAAAATAAGATAAAATAGGAATCTATTCATATTTGAAGAAAAACACTCAAAATGAACAGAGGGGTGGAAGGAGCCTGTCTATGAAAAAAGAAGACATTTTATGCACCAGAATTGTGATTCTTCATCAACAATCTTCTTTTACAGTAAAACTCACAAAATTATATCCTAAACAAAGTAAAGGAGAAGAACAGTGAAGGTGGGGGGAGGGTAGGGTGAGGAGACGGGCAGAATTTTAAAACTAGCAAATACAAAGAAGTTGGCTCCCCACAAAAATATGCCTTAAAAAGTGATTATAGGGTGTCTGAGTTGGGAAAGGGAAAAAAAGTAACAGGACCAGAGAAAATTAGCACTCAGAAGCTAAATGTTTTCCAGTGCCAGCAGTAAAGTACTGCCCGCTCTGCTATTAGCACATTGCTCACCTTTGGTCACTGCAGGGTTGTCAAACCCTAGGACTCTCATGCCAGCTGCAAGGAGAGCCAGCAGAACCATTTTATTTTGCAAAAACTAGAAAACTTATGATATGATCCATAGTAGTAGCTGTGTTTTGTAGTAATATGTCCCCAACCCTGTCTCTAATGAAACAGAAAATGCAAATTAGAGTTGAATTCTTAGAATTCTGAAAAGCAGATCTGATTCCTACAATGGTATGTATGCAGAGTTACCTGTCTCCATTCAGATGGCAGCCACGACTGAACAAAAGGAGTGCCCTGAAAAAGGTATCCTCTGCTGATTACTAGACAAATTACATGCCAAATGCAAATTAATAAAAATGATTAATGGAGCAGAGATTGAAAAAAATGTTATGGAATTAGGCTCTTAAGAAAACAACCTCAGGGATTTTCATTTTAAGATGGCAGACCAAGCATGTACATCTACTTCTTCTACCTCCCAAAGGTCCCCTGAAATGACAGAAAGATGTATTCTAAAAGAAACAACACTGGAAAATAAGAGAAGTTGCCAGAACTTCTGAGGATAGTACCAAGGTAAAGGCAGGTACTCTCAAAGGAGCCTCAAAGAAGGCCCAATGTCAGATTTGACCCCACAAAGGAAAGGACTGAGCCAGGGAGTCTGCACCAAAGTGAATAAAGAACAGCCATCAGAGAAGCTGGGGTCATAGGGACCTTTCTCATGCCACCTTGAGAGGGAAAGAGAAAGTAGAATGTATACATCTAACTTTCTGTCTTTTCAGAGGACCGCCTGAGGGACTAGTTTCTGCCTTTTCTAAATTAGAGGGCATGTGAACTTAAAGGATATACTTTAAATGCCTAGGGAGTGCTGAGAATAATTAAGAGCTTGTCAGCTTGTAGCAGCACCAGAGAACTTGCAGTACGGCAGACAGATACCAGAGGCAGAAAGAAATTACAATCTCCTAAAAAAGAAGCTGGCAAGCCTTTTTAATCGGGAAATTAGATGCATAATCCCAGAGAAGACACACTACCAGAAAAGATTTGAGAGACTCTCTGATTCTCTAACTGGGCTGATTGGTGAAGGCCTTCCTTGTATAAAGCTAGTCTGTAATGACAGAGAGATGGCTGTTTTTCAGATGCCCAAATGCCAGCAAAAAACAAAAGGGCATCTGAAAAAAAAAAACAAAAAAAAACAAGGAAAAATGGCCCAAGCAAAGAAACACAATAATTCTTCAGAAGCTGACCCAAAAGAAATGAAGATCTGTGAATTGCCTGACAGAGAATTCAAATAACTGTCTTTAAAAAGCTCAGTGAGCTATAAGAGGTCACAGGCAACTAAATAAAATGAGGAAAACAATGCATGAACAGAAAGAGAATATATCAGCAATCAAATAGAAACTGTAAAAAAGAACCCAACAGAAATTCTGGAGCTGAAGAATAACTGAATTAACAAGTCACACCTAGGTATGATGGCTCACACTTGTAATCTCAGCACTTTGGGAGGCCAAGGTGGAGGATCATTTGAGACCAGGATTTGAGACTGGCCCAAGTAACATAGCAAGACCTTATCTCTACAAAAATAAAAATAAAAAATAAAAAACTTAGCTGGGTGTGGTGCCACATGCCTGATGTCCCAGCTACTTGGGAGACTGAGGCTGTAGGATTGCTTGAAACCAGGAATTTGAGGCTGGAGTGAGCTATTATCACACCACCACACTCCAGCCTGCTGACATGGCAGGGCCTTGTCTGTATTAAAAAAAAAAAAATTCAGCCAGGCATGGTGGCTCACGCCTGTAATCCCACTATTTTGGAAGGCTGAGGCAGGTGGATCACCTGAGGTTAGGAGTTCAAGACAAGCCTGACCAACATGGTGAAACCCCGTCTCTGCTAAAAATACAAAAAATTTAGCTGGGCGTGGTGGCAGCCACCTGTAATCCCAGCTACTTGGGAAGCTGATGCAGGAGAATTGCTTGAATCCAGGAGGCAAAGGTTGCAGTGAGCCGAGATGGTGCCACTGCAATCCAGCCTGGGCAACAAGAGTGAAACTCTGTCTTAAAAAAAAAAAAAATTCACTAATGAGGTTCAACAGCAGATTTGAACAAGCAGAAAAAAAGAATCAGTGAACTCAAAGATAGGTCATTGGAAATTATTGAGTCACAGGAGCAAAAACAACAAAAGAAGAAAAGTGAAGAAAGCTTAATGAAACAGCATCAATTGGACCAATTATGTATTATAAGAGTTCCAGAGGAGAAGAGACAGAAAGAAATGGGAACAGAACTTAATTTGAGGAAATAATAGCTGGAAACTTACCAAATCTGAAGAAATGTAAATCCAAATTCAAGAAGCTGAAAGGTGACTAAGATGAGCCCAAAGAGGCCTACACCAAGACACATTATAATCAAACTGTCAAAATCAAAGACAAAGAGAGTATCTTGAAAGCAGCAAGAGAAAAGTAATTTATCATGTACAAGGGAATTCCCAGATTATCAGCAGATTTCTCAGCAAGAAGATTGGGGGCCAGAAGAGAACAAGATGATATATTCAAAGTACTGAAAGAAAAAACTCCCAACCAAGAATTGTATACCTGGAAAAATCATCCTTCAAAAATGTAGGAGAGAAATAAAGACCTTTCAGATAAGCAAAACCTGAGGGATTTCATCACTACTACAACTGCCTTACACATAATGCTACAGGCATTCCTTCAAGCAGAAGCTCAAGGACACTAGATAGCAACACAACAGCATAAGAAAAAATAAACTCTCTGGTAAAGGTAAATATATAGACAAATAAAAAATCCTTTAATAATGCAATGGTGGTATATAAATCACTTTTAATTCTAGTATACACTTTAAAGATAAAAACATAAAACTAACTACAAAAGAATACCAATGGATCAAAAAATGTAATTTGTGGCTGGGTACTATGCCTATAATTCCAGCACTTTGAGAGGCCCAGGTGGGTGAATCATTGAGCCCCAGGAGTTTGAAACCAGCCTGGGCAACATGGTAAAACCCTGTCTCACAAAAAAAATACAGAATTTAGCCAGGCATGGTGGCCCATGCCTATAGTTCAAGCTACTCGGGAGGCTGGGGTGGGAGGATCACCTGAGCCCAGGGAAGTTGTGGTTGCAGTGACCTGTGATTGTGCCGCTCCATTCCAGCCTGAGTGACAGAGTGAGACCCTGTCTCAAAAAAGAAATAGTTATTTGTGACATTGATAATAAAAGTGGTGAGGGGAAAATGTAAACAAGAAGATTTTTTTGCATGCTACTGAAGTTTTTATCAGTTTAAACTATAAGATATTTTATGTAATCCCCATGATAACTACAAAGAAAATACCTGTAAAAAAACACAAAAAAGAAAATGAGAAAGGAATCAAAGCAAGTTCCTACAAAAAAAAATCAACAAAATACAAAGGAAGGCAGCAAGACAGAAAAAGTGCAGCAAAATAATTACAAGACATACTGAAAGCAATGAACAAAACGGCAATTGTAAGTCTGCTCTATCAGTAATTACTTTAAGTGTAAATGGGTTAAACTCCCTGATCAAAAGACATAGAGTGGCTGAATGGATTTTAAAAAAAACCAACAAGAAGAAGATCCAATTACCTGCAGATGTAAAGACATACATACAATGAAAGTGAAAGAATGAGGAAAAATGCTCATTTTCATTTACCATGAAAATGGCAACAAAAAGAGAGCCAGAATGACCATACTTACATCAGACAAAATAGACTTTAATTAACAAACTGTTATAAGAGACAAATGAGGATATTATGTAAAAACGAAAGGGCCAAATTATATAGAAAGATATAACAATTATAATTGTATATGCATCTAACATCAGAGTAACCAAATATATGAAACAAATATTGATGGAATTGAAGGGAGAAATGAACACTAATACCGTAATAGTAGGAGATTTCAATACTGCACTTCAATAATGGATAAAACAATCAGACATAAGATCAATAAGGAAACAGAGGACTTAACATCACAGACCAATTTAACTTAATAGATATATACAGAACACTCTACCCAGTAATAACAGAATAAACATTCTTCTCAAGTACATATAAAAGATTCTCCAGTACAGATCATACCTAAGGCCACAAAACAAGCCGTAACAAATTCAAGAAGACTGAAATCATACCAAGTATAATTTCTGACCAAAATGGAATGGAACTAGAAATCAAAAGCAAAAGGAAAGTGGAAAATTCACAAATTGTGGAAATTAACATTCTTGAACAACCAATGAGTCAAAAAAGACATCACAAAGGAAATTAGAAAATATCTTGAAGCAAATGAAAACAAAACCACAACATACCAAAACTTATGGGACATAGCAACGACAGTACTAAGAGAGAAGTTTATAGTGGTAAATGCTTACATTATAAAAAAAAGAAAGATCTCAAGTCAATAACTTGACTTTAACCTCAAGAAACTACAAAAAGAACAAACTAAAGTTAGCAGAAGAAAGGAAATAATAAAGATGAGAACAAAAATAAACAGACTAGAAAAACAACAGCAAAAAAAAAATCAACAAAAGTAAGAGTTGGTCTTTCGAAAAGATCAACAAAATTAACAAATCCTTAGCTAGACTAATGAAGAAAAGACTCATATACCAAAAATCAGAAATGTAAGAAGAAACATTACAATCGATGCCACAGAAATAAAATAGACTACTAAGAACAATTATACACCAATAAACTGGATAAACTAGAAATAAATGAATTCCTAGAAACATGCAACCTACCAAAACTGAATCATGAAGAAAAAAAATCTGAACAGAACTATACTAGTAAGGAGATTGAATCAGTAATAAAAAACCTACCAACAAAGAAAAGCCCAGGACCAGAGAGCTTCATGGGTGAATTCCACCAAACATTTAAAGAAGAATTACCACCAATACACCTCGAATTCTTCCAAAATACTGACAAGAAGGGAATACTTCCAGACTCATCTTATGAGGTCAATATCACTGTGATACCAAAACCAAAGACATAATTTAAAAAAGAAAACTATAGTCCAATATCCCTAATCAATATTGATGCAAATTCCTTAACAAAATACTAGCAAACCAAATTCAACAACACATTAAAAAAATTACGCAGCATGACCAAGTGGGATTTATTCTTGAACTACAAGGATGGAACAACATATGTAAACCAATCAACATAATACACCACACTAACAGAATGAAAGACAAACCACATTATTTCAATTGATGCAAAAAAAGTATACGACAAAATTCAATACCCTTTCATGATAAAAACACTCAACAAAGTAGGAGTAAAAAGAAATTACCTTAACATACTAAAGGTTATATATGAAAAAGCCTAGAGCTAACGTCATACCAAATGATGGAAAACTGAAAGCTTTCCCTCTAAGATCAGGAACATGGCGAGGAATGCTTAGTCTTGCCACTTCCTGTCAACAAAGTACTGGAAGTCCAGTACTTTCTTAATTGCCAGAGCAATTAAGAAAATAAATAAATAAAAATAAATAAAAGGTATCCAAATTGGAAAGTAGTAAAATTATATCTGTTTGTGGATTACATTATTTTAAATGTAGACAACCCTAATTCTACACACATACACACACACACACCCATTAGAACTAATAAATGAACTCAGCAGAATTGTAGAATACAAAATCAACACACAAAAATCAGTTACATTTCTATATACTAACAATGAACAATTTGAAAAGGAAATTGAGAACTCAATCATTTTTACAATAGCATCAAAAAGAATAAAAATACTAAAATACTTAGGGATAAATGTAACCAAGGAGATGAAAAGCGTGTACACTGAGACCACAAAACATTGCCACAAGAAATTGAATAAGACACAAATAAATGAAAAGACATTCTGTGTTCATGTGCTGTATTAGAACACTTAATATTGTTAAAACGTGTATATCACCCAAAGTGATCTATAGATTCAATGCAGTTTCTAACACAAAAGATTCTTAATCTCCAACAGGGTCAGCAAACTTCTTAAAAGGCCACGGAATAAATATTTTAGCCACACAGTCTCTGTCACAATTACTCAACTCTGCCATTCCTTGCAACATGAAAAGCAGAATATATAAACAAATGGGTGCAGCTGGGTGCCAATATAACTTTAATAATAGGCGGCAGGAGGATTTGGTCCTTTGGCTGGGGTTTGCCATCCTTTGGTATAGATTGTATAGAAAGACTGAAAACTCTATTTAATCAGTTAATTAACTCATATGAATTTGTTAAAAGATGAGAAAGCATCACAAAATGTGTGCCTCAATAACATAATGACTAGGACTCTTCTCTGGAGTTTAAAAGGAATTCTCTGGCAGTGTCTTCAGGCCCTATGCCCTGGTGGTCACCCTGAGAAGACGTCTTCAGGGCAGGGCTGTGTCTATGACCCAGCTCACCTTGCTCCACTCCAACCAAGCTCCATTCCTAGTGTGCTGAGGATCCACACAGGGAATGACAGGGAACCACTAATATCACAAAAGGCCTAGGCCTCTGGGCTGCCTGCATGGGTGACTTTCCAAGATCAGTCGAGTGAACAAGGAGTTGGTCTTAAAAGATGTACAGCAAACCCTTGAAGCTTTGCTGAAAAAACAACTCACAAAAAGCAGATTAACAGGAGAAAAGATGTGATATGGATTCAGTTAATGAGAACTCAGGGAAGTGACCAGCAGTTAATTGTTTTCTTCTTTGGTAGGTCTGGACTTTAGGCAGACAAGGGAACTTTAGAGAATCTAATGCTTTGGGAGAGACAGTATGGGGGAGATCAGGGAGACCTTGAGGCTCCCTTTTCAGTTCAGCATGTCAAAGTGCAGTATTTGGGGGTATTGGTTTCTGAGTCTCAATAAATATTAATAGCTGGAATCTAAAAGAAGTATACAGGGAAAAAAGGGAATATGTTAGAAGAGTCAAAACAATGAGAGAGGGAGAACTGCTCAGTATGAAAGCATGAAAAGTATTTTACTTCCTTCCTTCTTTTTTTTTTTTTTTTTTTTGACGGAGTTTCACTCTTGTTGCCCAGGCTGGAGTGCAATGGCACAGTCTCGGCTCACTGCAACCTCCACCTTCCAGGTTCCAACGATTCTCCTGCCTCAGCCTCCTGAGTAGCTGGGATTACAGGCATGCACCACCACGCCTGGCTAATTTTTTTGTATTTTTAGTAGAGACGGGTTTCACCATGTTGGCCAGGCGGGTCTCGAACTCCTGACCTCAAGTGATCCACCTGCCTCGGCCTCCCAAAGTGCTGGGATTACAGGCATGAGTCACTGCACCCGGATCCTTCTCTATTTCATCATTTAATAGAAAAGGTGATTGGGGGAAATATCAATTAGACCAAATTAATGCAAGAAAATAATCTAAAGGGTTACAGACAAATTAAATCATGTGTCTCATTGGCTCTTCTCTCTTAAAATATAATCTCCATTGTAGGGACCTGCTAATCAAGAGGCTTGTTGTAGTTGAGGGACACTGAATGATGGGGTTGTCATTTGTCCCTAGGGTGAGAAAGCTGGCTTTCAAGGCTTTGGCATGCCCTGTGTCACCAAAGAACACATCTTATACAGCTTAAAGCAATTTACATGTGTTAAAGTTTGTTTTCCTCTCATTCAGAGCCACATTTCATGCACAAAGCAGTTTCTAGAGCAGATCTGATGATGGTGAAAGGAAATAAAATCTGTAAGAGGGTTATGTGTGATTTGGAGCTTGCTTTGTTTTTTCAACAATTATTTTGATCACTTGACAAGTAAAAAAACCAAGGAACATATAAAAACTGTGTGCCCAGAAATATTCTCTAACTAAGGCCTACAAAGCAAAGTGATATCTTAAGATTATGATTTCATTCTACTATATACTTACTTCATTTACTTTAATTGTATCAAGTGAGAATTTAAGTCACAATAGAGAAATACACACTTGTAAACCTTAAACTGTTAGCTATAAGGCAGATGTGGTACCGCAGGGGCCACAGGAAAGTGGGTGGCTCTACAACAGTGCAAGGAGAACACACAATCGACCTCCTGTGGTCACCTGACACAGTCATGGCGAGGACGGCAGGGTGCAGGACACTCCAGGTGGCCTAAATATATGTCAGAGTTAGAATAAAAAGCAAGGCTCAACTATGTTAACTGCAAGAAATCCATCTTAAATAGAGGGATTCAGGTTAAAAGTTAAGAGATGCTGGGAGGCCAAGGCGGGCGGATCACTAGGTCAGGAGATCGAGACCATCCTGGCTAACACGGTGAAACCCCGTCTCTACTAAAAATACAAAAAATTAGCCAGGCCTGGTGACAGGTGCCTATAGTCCCAGCTACTCCGTGGGCTGAGGCAGGAAAATGGCATGAACCCGGGAGGAGGAGCTTGCAGTGAGCTGAGATTGCACCACTGCACTCCAGCCTGGGCTACAGAGTGAGACTTTGCCTCAAAAAAAAAAAAAAAAAAAAAAGTTAAGAGATGCACACAGATCTTGGTTTCTAATACCATTGTCCAAAACAAAGGAACCAGAGCTCCTTGGAAAAATGGCTGAGTCTAGGACCGCAGCAGGAAATATACAAGATGAGTCTTATCAGATAAAAACTAAGGAAATCTGAATAAAGCATGAACTTTAGTTAATAATATTAATAGTTGTTCACTAATTATAACAAGTGTACCATACCAGTGTTAGATGTTAAAAGTAGGGGAAACTAGCTATGGTGTATATGGGAACTATCAGTTCTAGCTTGTTAACTTTTCTGTAATCTAAAACTATCTTAAAATTAAAAACTTTATTTTAAAAAGACTTTTACTTTATCATATATATTTATCCCAAAATCACAGGTAAAACAATGAATAATTAAACTAGGATTCCAAACAAACCATCTAAAAACAACTCAGCAAAATCTGCTAAACCAGTTCTCAGGTTAAGGGTGAATATCCTGAAAATGACCTACATCTCCCAAATCTATGACCATGTTTCCTTACATTAGAAATATCATTGCCTACAACACAGGCAATGCATTTTTTTTTTGTATTTTTTGTTTTTGAGACGGGGTCTCACTCTGTCACCCAGGCTGTGTAGTGGCACTATCTCAGCTCACTACAACCTCTGCTTGCCGAGCTCAAGTGATCTTCCCACCTCAGCCTCCAGAGTAGCTGGGACTACAGGTGTGCACCACCATACCCAGCTAATATTTGTATTTTTTGTAGAGACGGGGTTTTGCCATGTTGCCCAGGCTGGTCTTGAACTCCTGAGCTCAAGCAATCTTCCCACAGCCTCCCAAAGAGCTGGGATTACAGAACACCAAACCCAGCCTTTGTTCTGTCAGGAGCTGTCCAAACACTGATGAGAGTAAAGACAAGAAGCCTGGCGGAGAGAGAAACGTATAGATATCACTGTGTGTAGAATTCTTAGAGTGGGTGATCACTTTGTGACCTCCACTGTCATCAGCTTCGGGGCCCAGGGTTCATGTCCCACATTTTATTGTGCCTTAGGGCCTAACAGAGCATGTGGATTCAGGAAGGAATGCTTCCCATCTTCTACTTCTCAGATTGCATTTAAATTTACTCCTTGTTGAACTTATCAGCAATAACTCAAGCTTCTCAGGTTTTGCTTTAATGTAACCTTTGATATCTTTGTCAGAGCAAGGGAAGTGGGAAAAATGTACAGAGGCAGTGGATATAGAAGAAAGGGGATGAAAGAAGTAAAGCCAACTGGCAAGTCTTTGCTCTGAGAGAGAGCAACTTCATACAATTGAACAGAGAGTTTGTAACAAAAAAGAGTTACAACTTTTTATAACTGCATATTTTTTTCAAAGATAACATTTTCTGTTCTCCGCTGATATATTTTCTTGAAGAAAATACTGGTTTATGGTTTATTACTTGTTATGTTCTTAAGATATGCTTGAGGCACACTACTGTCAGAAAAGTAAGGAGAAATTTGAACTACTTCTTTGAGAAAGTCAGGTTTTCACTAGGGAGACCCTCTCAGTTACAAAGTGACAATAACAATCAATTTTAACAACTCAGAACTTGCCATACCGAAAACACTCGAGGGAAGATGAATATTCATAGGTAGATAAAAATAATTTTTAAGGTTTAACAACAGCAAAAGCGATTTATCCTAGCTATTCTGAATTTATTATTAAAAAATGTATATACCTATATCTTTTTGAACTATAGTTTGAAGGTAATACAGTCACATGGTTAGGAAAAAAGGTATAAAGTGATACCCCTACCCCTGCCCTCATCTTCCCAATGCCCCACTGTGCCTCCTGCCCACATGTACAATCAGAATATATTAATATTTTCTCCATGTTTATATAAAAGGAGCATACAGAAATACTGTTCAGCATTTTCCTTTTTTGTATTTCCTAATATTAGAGATCTTTCCATATTAGTACCTAGACAGCACCCATACTTTATCGACCAGTGATGGACATTTACACTATTTCCAATATTTTTGTTATTAGTAAGGGTGCTGCAATAAATTTCCTCCAACATTTGTCATTTTGTGCACAGGCAAGTATATTTGTGGAATACATTCCCAAAGACAGAACTGCTCGGTCAAAGGATATACACAGTTGTAATATAAGTAGATTCTGTCAAATTGTTCCGTACATGGTATTAAGCACGCATGTACAATCAACAGCTGAATATGAGACTCCCTGGTCCTCCACAGCCTTGTCGACCCAAGGTGATATCCCTCTGGTGGATTTCTGCCAATCTGATAAGGTGACAATAGGTGTTTCAGTTTAGTTTCCACTTGCCTATCTTACTCTGAATGATGTTGAGCACCTATTCACACACTTAACCGCCATTTGCATTTTGCTTTTTTTGTAAACTTTCTGTTCATAATGAAAAGCATTTGAGAAGGTTGAGGGATTGGAGAAAAGGGAAGAAAGAAGAAGAAAGACACTGATTCCAGTTCTGTACAAGTACAAATAACTCATTTTTTGGCTTAAATTGGATCTATATATTAGAACATGTTAAATTCTAATGAAGTTCTACTATTTTTTATTGAGATTTTATTTTTAAAGCAGTTTTAGTTTTGTAGAAAAACTACACAGAAAGTAGAGAGTTGCTGTATACCTGTCATTCTCCCAGTTTCCCCTATTATTAAGGTCTAACATTTGTATTGTTCATCTGCTACAATTGATGTACCAATACTGATACTTTATTATCAACCAAGGCCCATAGTTTACATTAGGGTTCACTATACAGGTTTTCACAAATGCATTGTTATGGCTTGAATTTCTGTGTCCCCACAAATTCACATTTTGAAGTGCTAACCTCCAACACGATGGTTTTAGGAAGTAGGGTGCTAGGGAGGTAATTAGGTTTAGACAAGGTCATAAGGATGGAGCGACAATGATGGGATAGTGCCCAGATAAGAAATGGAAGACAGACCTAGAGCTTCCTCTGTCTACCACATGAGGATTCAAGAAGGCCTAAGAATCAAATCTGCCAGCATCTTAATCTTGGACTTCTCAACTTCCGGAAGCATGAAAAATAAATGCCATTTAGGCCACTTGGTCTGGTATTCTGTTATAGCAGCCTGAGCTGAGACATACATCATGTCATGTATCCACCATTACAGTATCATACATGATAGTTTTACTGCCCTAAAAACCCCTGTGGTTCACTTATTCATTCCACACTTCCTCCCTTGCATCTCTTCCCTCCCCCTCAACTCCCAGCTGCCACTGATCTTTTTACTGTCTCTATAGTTTTGTCTTTTCTAAAGTGTTATATATTTGGAATCATACAGTATATAGCCTTTTCAGACTGACTTCTTCCACTTAGGAACAGGCATTTAAGGTCCCTCCATGTCTTTTCATGGCTTGATAGCTCATTTCTTCTTAACAGTGATTATTATTCCCTCATATAGATGTACAACATAATTTTATCCAATCATCTACCGAAGGACATCTTGGTTGCTCCGAAGTTTGGACAATCATGAATAAAGCTGCTATAAACATCCATCTGCAGGTTTGTGTATGGACATAAGTTTTCAACCCATTTGGGTAAATACCAAGGAGCATGGCTGCTAAATCATATGGTAAAAGTATGCTTAGTTTTCTAAGAAACTGCCAAACTGTCCTCCAAAGTGGCTGTACCATTTTGCATTTGCACAGCAATGACTGAGCTATTGGATTGTTTGTTTATGGATTGTTTTCTTTCTTTCTTTCTTTCTTTCTTTTTTTTTTTTTTTGGAGACAGAGTCTTGTTCTGTCACCCAGGCTGGAGCGCAGTGGTGCGATCTCGGCTCATTGCAACTTCTGCCTCCCGGGTTCAAGTGATTCTCCTGCCTCAGCCTCCTTAGTAGCTGAGATTACAGGTACCCGCCACCATGCCATGACTGCCTAAGTTTTGTATTTTTAATAGAGACTGGGTTTCACCGTGTTAGCCAGGATGGTCTCTATCTCCTGACCTCAAGTGATCCACCCACCTTGGCCTCCCAAAATGTTGGGATTACAGGCGTGAGCCACCATGCCTGGCTGGGTTGTTTTCTCATTGTTGAGTTTCAAGAGTTTTTTTTGTATATTTTGGATACAAATCCTTTATCATTTACGTATTTTGCAAATATTTTCTCCCAGTTTTTGGCTTTTTTCATTCTCTTTTGCAGAGAATAACTTTTTAATTTTGAAGAAGTTTAACTTATAAATTATTTCTTTCAAGCTTTTGGAACTGAATTTAAAAAGTAATTAATTACTAAACCCTAGAACACCCAGATTTTCTCTTATCTTCCAGAAGTTTTATAGTTTTGTGTTTTACATTTAGGTTTCTGATCCATTTGGGATTAATTTTTGTTAAAGGTATAAGGTCCCTATCTAGATTCTTTTTTTTTTTTTTTTTTTTGTATGTGATGTCCAGTTGTTACAGCACCCTTTGTTGAAAGGACTATCCTTTCTCCATTGAATTGCCTTTGCCAATAGTAGATCTATTTTGGGGCTGTTTTGTTCCATTTATTTATTTGTCTATTCTTTCACCAATACCACAATGTCTTCATTACTGTAGCTTTACAGCAAGTTTCGAAGTTGGTTAGTGCCAGTCCTCTTTGTTTTTCTTCAGCATTGTGTTGGCTATTTTGGGTCTTTTGCCACTCCACATAAACAATAGAATCAGTCTGTCAATATACATAAAATAACTTGCTTGGATTTTGATGGAGATTGTGTTCAATGTACACATCAAGTTGAGAAAAACTGACATCTTAATAGAGAATCCTCCCATCCATAAACATGGGATATCTCTCCATTTATTTATATTTTCTTTGATTTCTGTCAGTAGAGTTTAGCAGTTTTTCTCATCTATATTTGTACATTTCTTTTTAGATTTACACCTAAGTACTGCATTTTTTTGGAGCTAATGTAAATGGTATTATGTTTTTAATTTCAAATTCCAAATGTTCACTGCAGGTATATGGGTAAGCAGTTGACTTTTATTCTACTAGTTTCTGCCATTGTTTTTAGAATAAAGTGGAAAAATATTTGAATTTTTTTTCTGGAATAAAGTAGAAAAAATATGAATATAATTTACAGCATGAAAAATCTGAGCCCTGACGGCTGTGAAAAATTATATATCAGCCAGGCACAGTGGCTCATGCCTGTAATCTCAGCACTTTGGGAGGGCGAGGTGGGCAGAAGACCTGAGGTCAGGAGTTTGAGACCAGCCTGGGCAACATAGTGAGACCCTATCTCTACTAAAAATACAAAAATTAGCCAGGCATGGTGGCGGACACCTGTAATCCCAGCTACTCGGGACGCTGAGGCAAGAGAATTGCTTGAACCCAGGAGGCGGAGGTTGCAGCGAGCTGAGATGGTGCCATTGCACTCCAGCCTGGACAACAAGAGTGAAATTCCATCTCAAAAAAAGAAAAATTACATATCTAGCTTTTCACCTATGCCAGAATTATATGTCTCAGATAATTCCCTGGTTATGATAAGGAAATCATATGTCAATAACTGTCATTTGCCACACACTTTTATAAATCAAGTGACAAACCTGAAATAAGATTCCTGAATATGATATTCAAGTCCACGTGAACTAAAGCCATAAGAAAGGTACCCTGCACTCTGGAAAATATTGATGAGAACATTTATGTCATCTTTTTGTAATGTAACAGATTACAGTTCAAAAAGTACTTCCTTCAAACTTTGGCAGAGTCCTGAAAAACTGCATTTTGGTCATAAGTTCCTTAAGCTTCTAATCCATTCACAGATGAATTTCTATAAATGGATTAGGTATCTGCCAAGTCCAGGCATTTTTTTCTGTTGCTTAGGCTTTATAATACAGCACTGATACCTTACATAGTCATAAAGTTAATGCCAATCTGATTAGAAGAAACTCCCTATTTTCAAAGTATATCACAGCACATATCTGAAGTTTATAATGTCGAGATTACTTTGAATCATGGTCCCTAAGCACATCCTTGCAGGAACAGTTGCTTAAGGAGTTGGACCTTGAGAGAGGCAACACTCAGAGTATAAGGGAACTTCAGAGAATGCTGGGACATGCTGCCGAGATGTCCCATCAGAACTGAAGGAATTATTCTCCCAGCTGCTGCAAGGGCTACTAGAAGACACACCTGAGCTGAAGAGAGCCACCTTGACCACACTCGCCTCTGTCTCCTGAGGCTGCTGTACCCACCGACTAGTCTATCGGGATGGAAAATAATAACCTGGCCATTCCAGCTTCAGAGCTCCCTATGAAATCAGCTGAGGCGTTGTTGCCCAACTTCTCCCTCTGTTCAATCGGCTTCCTTTCCCATCCCTTTCAAGTGTTGATTCTCAAGAGCTTTCTCTAACGAAAGTCCTGCACACTAGTCTCCATCTCAGAGTTTGGTTGCTGGGAAACCTGACCTGTGACAGTAATCAATTTTAAAATGAGGATTTTAAATCACCTTTTTTATGGCTTTGTCTAGGTGGTGGTGGTTAGGGATGAAGGGTGGGGATTAGGGGGTGGGTAGGAGGATTTGCAAAAGAAATACAAGACAATTTTTTTGCACACAAGGTGCAATTTAGCTGAGGAGTCCAAATACGCTTAGATAAGACTATAAAGTAATGTAAATGAAGTTTAAAGAACACCCAAGAACTTACACATTCAAATAACTGTGGTTCACTTAGCATTGAGTTTGAGAGGCTCTATGCTTACTCTAGGGAAATGGAATTGCAAAGTCACAAAAGATTTTTGGAACTCTTAGATATCTATCTAGTCACAGTGAGTAAGTGAAAATGGCTTTCTGTTGTTGGTTTTCTACTCCCAACTGTATGAGGCAGTTTGGCTACCGATAAACTCCCAAGATTTGGTATTAAATTATTTTTGGCTATTCTAAAGTCAAATCTACCCTCAAAGGCTAAAGATTAGTTACTAATAAAATAGGCCATAGAACAATTCTAACTTATTTATTTATTTAATCTTCTTGGATACCAATGTAGATCAATTCTAAAAGAATTAGAACACTCTCTAGGCTTGTAAATGTATTCTTGTTTTTAAAAAAACCAACAACACTTTATTGATTCACATACCATAGAATTCTCCCAATGAAAGTATATAATTCAATACCTTCTAGTATACTCAGAGTTTGTGCAACTATCACCACAATACATTTTAGGACATTTTCCTTGCACCCTCCAAAAAGCCTATGCCCCTTAATGGTCATTTTCCAATCCCTTATCTCCCGTAGGCAACCACCAGTCTACTTTCTGTATTAAAGTAGTTATTCTGGAAATTCCACATAAATGGAATCATACAGTATGTGGTCCTTTGTGATGGGCTTCCTTCACTTAGCACAGTGTTTTCAAGTTTCATCCATGTTGTGGCATGTATTACTAGTTCATTTCTTTTTATTGCCTAATAATATTCTATTGTATAAATAAACCACATTTCATTTATCCATTCATCAGTTGGTGGACATTTGGGTTGTTTCCATTTGAGGCTATCACGAATAAT
This sequence comes from Homo sapiens, assembly GCF_000001405.40. NCBI lineage: Eukaryota > Metazoa > Chordata > Mammalia > Primates > Hominidae > Homo > Homo sapiens. The sequence goes on from NC_000003.12 coordinate 43,452,626, forward strand.
GCTGCTATGAATATTAATGTGCAAGTTTTTGTGCAGACATGTGTTTTAATTTCACTTGGGTATATACCTAGGAGTGGAACTGCTGGATCGCATAGTAACTCTATGGTTAACATTTAGTGGAACTGCTAAACCATTTTCCACAGTGGCTGTACCATTTCACATTCCCACCAGCAGTGTACAAGGGTTTCAGTTGCTCTACATCCTCACCAAATCTTGTTGTTATTATTTGCCTTTTTGTTTATATCTATGCTAATGAGTATAAAGTATTATCTTATAGTGGATTTGATCTGTAGTTCCCTGATGGCTAATGATGTAAATATCTTTCCATGTGCTTGCTGGCCACTTAAAAAATCTTCTTTGTAGAAATGTCTATTCGGATCCTTTGCCCATTTTTTAATTGGGTTAATTGTGAGTTTTAATAGTTCTTTAATTATTCTAGATACAAGTTCCTTCTCAGATATGTGATTTGCAAATATCTGCAACCTTTCTGTGGTGTCCTTCGAAGCACAAAAGGTTTCAGTTTTGATGAAGCCCAGTTTATCTTCTTTTCCCCCTTTTTTTTTTTTTTTTTGAGACGGAGTCTCGCTCTGTCTCCCAGGCTGGAGTGCAGTGGCGTGATCTTGGCTCACTTGCAAGCTCCACCACCCAGGTTCACGTCATTGTTCTGCCTCAGCCTCCCAAGTAGCTGGGACTACAGGCACCCGCCACTGTGCCCGGCTAATTTTCCGTATTTTTAGTACAGACGGGGTTTCACTGTGTTAGCCAGGATGGTCTCGATCTCCTGACCTCATGATATGCCCACCTCGGCCTCCCAAAGTGCTGGGATTACAGGCATGAGCCACCGCACCTGGCCTATCTTCTTTTTCTTTTATTGCTTGTGCTTTTGGTGTCATATCTAAGAACCACTGTTTAATTCAAAATCACAAAGATTTACATCCTTGTTTCTTCTTAAGAGTTTTCTAGTCTTGGCTTATACTTAGGTCTTTGATCTATTTTGAGTTATTTTTTGCATATAGTGTGGGGTAGGGATCCAATTTCATTTGTTTGCATATGGCTATCCAGTTGTCCCAGCACCATGTGCTGAAAAGATTATTCTTTCCTCATTCAATTATCTTGACACCCTTGTTGAACACTATATGTGAGAGTTTATTTCTGGCCTCTCAATTCTATTACATTGGTCTATAAGTCTGTCCTTATGCCGGTATTACATATTGTATCCTTCTTAAGGTGTCTGCTTATATGCATTCATTCATCAAATGCTCAGTAGGCAACTACCACATACCAGACACTCTCTAGGTGCTGTAGATTGGAACTAAAGCACAGCTGGAGCTTACCTTTTTAGAGAAGACATATAATTAAACTATTCATAAGTAACATACATAGTTTATGAAACAAAGAAGAGGAAGTTTTGGTAGTAGGACTAAAATGTAGACAGGATAGCCAGGGGAAGGTGACTCTCAATAAAGACCTGAAGGAAGGAAGCTGGGCAGGCTTTCTTCTGGGGGAAAAGCATGTTGGGTCAGGGGAAAGGCAAATGTAAAGGCCCTGAGGCAGTAGCCTGGCTGTTCAAGGAACACAGAGGAAGGCCTGTGTGTCTGGAATGGATTGCAAGAACGTTGAGAGGAGTTGATGATAAGGGCAGAGAGATAATCATGGGCCTGATTCTATAGGGTTTCAAAAGTCATAGTGAGGACATTGACTTTTATTTTAAATCAGATGGGAACCTGCTGGAGGTTTCTGGATGGAGAAGTGATGTGTAAGGTTATTAACAAAACCACTGTGGCTGCTGTGTTGAGACCAGACAAAAGCAGAAGGGTGGCCCAAGAACAGAGCCCAAGACTGTCTGGCCATCAGAGAGAGTGGGCAAGAAGCACACACAACAAAACACACACAAAAAAAGGGAGAGAGGAAGAGAGAAATGGAGGGGAGGAGACATGGAGGGAGGGAAGGAGGAAGAGATACTAAAGAAGAGTGGTCAGAAAGGCAGGAGGAAAAGCAAGTGATGTAGGGACCTGAAAATCAAATGAAAACAGTGTTTCCAGGAGAGAGGAGTCAGGTAAGGTGAGGCCTGAGAAAGGACCATGGCATTAGCAAGGTGCTGATCACCAGAGACCTTCAGAAGTGGTGTCTTGGTGGACTAATGGTTCAAAATAATATGAAAGAAGAAGAACTGGAGACAGTAAGCATGAACAATTTACACAAGTTTTGTTTAAAGACAAATGAGGCAGTAATTAGAGGGAAATGTAAGGCCAGGGTAGAAGAAATAACAGCATGTTTATGCACCGATGAGGATGATCCTATAGAAAGGGAAAAAGACAATGCAAGTGAGAGTGAGGGAGTCTCCTGGAGCCTGTGCTGGAGACATGTGAGAGAATAGAATCCAGCCCCTGAGTGTGGAGGTGTCCCTCATGGGGCGCAGATGTGGGCCATCTGCAGTGACAGGAGAAAAAGTCAAATACATGGGCACAAATGCATGCAAGTGGTGTAGCTGGCGGGAGTTTTCATGTAGTGCGCCCATTTTCTCAGTGAGGTAGGAAGCAAGGTCATGAGCCAAGAGCAAGGGAGGGAAGGAGGCACTGGAGGACTGAGGGAGGAGAAGGCATGAAACAGTCATGTGGAAGGGCAGGAGAGAGAATGACCATGGAAATACACATGCATGCCAAGCAGCATTGAGGGCTATTTGAGGTCAGTGATTAGGAATCTAAAGTGAGGCAGGCCATGAGTCAGAGGTATGACTGTGGAGGTGGGAGGCTGAGATCAGAAGGAAGACAGGTCAGTGGAGGAGAGGTCAAGGATGTCAGCAGCCATGGATGTGGAAGGAGTGACAGGTACGTGTATTAGAGAGGTTCTGCAGAGAGAGGGGGTGAGTCAGGCCCTTAAGTCCTTGAGGAATGGGGGGAAATGACCTGGGGTAAGCCAGGCTAGGTACTGTAAATCAACTAGTTAGCAGGATAGGAGGGCAGTCTTCCATCTCACAGATCCTTTCTGGGGCCAGCTAATTTAATTGTTCTGACTGGTTGATTATTTCTCCTTTCACCACCCTAAGAACCCCTCTCAAAACTTCACTGGGCTGGGCTGCATGTGTGATCTTTTCCTCAGGGTTTCTGAATAAACTACACTTAAAATTTTTCCAAACACCATCAGTCAAACAAACATTGGTTACAAACCTTTTTTTTTTCCAACAGATTCTGACACAAAGATGAATATATAAAGATATATAAAAATAAATTATAATATCCTGTGGTACATGACGCAGTATTTACTTGTTAGAGTAACATATTCCAGCACTGCTATTCTACAGCAAGTTCAATAAACAACAGGAGCAAAGACTTGCGTTAACTCTAATTTACGATGGGATAAAGAAAAGCAAAAAGAGTAACATTAAAAAACATTTAAGCACCTACTAGGTGATGAAATAATTTCTTTAAATAGAAATTGACATGCTACATTTGCCTACTCCTCAAATAACTTGGGCTGGCTCCCACCCTGGGAACCTGGGCTCAGCAGGTGAGCAGGTACGGCGGTCACCAACACCTGCACAGTCATTAGGAGGAAAGGAAAAGGACGCTACAAAAATAGAATCTTCAGACACTGCAGTGTATAATTAATGATACTCTCAGCTGCATTTTTGAGTGTCACCTTTTATACAAAATGTATATATTTTAAAGCTCCAGAAGTCCTATATTATACTGATGGCACTGAGTTTTGCCTTAAAGGTGCTAAAAATCTGCTAAACCTGGGCATTTTCTTCACCTGTGCTCTGAGGTAAGCTCTTGCACACATCCACAAAGAAGCAAACACAACGCTGTGCATCCTTATGTAGCTCTGGCTTTAGAAGCAAAGAGTTGTCCATCGGTAGGAAAATGGATAAGAAAACTTTGGTGTATTCAGAAGATGGATATCTACGTAGCAGTCAGAAGCAATGAACCAAATTCATACATAGCCACATAGACAGATATCATAAACACTGAGTGAAAAAGAATTAGAGATTCAGAGCCCAAAGCCATGCTCATTAATTACAACACACACAAACACCATAATTTAAATAAGTGAAAGGTGGAAGGGAAGGACATATATCAAATATACCATTGGTGCCTACAAAAGGGAGGGTCACAGATGCAGGAATTAATACAATTACAAAGGTGTCTGCGACATGAAGCAAAGAGTAGGATCATTTTAATTTTGTGTAATTGAGGCGGTAGTGGTCATGGGAAAAGTGGATAGCAGTGTTCTTATGAGTGAAACACAGTAAGTACGGATTTTTCATACTTACAACTTTCTTGTATTTGTTACTTGTAAATCTTGCTCCAGAGCCATCTATAATGTGCCATGACAATGCACCCAACAGTACATTACCATTCTATAAACTTAACATGTTTTGGCACAATCATTTCAATTTATGAATGGTATATAACAGAAACCAGAATAAAAATTGCCAAAAACTAAATTAGCTAATACTAAATCTAATGAAGAATAAAGCTTTGATTATGCTTTGAAATAAAGTCAGGGAGGAAACTAGATAAAAAAGACTCCTTTGGTATTGAACTTGACACTGTGGTTAATAACTTGGCACACAAAATGCCTCTTAGCAGATTGCTAAATACACATATCAAAGTTAACCCTGACAGTTAATAACCTGCTGCAGAAACATGCTTGTATTAGTCCATTTTCACACTGCTATGAAGAACTTCCCTGAGACTGGGTAATTTACAAAGGAAAGAGGTTTAACTGACTCACAGTTCTGCATGGCTGGGGAGGCCTCAGGAAACTTACAATCGTGGCAGAAGGTGAAGAGGAAGCAAGCACCTTTTTCAGAAGGCAGCAGGAGAGAGAAGGGAGCAAGAGAGGAACTATTGAAACACTTATAAAAACCACCAGATCTCATGAGAACTCACTCACTATCATGAGAACAGTATGGGGGAAACCACCCCCATGATTCAATCACCTCCCTCCCTCAACATGTGGGGATCACGGGTCCCTCCCTCAATATGTGGGAATTACAATTCAAGATGAGATTTGGGTGGGAACACAGAGCCAAACCTGCTTTACTTTAGAATACATGTATGTTTCCTATAGACTCCTAATTCATTACAAGCTTTTTGCTTGCCATCTCTAAACTACAAATTACTTTCTAAAATAAAATGAACTGCAAGGAGGAGATCAGTACCAGGTGGAAATCAAATTAACTAATGTGTTCTGAGGAGCTGCCACTTGAAATGCTCAGTGCAACATGGAGAGTTCTGCAGTGGTGTACCTGGGGCTTGAGGAGCTTGTAGTCTGATCAACCAAGATGCAAGGCCCCCAACCCATCCCCCACCCCCTACCCTGTTCCTATTCCTATAGGAGTTTGTGTGGGATCTTGGAATAATCACTTAAGTTTCTTTGTCTCCCTTTCATTGAGTGACACTGAGCTCCAGGCAACAAAGACAGTAGACAACCACATATTGGAAAAGGAGTCAGAACTCTCATTTTGTTCCTAGCTTGTTAACCTATAAAAGGGGAGATGACAATATATCCCCACTGTGCTATATATAATCTTTGTCATTTGTAAAAATTATTAAAACCCTGAAGGCTTGTTATAAATGCTGACCCCGGAGTCCTAGTCAAGAGACCCCCTGCAATGGAGACCACTGTGCAATAAGATCCTTATAGCACCCCACAGATGAATCTCCTTAAAGACAGACACACTTTATAAAAATCTGTTCTAAGAAGAAGTTTCACAAAGAATCCAGGATACCTGTTTTTTCCTTCTTGGAAGGATGTTTCTAGCAATAAGACCACCTTGCCCTGCAAAGTTTTTAAATTTAAGCTGAAATAATTTGATTTGCTCCATCAAATTCCTCCACATCCTCCTTTTACTTACCATAACAATAAAATATTCTGAAAATATTTCTACATAGGAAATATTTCTACAGGAATTCTCTTATGCATTACAAATTCCTATTAACATCAAATGAAGACACCATAGACAAGAAATGCAGAGAGCTTTCAATCTCCCATTAGGCTTAAACCGACTTCTTTTTTCTCTTTTTTACTTTAAGTTCTGGGATACATGTGCTGAACGTGCAGGTTTGTTATATAGGTATACATGTGCCATGGTGGTTTGCTGCACCTATCAACTCGTGATCTAGGTTTTAAGCTCTGCATACATTAGGGATTTGTCCTAACGCTCTCCCTCCCCTTTCCCCCTACCCCTGGACAGGCCCGGGTGTGTGATATTCCCCTCCCTGTGTCCATGTGTTCTCATTGTTCAGCTCCCACTTATGAGTGAGAATATGTGGTGTTTGGTTTTCTGTTCCTGTGTTAGTTTGCTGAGGATGATGATTAAACCTATTTCTTATACGCCACGAGCTTCCAAATCAATGTCTCTACAACAGTAAAACAAAGTCTCTGAGCCCCTTGAGTTATGTGTAACCAGGTGGAACATAAATATATGAGAAGAGAAAGGCAGCACTGTTTAATGCCATTAGGTGGGCTCTAAGAGCAATAGCTAGCTGCATGTGTCACTATCATAGGGTGGCACTTCTCAATTTTTTTTTCCTGACTCACTTTCTGTCCAACCACCACCACCCCACCTCCTGCCACTAAGTTGTTTTTATCTTTTGTTCTCTTCTTTCGGTAGCCACAACTTGCTCCAGGATTCGGTGTTGTTGAAGGAAAAGGACCAGTCAGTGCTCAGATTCCATTTCTACCTGATGCACTTCCCTAGTAAATGGAGGATAACCAAATTGAGCATCATCCAATTCAGTAAGTAACAAACAAGGTGGTATTATCAGAGAGAGGGCCACAGATAGTCTTCTGTGAAGAGGCTAAGGGTGAGGGAGGGCTTGCTGGCAATGAAACAAGGTTTCAGAGGTCTCACAGAAATATCTGCCAGTAGAAGAATGACTTGTGGAGAGGAAGGTCCAAGTGCGGAGTGAGGAGAACATGGCCAAGAGGTGACATGGCTAAGAGGCATGATGGAGCTGCCAGTTTCTCAGTGGGACCCTCCTGAGGAAGGTGCTTCCCACTGGCCCAGAGCTAGTGAGTGCTTCCTGCCAGTGCCTGTCTGGAGCTTCTGCTCAGGCCTCCAACCATTCAAGGGGGAAAGTGCTTTTTGGGCCTCAGATGGTAGGAGTTAGTGAGGGCTCGCCCATGGAAGGAGGGACTGAGCTCCAGGCTGGTGGGTTAGTTTTAACACTTCCACCATCATGGTGGAACTACATAGTTGGTACTACTGTTATCTCTATTTTAAAAAACAGGCACAGAGAAGTTAAACAAGTTACTCAGGGTCACAAACCAGTAAATGGCAGCATGGGATTAGGAATCAGGAAAATTATAAACTACTATATAAAGAAGTTAAAAAGAATGCTATGCATTGGTTTAGATGGGAGGTTGAAGATTTCCATTTATCTCTCATATCCATTTGGAGAGATCATCAAAAGAACAGCAAAGAAACAAAAAGGCATCCATAATAATGAGGGAAATGGGAAGAAGGCCATCAGCACATAGGAAAAGTCTGTAAATTTCTGGAAATCAGAAAATAAATCAAAGAGTATAGCATGATAAAACTGAGTGTAGAAAATTACAGCCTAGAACCCAGATGGAGGCAGGCTTTGGCTATGGAAAAAGCCAACCAGTACAGCAAAGCCTTGGAAAGGCTTTGTACCTGGACAATGCCCTCATAATGGTAGGAAGAGTGATATGGAAGTTCATCTCTCCCTATAATCCTATGTGCAAATGGCTGCAGCTAAGTAACTCTCAGATGCATACATACATGTGCCACACATGCACACACAAAATAGATCTTTACTAAACAAATTAAGTGAACTTTCTTGGGGTGGAAGGTAGGAGGACTAAGGGAGCTCAAAACACCTTCCACATTCTGGCATTGGGGGATGGGCAGTGTATTCTGCACCCTCCCCCTCTCCCCTTTGTCTTCTATCATAAAGCAAAGTCTTTGCCTCTTGGAAAACCTCACCCATATCATGAAGGCCTGAGCCAGCCATGCTACTGGCTAATTCTCAATATGAACAGATAGCCAAGACTCACCAAACACTTGAGAAAAGTCTTCATGAAGAAAATCAGACAGACACACAGCTATGCACATATACCCCATGGCAAAAAAGAAGAAAATGAATCCAGATGAAACAGATAATTCTGAGAACAGGAGAGAGGGTTTTTTTTAAAAAAAGGACAGCAGCCTCAGGGAGAACTAAGAAAATCCTGTATTCATACAACAAGAGCAGACACTCACAGAAAAGGAACAATTGAAAGCCAGAAAGAGTTCTTGGAAATTACCATATGATTGTCAAAATGAAAACTTCAATAGAAAAGCTGAGGAATCTAATCTAAGAATCTTTCATATAATAGAACTAAGAAGGGGCTAGAAAAAAAAAACAGGAAAAAATGAAGAAAATATTAAAAGTGTAAAAATCAGTAAAATAGAAATCAATCGATAGAAGAAAATCAATAAGAACAAACGTTTTTTAAAAAGATCAGTAAACTAAACCTCTAGCTAAACTAATTAAGAATAAAAGAAGAAAGACATAAATTACCAATATCAGGAATAAAAAAGGAGATATCATTAAATGTTCTATAGAAATTAAAACCATAACAAGAAAATAATGTGAACAACTTTATACCTGTAAGTTAAAAAACTTAGATGACATAAACAAATAAGGAACAAAATTACCAAAACTGACATAGGAAGAAACAGAACATCTGAATAGCTCCCTCTATCTATTAAAGATATTGAATTCATAACAGAAAATCTTCTCAGGCCCAGACAGTTTTATTGGGAAAGTATATAAAACATTTAAGGAATAAATATTATCAATTGATATGGTTTGGCTGTGTCCCCACCCGAATCTCATCTTGAATTCCCATGTGTTCTGGGAGGGACCCAGTGGGAGGTAACTGAATCACTGGAGCAAGTCATCCCTGTGGTGTTCTCATGTTAGTGAATAAGTCTCACAAGATATGATGGTTTAAAAAAGAGGAGTTCCCTGCACAAGCTCTCTCCCTTTGCCTGCTGCCATTCATGTAAGACGTGACTTGCTCTTCCTTGCCTTCTGCCATGATCATGAGGCTTCCTCAGCCATGTGGAACTGTAAGTCCAATTAAGCCTCCTTCTTTTATAAATTGCTCAATCTCGGGTATGTCTTTATCAACAGCATGAAAATGGACTAATACAGTAAACTGGTACCAGCAGAATGGGGCGCTGCTGAAAAGATACCCAAAAATGTGGAAGCAATTTTGGAACTGGGTAACAGGCAGAGGTTCGAACAGTTAGGAGGGCTTAGAAGATGATAGGAAAATGTGGGAAAGTTTGGAACTTCCTAGAGACTTGTTGAATGGCTTTGACAAAAATGCTGATAGTGATATGAACAATAAGGTCTAGGCTGAGGTGGACTCAGATGGAGATGAGAAACTTGTTGGGAAGTGGAGCAAAGGTGACTCTTGTTAGGCTTTAGCAAAGAGACTGGTGGCATTTTGCCCCTGCCCTAGAAATTCATTTAACTTTGAGCTTGAGAGAGTTGATTTAGGGTATTTGGTGGAAGAAATTTCTAAGCAGCAAAGCATTCAACAGGTGACTTGGGTGCTGTTGAAAGCATTCAGTATTTTGTTTGTTTGCTTTTCGAGAGAGAGGTTTGCTCTTGTCACCCAGGCTGGAGTGCAACGGTACGATCTTGGCTCACTGCAACCTCCGCCTCCCAGGTTCAAGTGATTCTCCTGCCCCAGCCTCCCAAGTTGCTGGGATTACAGGCACCCACCACCACACCTGGCTAATTTTTTGTATTTTTAGTAGAGATGGGGTTTTGCCATGTTGGTCAGGCTGGTCTCGAACTCCTGACCTCAGGTAATCCACCCACCTCGGCCTCCCAAAGTGGTGGGATTACAGGTGTTAAACCACCATACCAGGCCTAGCACTCATTTTTATAAGGGAAGCAGAGCATAAAAGTTTGGAAAATTTGCAGCCTGACAATGTGATAGAAAAGAAAATCCCATTTTCTGAGGAGAAATTCAAGCCAGCTACAGAAATTTGCATAAGTAATGAGGAGCTGAATGTTAATCCCCAAGACAATGGTGAAAATGTCTCCAGAGCATGTCAGATGGGAGGCAGCCCCTCCCATCACAGGCCAGGAGGCCTAGGAGGAAAAAGCGGTTTTGTGGGCCAGGCCCAGGGTACCCATGCTGAGTGCAGCCTAGGGACTTGGTGCCCTGTGTCCCAGCCACTCCAGCCGTGGCTGAAAGGGGCCAATGTAGAGCTCAGGCCATGGCTTCAGAGGGTGCAAGCCCCAAGCCTTGGCACCTTCCACGTGGTGTTGAGGCTGTGAGCACACAGAAGTCAAAAACTGAGGTTTGGGAGCCTCTGCCTAGATTTCAGAAGATCTATGGAAATGCCTCGATGTCCAGGCAGAAGTTTGCTGCAGGGGCGGGGCTCTCATGGAGAACCTTTGCTAGGGCACTGAGGAAGGGAAATGAGGGGTCAGAGCCCCCACACAGAGTCTCTACTGGAGCACTGTCTAATGGAGCTGTGAAAAGAGGGCCACTGTCCCCCAGACCTGAGAATGGCAGATCCACTGACAGCTTTCACTGTGCACCTGGAAAAGCTGCAGACACTTAACACCAGCCCCTGAAAGCAGCCAGGAGGGAGGCTGTACCCTGCAAAGCCACAGGAGCAGAGCTGCTCTTGCATCATCGTTACCTGGATGTGAGACATGGAGTCAAAGGAGATTTTGCTATGAAGAGAAAATAGCTTGTGGATTGAAAGCATTTATAATTAAAGCTTAAAACATGACCTAGATGCTTACATTATACAACCCCAGGTGCCACAAAAGTGTACTTATGCTCAATGCTAAGTACCTACCTCTTGCATTACCTGTATGTGAGACATGGAGTCAAAGGAGATCATTTTGGAGCTTTAAGATTTTACTGCCCTGCTGGATTTTGGACTTGCATGGGGCCTGTAGCCCCTTTGTTTTGGCAAATTTCTCCCATTTGGAATGGCTGTATTTACCCAATGCCTGTACCCCCACTGTATCTAGGAAGTAACTGACCTGCTTTTGATTTTAGAGACTCAGGTGGAAGGGACTTGCCTTGTCTTGGATGAGTGGACTGTGGACTTCTGAGTTAATGCTGAAATGAGCTAAGACTTTAGGGGACTGTTGGGAAAGCATGATTGGTTTTGAAATGAGAGGATGTGAGATTTGGGAGCAGTCAGGGACAGAATGATATGGTTTGGCTGTGTCCTTACCCAAATCTCATCTTGAATTCCCATGTGTTGTGGGAGGGACCCGGTGGGAGGTAACTGAATCATGGGGGCAAGTCTTTCCCATGCTGTTCTCGTGATAGTGAGTAAGTCTCATGAGGAGTTCCACGGCACAAGCTCTCTCTCTTTGCCTACTACCATCTATGTAAGACATGACTTGCTCTTCCTCGCCTTCCGCCATGATCATGAGGCTTCCTCAGCCATATTGAACTGTAAGTCCAATTAAACATCTTTCTTTTGTAAATTGCCCAATGTATGTTTTTATCAGCAACCTGAAAAAGGAATAATACATCAATCCTACACAGCCTCTCTCTGAAAAAAAAAGGAGGGGACATTCATGAGGACAGTATTATTCTGATACCAAAACCTGACAAAAACATTTCAAGAAAAGAACACCACAGACCAATATCTCTCATTGGTATAGACGTAAAATTCTTTAGCAAAATATTAGAACATCAAATCCAGCAATCTCTAATAAAATATGGCCAAGTGGGATATATTTCAGAAATGCAAAGTTGGGCTAGGCTTGGTGGCTCACATCTGTAATCCTAGCACTTCAGGAGGCCAAGGTGGGAGGATCACTTGAACTCAGGAGTTTGAGACCAACCTGGTCAACATAGCAAGACCCTGCAGCTACAAAAAATTAAAAAATTAGCCAGGCATGTTGGCACATGCCTATAGTCCCAGCAACTTGGGAGGCTGAGGTAGACAATCACTTGAGTCCAAGAGGTTGAGGTTGCAGTGAGCCATAACTGCCCCACTGCACTTCAGCCTAGGTGACAGACAGAGACCCCATATAAAAAAAAATGCAAGATTGGTTTTACATTAGAAAGTTATTTAATATAATTCAACACATTAACAGAATAAAGAAGAACAATGATCCATCATATCAATATATACAGAAAATTTTTGACAAACTTCAGTAGTCATTCAGGATAAAAAGTCTCAGTAAAATGGAAATAGAGGCAAATTTCCTCAATCTTAAAAAGATACTGAGAAAGAGAGTCACTAACATCATACTTAATGGTAAAAACTTAATTGCTTTTTCCTTAAAATCAGGAACAAAACAAGAATGATAACTTTTACTAGTTCTATTGAACATTCTGCTGGAGATCCTAACCAGTGCAATCAGGCAAGAAAAGTAAACAAAGAACCTATAGATTATAAATGAAGAAGATAATTTGTTTTTATTTGCAGATGATGTGGTCATGTACAGAGTAAATCCTAAGTTTTACCCCATATAAATAAAACTATTACTAATAAGCAAATTTTTCAAAGTTTCAGGATAAAAGGTCAACATAAAAAGCAATTTTCTTCCTGTCAGCTGTCTTGCATCACTTAACAATGGATATATATTCTGGGAAATGTGTCATTAGATGATTTTGTCATAGTGTAAACATCATAGACAGTATTTACACAAACCTAGACAGTCTACCACACCTAGGCCATGTGGTATAGCCCATTGCTCCTAGGCTACAAAAATGTACAGCATGTTACTATACTAAATACTGTCCCCAGCTGTAACACAATGGTAAATATTTGTGTATCTAAATATATATAAACATATAAAAGGTACAGTAAAAATGTGGTATTGTGAAACCCTGTCTCTACTAAAAATACAAAAATTAGCCAGGTATGGTGGCAGGCACCTGTAATCTCAGCTGCTTGGAGGCTGAGGCAAGAGAATCAATTTAACCTGGTAGGCAGAGGTTACAGTGAGCTGAGATCACACCACTGCACTCCAGCCTGGACAACAGGGTGAGACTTCATCTCAAAAATAAATAAATAAATAATCTTATGAGACCACTGTCATATATATGGTTCATTACTGATTGTAATGTTGTTATGCAGCACATGACTGTACCAGCAATTAAAATTGGAAATGGATATTTAGGGATGAATACAATATGTACAAATTCTGTCAAATAAATCTATAAAATATTGTTGTGAAAAATTAAAGAGGACCTAAATAAATGGAAAGATATACAAAGTTCATGAATTAGAACATTCAATATTGTTAAAATGTCAGTTTATCTTCTCCAAATCAATCTAATGAAATGCAGTCTCAAAAAGTTTTGTAGGAATCAGCAAATTGATTTTAAAATTCCTCTGGGAATGCAGAGAATCCAGAACGGCAAAACAACTTGAAAAAAGAACAAAGTTACAGGACTAACACTATCTGACATGAAGAGTTAAAACAACAGTAATTGGGCTGGGCATGGTAGCTCATGCCTGAAATCCCAGCACCCTTGGGAGGCTGAGGAGGGTGGATCATGAGGTCAGGAGATCAAGACCATCCCGGCCAACATGGTGAAACCCTGTCTCTACTAAAATACAAAAAATTAGCCAGGCGTGGTGGTGCGTGCCGGTAGTTCCAGCTACTCGGGAGGCTGAGGCAGGGGAATCGCTTGAACCCGGGAGGCAGAGGTGGCAGTGAGCCGAGATCACTGCACTGCACTCCAGCCTGGTGACAGAGCAAGACTCCATCTCAAAAAAAAAAAAAAAAAACAAACAAAAAAACCAGTAATCAACACATAAGAATATAGATATATAAATGGAATATAATAGAGTCCTGAAATTGAGACACACATATATGGCAAGATGAATGTAGACAAGGTGCGAAAGTAATCAATGAGAAAAAAGGGTCTTTTAAACAAACGACTAGAGTAACAACTGGATATTCATATAGGAAAACAATGAACCTTAACCTCTCTCTCATACTATAAACAAAAATTAACTTGAAATGGATCATAGGTATAAATGTAAAAGTTAAAACTGTAAAACTCATTGAAGAAAATCTTCAGGACCTTAGGGTAACCAAAGATTTTTCTGACAAGACATAAAAAAGCAATAATCACAAACACACAACGAGAAACTGTACTTTACCAAAAATTAAAAATTTGTCTTCAACACATTATGTTAAGTAAATGAAAAAGCACATCATACACTGGGGAAAATATCTGCAATATATGTATTATATTTGACAATTAACTTGTGTATTGAATATGTAAAGAATACATGAAACTCAATAATGAAAAGATGGTGCAACAAAAATGAGCATAAAACTTTAACAGAATGTTCACAAATAGTATGCTAATAAACACATGAAGAGATGTTCAACATCATTAGTTGCCAGGGAAATGCAAACTAAAATCACAATGAAATATCAATGCATCTATCAGAATGGCTAAAAAAACTAAAAACTGACAATGGCAAATATTTGCAAGGATTTAGAACAACTGGAACTCTCAATCATTGCTGGTTGAAGTTTATGTAAAATGTTAAAACCACTCTATAAAACAGTTAGAAAATTTCTTATAAAGTTAAATATATACTTATCATAAGACTCAGTCATTCCACTAAAGTATTTACCCAAGAGAAATAAAGACATATGCACATGAGAAATGGGTACAAGAATGTTCACTGCTGCCTCATTCATAACGGTAAAAATATGGAAACAACCCAAATGTTCATTAATGGGTGAATGGATAAGAAATCTATGGTATATTCATACAATGGAATAAATATTTAGCAATATAAAGCAACAAGCTACATGCAATGACATGGATGAATCTCAAAAGCATTATGCTAAATAAAAAGCCAGATATAAAGAATACTTACTATGTTATTCCATCTATATGAATTTCTGTAACAGGCCATTGTCATCTGTAGTGACAAGAAAGCACTTCAGTGACAGCCTGTGCTGGGGAGTAGAAGGGACTGATTGCAGAGGGGAGGAGGAAACTTTCCAGAGTGATAGAAATGTTCTAAATCTTCTTGTGGTGGTGATTTTGGATGTATACAATTGTTGAGACCTATCAAGCTGAACATTTAAAATGGGTCCTCTTTATTGTATGTAAATTATACTTCAAGAAAGCTGATGAAGAATAGTGCATAAGGTATAATGCAGTGATCCTTCCTTAACTCTTCTAATTTTAACTGCAACAGTAATAAATACAATGTCAGACAGAGAGATTCACAAACCAAATTGTAAAGACAATTAAAAGAAAATACAAACGAATTTAGAGTTTTCCAGTCAATTTATAGCTATGAAACTACATGGAAAAACACTGACACTTTATTTAGCTTTCATCACAGTGATGGAGTTCTTAGCATTGAGCATAAGTACTCTTTTGTGGTGCCTGGGGTTGTATAATGTGAGTATCTAGGTCATATTTTAAGCTTTAATTATAAATCCTTTCAATCCACAAGCTATTTTCCTTTCATAGCAAAATTACTTTCCTGCTTTGGCCATAATGTCTAATAATTTTTAGCAGTGATTTCTTATGTGTTTAAAAAATTGCTGTGGGCACAATGCTGGTAGGTGGGTAATCCTTAAGGATTTCACAAAGTGGTCTACTCTACAAGTTGGTTTCATAATTTCCACAACTATTTCAGTCACCATGGCATCCCCAGTGTGCAGCACAGTATTGACACATGGGCCCTTGGGAAATGCTGAAAGGCTTATCTCTGACCCAAAACACTTTCCTGTAACAGAAAGAGCCCTGGAAGGATGGAAGCTTCCTGTGAAGGAGTCAAAGAGTGACAGAGCAAAGGCTGCACCAGTGGAAGAACTGTCACCATATGCCTGGTATGTGTGCACATGGCTTTCTAGGACTGTACAAAAAAACAGTGAATTTTCGGGATTTCTGGAGCTCACATAAACTTTAAATGTAAATCAAGCTTTACAAAGTTCCCACAGCACCCAATGTTTCACCTGTTTTCATGAATGCATCCAGGCTTCAAACTAAACAATCTCAGCAGGTCAGACTGTGGTGGTGGTAACTCAAATCTCTTCCCTAAACATCTCAGTGGGTTTTCTTTTTTTTGTTTTCTTTTTTTTTTTTTTGAGACAGAGTCTCGCTCTGTTGCCCAGGCTGGAGTGCAGTAGTGCGATCTCGGCTCACTGCAACCTCCGCCTCCTGGGTTCAAGTGATTCTCCTGCCTCAGCCTCCCGAGTAGCTGGGGCTACAGCTGCATGCCACCAAGGCTGGCTAAGTTTTTGTACTTTTAGTAGAGACAGGGTTTCACTGTGTTAGCCAGGATGGTCTCAATCTCCTGACCTCGTGATCCACCCACCTCGGCCTCCCAAAGTACTGGGATTACAGGTGTGAGCCACCACGCCTGGCTGGATTTTCAATCCTACATCAATTAGCTGCTTTTTTTTTTTTTTTTTTTTTTGAGATGGAGTCTTGTCCTGTCACACAGGCTACAGTGCAATGGCACGATCTTGGCTCACTGCAACCTCCACCTCCCAGGTTCAAGCGATTCTCCTGCCTCAGCCTCCAGACTAGCTGGAATTACAGGCACACACAACCATGCCCGGCTAATTTTTTTTTTGTATCTTTAGTAGACATGGGGTTTCACCATGTTGGCCAGGCTGGTCTCAAACTCCTGACCTCGTGATCCACCCACCTTGGCCTCCCAAACTGCTGGGATTACAGGCGTGAGCCACCATGCCCGGCCTAATCAGCTGCTTTTAGTGATTTGCCCCGCGGACAATTCCTTCAGGTTTATATTGATTTCATCTCCTACTGATTCATCAAATTAACAGGACTTGAAGGCACATGACCTGTCAAGAATCTTTCACTATTCTCTTTTATAATATTCCAGGTCCTGTTCAGTTGTTTCATTAATTGCACTGTTAGGAGTGAAAATTCTAAAGGCTTCTGGAAGTGCCAAGAACCAGTGCTTTTACCTTTATAAATGAAGCTACCCTAAACAAGAGATGCATGGTGGTCATTGCACAGGTATCACAGTCAAAGGTTTCTTCTCCAGAACACCCCCACTAAGGAAGTCCATGGCCTTCAGTCTCCCATTATCCTTAAACATACTTCTATACTCAGTGTTTAATCTTCTTCTAATGACTAGAGTCTTTAAAAGTTTTTGTAGAGGTTCACATATGTCTGTATATATATTAATTCCACACACCCACAAACATATATTTTAAATATAATCCAGCTCTTTCTTAGATAGACAGGAAGCTCCACGAGGCAAGGAATTTGATCATCTGCTTTTGTGATGGCTAGTGCTGTCAGGAAACATTCTTGGACATACTGTGGGTAAACAGTCAATGTAAAGCTTAACAAATGCAGATGTTGCTGAACTTCAGAGAAGTATCAACAATTGGAGTTGTATTTTAAAAACTACATTCTACTTTATAACAGTTTTATTCATAATTGCCCAAACTGGAAGCAATTAGAATGTCTTTCAGTAAATAAATTGATAAACAAACTGTTGCATAGTTATATAATGACATATTACTCAGTGGTAAGAAGAAATGACCTATCAAACCATGAAAAGACATAGAGAAATCTTAAATGGATACTGCTAAGTAAAAGGAGCAGGTCTGAAAAGGCTACCTACTGAATGATTCCAACATTCTGGAAAAAGCAAAACTATAGAGACAGTGAAAAGATCAGAGGAACCTGTTTGGGCTATGGGGAGTATGGGAGATATATCGTAATTCTTTTGTTTTTGTTTTTTCTTTTTGAGACGGAGTCTCGTTCTGTCGCCCAGGCTGGAGTGCAGTGGCGCACTCTTGGCTCACTGCAAGCTCCGCCTCCGGGGTTCATGCTATTCTCCTGCCTCAGCCTCCTGAGTAGCTGGGACTACAGGCGCGCCTGGCTAATTTTTTGTATTTTTAGTAGAGACGGGGTTTCACCGTGGTCTCGATCTCCTGACCTCATGATCTGCCTGCCTCGGCCTGGTAATTATTTTATTTATTTATTTATTTATTTATTTATTTATGTATTTATTTATTTTGAGGCAGAGTTTCACTTTGTCATCCAGGCTGGAGTGCAGTAATGCAATCTTGGCATATTGTAGCCTCAACCTCCCGGGCTCAAGCAATCCTCTCACCTCAGCTTCCTGAGTAGCTGAGAGTACAGCCGCATCTCACCACACACACAGCTAATTTTGTGATTTTTATAGAGAGTGGTTTTTACCATGTTGCCAGGCTAATCTCAAGCTCCTGAACTCAAATGATCCACCTGCCTCTGATTCCCAAAGTGCTGGGATTACAGGTGTGCACCACCGCTCTTGGCCAATATATGGTAATTCTACGTTCTGCATAATTTTTCTATAAAACTAAGACTGCTCTAAAAAAATTAAGTTTATAAATTTATAAATTACATTGTAAATCAAGACTGTTTAATGTTACATCATTAAACAGATATAGTCTGGTTGTAGAATAATTTTCCATTAAAGTATTTTTAGAAGGATGCTATAATGATTTCTTCTCTTACATAACACTGCTGTGGTGACCCAGAAAATATTTAGAAAACACTTTCCCCCAGTTGGAAACCTATTTATAAAAACATCAAACACTCAACCCCAGTTTTAACTAACAGAAAAAGTATATCCAATTAAAACAGAAACATTAGGAAAAAAATCAAGTATAAATAAAAGATTTATTTTTTCCTTACTTGCTTGCCATAAAATATCTCTTATTTAGGAAGAGACAAAGTTTTAAAATTCAATGCTTAGGAAATGGAATATTCCTTGCAAGTCTAGATTTTCTATTCTTGATCCAAAACCTCATCATGTCCCTCTGCCGCAGAGGAGGAGTGTTCAGGGCGTCTGGGTGAACATCAAGGGTGTTAAATTCCACATGTAACCAGTTTTCTTGAAGACATTCCTACAAATGATACGCTCCCATAGGTACTCCCATATTATGATGAAATCCCAAGCTTCTAGACACAATTTCCAATATAATACAGTGACAGAGGAGCAAGTATTTAAAAAAGAAAGAAAAAGAAAACAAAGCAAGCTGGACATGCTACTCAAGAGGCTGAGGCAGGAGGATCACTTGAGCCCAGGAGTTTGAGGCTGCAGTAAGCCATGATAGTGCCACTGCACTCCAGCCTGAGTGACACAGTGAGACCCCATCCCTAAAAAAAATTTCTTTTTAAGAAAAGTGAAACAAAACATCATAGGAAACAATCAAATCCACACTGTGGAACAATCTACAGGCAAGCTGACCTTGCCTCTTCAAAAATCAATGTCATGGCTACTTTATCAGTGAAGATCACAAATAAATGGATGAAAAAAAGGTCAAATGTTTATGGCAGCTCTATTCAAAATCACAAAGGCTGGAAAAAAAATCAAAATATTCCTCTTCTACAGAATGGAAAAACAAGCTGTGGTATATCCACACGATAGTACACTACTCTGCAACAAAAAAGGAACAAACTATTGATAAATGCAATAACATGGATGAATCTCAAATGCATTATGCCAAGTGAAAAACAAACAGACTTAAGAGCCTATGTACTATATGATTCCATTTATATGATACTCTGAGAAAGGCAAAACTCGTAGGGAGAGAGAACAGATTAGTGGTTAAGGGTAGGGAGAGAGTTTGACAATGGAGGGAAATTTGGAAAGGAGGATGAAACTGTTCTATTTCTTAATTTTGATTATTATTACATGAATTAATACAAAAACACACAGGTCTTTACACCAAAAAGTATGACTTTTCCTGTATGTAAATTTTTTAAAAAACCCTTAAAATTTTTAAAATGAAAAAAAGTCACTGATATGGTGGGTAGGGGGAAAGGGTGATAGGACTGTTCAAGTTTAAAAGACACCAAAAAAGAGGGTCTGAAGTTATCACAGTGAGTTATCTCAGTTGATCGTTCATGGTCAGTTACAGATCGAACTCCTTGTTCCACTCTTTCCCCACCCTTCTCACTACTGCACTTGACTAGCCAAAAAAAAAGACAGAGAGAGAGACCAAAGAGGCATAACAACCAAATGCAATGAATTTTGACTGGCTCTTCCTATTTGACGTAGGAGGAAAAATTGCTATAAAAAAAATTTTTGGAAGACAATTGGGGAAATGTAAATATAGACCAGATTTTAGAGGAAATTATGAAATTCTTGTTAATTTTCATAATGTGATAATGGCAATGGGATTAAATAGGAGACTATCCTTATTCTTAGGAGATGTATGCTGAAATATTTAGGTAAATTGCCTTGATGTCTGCACCTTACTTTCAAGAAGTTCATTTTTTAAAAAGTTGTGTTTTTATCTGTATGGTCTGTATGTGCATGTATATACATAAAAATAAAGCAAATATAAGCAAAATGATAAATATGAATGACAACTACAGAATTTGGGTTAAAGGCATACAACTATTCACTGAACTTTTAGCATTTCTGTATATTTGAAAATTTCAAAGTAATAAGTGGAGAGAAATCATTCACAAAACTAATCTTGGCAAATCAGTGTGTTGTGAAATCCTCTCTGGAAGATTTTTGGTCCAAAATGTCTTTTTTTTTTATAGCTGTTTTCCTACTAGACAGAATCTAGTCAAAATTCATGCACAGCATTTGATTATGTCTCTCTGGTCTCTTTTAAACGTGATCAGTGCCCAGTATTGGATCTCTCATGACGAGACACTGTCCGCTTTGCTGGCCTGATTCCATGCCCAGCGCCGTCTACACTCTCCTCCTGGATGTCATAAGCCACGTTCTTCCTCACTGCTAGGCTCCTGCCACGTCACTCTACTTGCTCCCCTTGCCTACCATGATAAAGCTGGTCTGGAATGCTCTGAGCCCTACAGGCACAGTCAGAGAGAGCATGACCACCCCTGTGCTCTCAGTGCCACACGCGCCTCTCCCACATGCCACTGTCATTATTTGTTATCTGTTGACTTTTCTCATGTGTCAATTTACCAGAATGGTAGGAAAGAAATCCCATTCGCTCTTCTACCACTTTATGCCCAATACTGTTCCTAGACATGCTGAAGAAAATAGTTGATTTAACTGAAGGTTTCTCAACCTCAGCGTTTCTCAACCTCAGCACTGCTGACATTTTAGACTGGAAAATTCTTTGTTGTGGGGAGCTGCCCTGGACGTCATAGGATGTTCAGCAGCACTTCAACATTGAATAAATGAATGAATGATCCTGAGGTATTCTTAAACAAATGGCAATTATTGGGTGGGGTTGTGGGGAAGGCTATACAAAGAAAATTACAACCCCTGAAGATGGAGAGGTCTGGAGTCAGTGACAGAGGCCTGGTGATGACAGTGAGAGTGCAGCCCAAGTGACAACACAGCTGGGCTGAGGAGGGTTCAGAGCAAACACACACAGTCATTCATTCCTCCCAGCCAGCATGTGTATACAGTTTTGGAATGATCCAAAGAGCATTTTTATATTGTGTGCAACTGAGAGAAAGTGGTATAACAGAGGCCTTTTTGGTTTTGGTATAAAGCAATTTCAAGCAAAGGCAAAATGATGATTATTGATTTCCACCTAGGATATAAAGGGCTATATAAGACTGATTACACGTGGTCATACCACTTGCTGCAAGTTTCAGTACTTCCCCGCCCCCCCCAACCCCAATTTCTTCCTTTTTCACATTAGAAGATTGTCAGCTCACAAGAGAAAACTGATGGGCTCAGAGGACTTTATCAGGATTGATTATCAAAACTAATATGTTGTTTTTCCAAGTCGATAAAACATTGCAGAGCTCAAAGCAGGAGGAGCAACATTTCCCCAGAAAATGAGAGTTTTTCTTGCTGGCAGCTAAGCTTCTTGGTGGACAATAAACTAAAACAATCTCTCCTTGATTACATTTTTGACTTGTAAATGTTTTAAACTGGCTTAGCCAAAGCTCTCATTAAGAGACATATTCATTAACTTTGGTTGTCCATAATAAATTTGTATTTTAAAACAGCTCTTTGATGTTTAATTCAGAAAAATTAAAACAAACACTGTTTAAAAAGAATGAATGTATAAATAAGTCAAATGTCAACTATAATAAATCATCATTTAAAAATATGACCTTTAGTGGTATTTTAGAATGAATACATGTATTTGATTTTTATGTTTAAAGAAATTTGCATTTATGGTCATTACAGATTCAAGTTGCCACATAAAGAAATGCTGTTATCATGCAACAAAACAGATGGTCCCCAAAATCTTTCTAAGAAATCTATCTATCTAATCTAGTCAAGAGGGGAGTTTGAAGCTCAGTTTTCTCTCTGATTTTATTATCACTAATTATTTTGTAGAATTTTTTTTTGTCCTTTGGTTTTTAACTAGACATGATTATTTAAATATATAATCACTATAGTAGGAGAAAAGAAAGAAACACAGAAAAGCCAAAATAAATAAATTACCCAAATCTTAATAGCCAGAGAAAACTACTGGTGTTAACATTGGATTATATCTGCCCAGGCCATTTATACAAAAGCAAACATCTATATACATGCCTTTATAAGCTTTTCACTTAGCACTATGTCACGGCTGTCTTTCCAAGGATAAATACTTACATACAGTTTTATGTTTATAGTGGCAAGATATACCATTATAAGGATGGGTCAACATTTATTCAATTATCTAATGTTGGACATATAGCTCCTTCTCGGTCTTGAACCTTACACACAACATTAGCGTGAAGAACCTGTGAATTTTTTTTCTTACAGTTTCTCTCTTTGGTGTCATTCTTATAGTCAAGGTCTCCCCACCCAAAGATCAGATAAATATTCACCTATAATTCTTTCCAGTCCTTTTATGGTTTTAATTTGTTATATTCATATATTTAACTTGACTGAATTTCATTTCAGTGTGTACTTTAAAAAAGGGGAGGCTTTATCCACTCTCCCCAAATGGCTTGCCATTTGTCCCAGCAACATTTAATACCTAATCAATCATTTTTCTACTGGCAAAAAATGCCTATCACAAATTTGTGGGGGGGGTTCTTTGTTTTTGTTTTGTTTTGTTTTTGAGATGAAGTCTTGCTGTGTTGCCTAGGCTGGAGTGCAATGGCGCAACCTTGGCTCACTGCAACCTCTGCCTCCTGGGTTCAGGACAGTCTCCTGCATCAGCCTCCGGAGCAGCCGGGATTACAGGCATGTGCTACCACACCTGGCAAAGTTTTTTTTATTTTTTAGTAGAGATGGGGTTTCACCATGTTGGCCAGGCTGGTCTTGAACTCCTGACCTCGAGTGATCTGCCCACTTCAGCCTCCCAAAGTGCTGGGATTACAGGTGTGAACCACCACACCTGGCCTACAAATTTGTATGTATCTATACTTTTGACAGTTCATGGAATTTATGATCTGTTCTATTTATCTATTTATTCTGGTGCCATTATCATAATTTTTCAGTTATTGTGGCTTTATTTTCTTCAAAAATGTCCATGGCCATTATCTCATATTTATTCTATGTGATTTACTTCAGAATCATATATTTTGATACACTGTTTGCTCATATTGTCATTTTATAATGTTAACTAGTTTTACAGTATTTTTTTCTGGGTTTTACAGTATTTTTTTCTGTTAGCTTATCTACTTTCCCCCTAAAATTATCATGTATTTAATCATGTCTAAATAAAAACCAAAGGGGAACAGAAGAAAATTCCAAAAAATAATTGTTGGTAGACCTGAAGGTTGCCCCCAAGTTTTCAGTTTATCTTGGTGATATCCATGTACCCATTCTGTGAATGTTACTGAATCCTAAGGTAGAAAGAGTCTCTACCTCTTCTAGGCCTGCTTTTGATCTCCAATTAGTGGGGTCTGTAGTGGTCTACTAGCATTTGTTAAATTCATTTCTCATGTCATCCCACCAATTGTCTCAGGAAGGGAAGACATTGGCTGGTTCTTGGTGTCTTCCTGAAGTTGGTCTGTCCTTCATGTTATATCAGATAAAAACTTCTCAACACCTGTAGAATGCAACGGACACCACTTCCCTGCCAGCTCCCTGTTTTCTCCTTTTCCTTTTCTTGGTTTATGGAGTTTTCTCCTTACTTTCCTTTTTCTTTGTAGTTTTTATCGGTTTTTTCCCTTACTTCACCATCTTCCCAAGAAATCTTGAGTTAGATCACTTTGTGGAACTTAGTATGAGCAAGCTATACCACTAATAAACATTAAAATAATGAGATAGCCTAAGAGTAACTGCTCAAAGAAAATGAAGACTATCCCCGAATTCATGCATGACCATAGCATGTATTTTGAAAGAAGAAAGAAAACATAGCAAACCTTGCCAATCAATAAGCAATTTGCCGATCAATAAGTAATTTCCCTGTACTATTCAATGCAGGCAGATCTCCACAGTGGGCAGATACAAGAGTTTTTTTTTCTTTTACCATGGGTAAAATTTCTTTTATTTGAGAAAGTAATGTGTATACATAGTTTTAAAAAATAAAGACAAAGAATATACAGAAAAGATCTTCCATCCATTCCTGCTCTGCACCCCTCTACCATCTTTCAGTATTCTCCCTAGAGACAAGCCCTGTTATTTATCTACTGGTTTACAAATAGAGAAATCTTTCATTATCCCTCAAATTAAAACTGATCAGCATATTGAGATGATATGATGTTGAGAAGATACAGTATTATTGTAACTGTTAAGAAAAGCTAGAATAATATCAAAGGTATTGTAGTGGATAAAACTTAGGCAGATGCACAAAAAAGATGTACCACCTCTCCCTTTTTATTAATGAATATGAAAATAATTTATAAATTACTTACTCAAACAAACATTTACTGAGCATCTACCATATGCTAGGGACTGTCCTAAGTGGTATGGACAGAAAATGAAGCAAGACGTACTCCATCTATTACCTTCCATTTCATTTTATTAAGATAATTGTTAATAACAGCTGACGTGTTATATTTTAAGTGCTAAATCAAAATGTCATTGCATAAAAGTCATTTGCAAATCAAACGGAACAATCTGAGCACAGATCTAAAACTCGTAATGCTTCCTTGGATCCTGGACCATAATACTGTACTTGTGGTAAGCTCAGAGCAGGAGGGAATAGCCTGATGACAAATTACCCCTCATCTTAAATGTTCTAACATCCCCTATACTGTCAGTCGACCTTGGGTGTGTTCACACACAATAGCACACAGGAAGACGCGAAGGTGACGTGGCCTTCCTGTTTGGGCAAGGCATAATCTTAACATAGAAGGTGCCTGTTGCTCATTACGGGCAGAAAAAAGAGCCATTATCACTTACAATTGGACAGACCTCTTTGACTTTGGCAGGGGCCCGCCAACCTGCACACCAGAGGCACACATAGGGAGTGAGGGAGGAATGTTGAGAAGTGATTTCCCAATGGCCCATCTCTAAGGAAGTAGTCTCTGTTTTTTCAGTTCACACTTTACCACAATGCTTACCTTGTGCCAGGCCCTATTCTAAGTGCTTTTCATATATTTACTCATTTAATGCTCACAACAGCCCTATGAGGCAGAAACTACATTTATTCCCATTTGACAGATAAGGAAACTGAGGATCAGAGAGGTTACGTATCCTGGCCAAGGTCACAGAGTTAGTGAGCTGTCTATACAAGCCACATGGAGTGAGGTTCTGGAGATGGAAGTTGGGGTTAGTCAGAACAGATGCCTTAAAATGTCCTTGTCAAAGTTGCCTCTTCTATGCAAAATGATAATTCTGAAATCAGCAACCTAAAAAACAGCAGCCATCTATTATGACCTCACCACTGTGCTATGTGTTTTATAAATGAAAAGCCCAATCCTAACAAACCCTTTAAAGTAGGGACTTTAACCACCCATTTTATAGATTAAGAAATTAAGGTCTGGAAAGTAACTTCCCCTAGCTAGTGAGATCTGAAGCCAGGATCTTAGCTGTCTGACTCCAGGACCCATGCTTTTTTCATTTCACTGTAGTGACTATGTGTGAGTGAGAAATTCCAACATCATCACAATCAGAAAAATAGTGGCTCTGTCTACTCTGATGGTTTATGCTTGTGCTAACACAGGCTGTCCTCCTAGTGGGGAGAAGTCTTTGGCACAAGTAATTAATTTACATTAATGCTTAGCTCTCACTCCTATGTAGTATTCATATTTGACACAGTACAATTTTTCTCATTTTCAAACACAGATTATTCACACCATACATATGTAGCAGATAATTCAATAATAAATTGACTGTGATCAAACATTTGGCAAAAGCTTGAGAAGTCAAATAGTTTTTAAAAAGTCTGATATATCCTTAGACTTCCAAATTGTCTCCATTTTAAGGTTAGAGCATCTAAAAGCAAACCCAAGTACCTGTTTTATAATATTATAGCCCCCTACAGAAATGCCTCCACAAGTTAGGGCACTTTAGAAACTATAGTGAACCATCTGAATGGTTTTCTAAAACTATCCTTGAGGACATAGATTATTGTGTTAATCAAGGTTCCCTGATCCTTTTGTTTAATAACAGAAAAGAGGCACTACCTTTTCCTTTTCACTCGTGCATAGATTATTGTGTTAATCAAGGTTCCCTGATCCTTTTGTTTAATAACAGAAAAGAGGCACTACCTTTTCCTTTTCACTCGTGCTAACATGAAAATATAAGAGCAAGCATTAAGGCCTAATTGTATAAAAGCTGTATCATGTCTCATGTGGTAAAAACACACAGTCCCTGTTATCCCAGATGTTCTCTGAAAGTTTCTATACCTAATTATCCTATTTACATTTTAAACATTGTTGTTGCTTTCTTTTTCAAGTAGGTGAAGTTAGAAATAAAAAATAAATATTAAACTTTGATATATTTATTAATTCAGAAGTTGGTCAATCTAAAGTTCAATAATCTATGAAAAATTACCAAATTCACAGTACTCAACAATAAAAAAGAACCAGAGAAGTAAAGACCTCTAATGAAATGTGATTGGTACATCTGCCCTGAAGAGAGCTTTTTGAAAGGAAGGAAAGGAGGGAGGGAAAAAGGAAAGTTGAAGGCTGCAGACATTTCTAAGTGGATAGACTAAGTAGGAGAAAAGTTAATTACCAAATGGTTAAAGTCAAAGTGTAATACTGGGACCTGGAGACCTGGGAGACTTCTGGATTAAACAGATGAACTTACGTCTGCTCTCCCCTCCTTCTGAATCACCATAAAATGATAGCCCACAGTGCCTGGGCCTTGGAGAACCCCAGGAGATAGAGCCTAGGACCTCAGAACGGCTGCAGAAGGGCAGAAGACACTCCTTGACCCCTCTCTATCCTTCAAAGTCCCATCCCCTCTCTCATCCAGTGGAAGACACAAGACTTCCTATCAAGTGAGACTGAACTACAGGCAGCACCAGGGGCAGTAACACAATAATGAAAACGCCTTTCCACTAAAAGAGGAATTAGGAGGAAACAGAGACAAAGCAGAGATCAGAAGAAAAGTACAGAGGGATAATACTGCATTCATGAAATAAAGTACAGAATGCTATTTTCTAAAAGGAGGTGGGAACATTCAGAGAATAAAAAAGAGCTCTTGGATACTAAACTTATGATTGCTGACATTCAATAGAAGAATTGGGAAATACAGTTGAGAAAATCTCAAAATAGACAGAAGAACCCAAACAAACAAGGAGACACAAAAATAGGGGGAAAACATACAACAAATGGTAAGTCCAGAAAATGCAACAGAGGGCCAGAAATAAAGATAGAACATGGAGAAAAGATAATTCTCAAAGAAATAATTCAAGGATTTCACAGAACTGAAGAACAGGTGTCTGCAAGTGTTAAGTCCCTCTGATCGAGGAGACCACAAAGGCATATCATTGTGAAATGTCAGACACCAGGGATAAAGAGAAGACTGTGAAAGCTTCCAGAGAGAATGAACAGACCCCGTGTAAAGGATCAGGGGTCAGGCTGGCATTAGGCTCTCAACAGCAATGTTAGAGGCAATGGGTAATGTCTTCCAAATTTGGAGGGCAGATGGGCATAAAGATGTCTGCAGATATGCAAGATTCCAAACTATCTCTCATGAACCTGCCAAGATAAAGGAGGGGGTTACAAGAAAGGGGTGGTAAACGAGAAGCCAAGTGAATTCCCAAGAAGTTGGGAAGTGAGGACAGAAACCCTGCAGCCAGTCTGGAGGTGAACTGCCCAAATGGGAAGGGAACACCACAGTTCCAGAAATACCCTCTCCAAGGAAAACAACACAACACACTGAGAGGCTGTCTGGTGTGTTTAAGCACACTATGTTTAGGAAAGAATCAATGATAGGTACACAGAAACCAAACAAAGAAAAAACAAGGCCGTTTTCAACTCAATTATGCTTAAGGAAACATAATCATGGCACACTACGTACTTATCTACAAATACAATGTGCATAATAATACAACCACTACATTGTATTATTGTATAATAATTGTATAATAATACAATATACTAATTGTATAACAATACAATCACTGATTTAACCAAAAGTTGTGATGTGAAATTACACTGGCAAGATGGAACATAAAAACATTCATATTTTATAGTAGAGAGTCAATAAAACTGAAAGACATAGTATTTAGAAATATAGAGGTAAACAGCAGAAAAAGGGCTAAAAATTTGAGTCATATACTCTAGGAAATTGGGAAAGGGCAGAGACCCATTCTTTTGTTATTACTCTTAAAGGAATATTTGACCTTTAAAATTATTTATATGAATTACTTTTATAAAAACAAAATATGATTAGATAAAAAAGCTGAATTTGCTTGGTCAACTGTAAGTGAAAAAAATGAGTAAAATGTAGTTTTTAAATTATGCCAGGTACTAAGACTGATACTCAATTTGTGCCTATAAACCAAAAATAAAATTCTAAGCTCCCCATCTGACTGAGGGTCCTTCACTCAGCCAAGGGCATTCCAAAGCTAACCTGAAAAACTAGTTCAGGCCATGATGGGACATGGGGGGTTGAACATGCCTCATTATACCCTCCTCCCTTTGGAATTCAGGCCCAGCTGACCAGCATTAACATCAAAACAGAGACCTTAAGACTGACAGAAATGATAGGAAACATTTACAATCTATTATTTCTGAAGCCCACTATCTGGAGGCTTCATCTGCATGATAAAACCCTGGTCTCAACAATCACTTAATCTTAACCCAGACAGTCCCTTCTACTGATTTTCATGTTTTTAGATAATAACTCTTTCAACCAATTGCCAGTCAGAAAATCTTTTAATCCACCTATGACCTGGAAGCCAGAGGCTTTCCAAATCACACTAAAATGACAGTCCACAGTGCCTGAACCTCAGAGAACCTTTTGGACTAAACCAGTGTACATCTTGTATGTATTGATTGATGTCTTTTTTCTTTTTTTTTCTTTTTTTTTTTTTTTTTTGAGACAGAGTCTTGCTCTTGTCACCCAGGCTGGAGTGCAGTGGTGTGATCTCAGCTCACTGCAACCTTCGCCTCCTGGGTTTAAGTAATTCTCCTGCCTCAGCCTCCCGAGTAGCTGGGACTACAGGTGCGTGCCACCACCCCCAGCTAATTTTTTGTATTTTCAGTAGAGACAGGGTTTCGCCGTGTTAGCCAGGATGGTCTTGATCTCCTGACCTCGTGATCCGCCTGCCTTGGCCTCCCAAAGTGCTGGGATTATAGGTGTGAGCCACCGCCCCCAGCCAATTGATGTCTTATGTCTCCCTATAATGTATAAAACCAAGCTGTAGCCCAACTACCTTGGGCACATGTTCTCAGGATCTCCTGGGGCTGTGTCATGAGCCATTGGTCACTCATATTTGGCTCAGAATAAGTCTCTTCAAATACTTCACAGAGTTTGACTCTTTTCATTGACATGCCTTTAGAGAACCATGGGATCTCAGGATTGGAAGTGCCTGAACAATCATCTAATATGCCACCTGCTCCCCAGTGTGACACCTGCTATGTGAACTGTGAACAACTCTGCCCTTAGGAACTGCTCCCAACACAGTTATGCCCCCCAAAACACCATACCCAGGTAAACACACTAACCTTCCAATAGTCAAAGATGGCCAGGCATGACCCTGAAGCCTCTTCTCTGCTGAGTTCCTACTTCTACTTCTCTCTAGCTTCTGAGGGGCTCTCTCTGAGTCCCAGACTGTGTGACCAAAAAGGCCTTGGCCAATAGCTCCTAATCTCACATCCCTTCAATCTGGGAGAGCAGCCAGACCAAAACAGACTACTCTTTGAGGCAATTTCAAACCTTGCAAGGATGGGTTGCAGGGTGGAGCCTAGGCTGGGTGCTCATGTGCTCACCACTGGGCAGGGTACAGGGCAGGGTACAGGGCAGGGATGGGGACACAGTCCCCACCAGGAGCAAAGCTGTACCCTTGCAGTCAGCTGAGGGAGGAGGGCCAATCTCCAGGAGAAACTCATAATGGGTAGGCAATCCATGAAAAAGGCCATGGATCGTAAAGAAAGAGAATGTTTATTAAATTTGTCTCTTAAAAGATTCAATTTTTGGTCATGTTTAAGAATTAATGATATCTTCTCTAACTAATGATTTTATGCTATAAGCTTCCTGTGCTCTGGGACATGGATGGATGGTCAGCATCAAATGCCACAAGGCAGGAATTCAACAAGATGATCATTCGTTTTTAAGAAAATGTCTTTGTTTATTTCCTGTGGAAATAATGACTTCCTGCGTAACTCTAGCAAGAGTAAAAAAGATCTGCTTCCAGCCCTTAAACCTTTTACTCATAAGTTTAGTAATGGGACATTTTTATAGAGTTTTGGTGACCTTACAATTTTTGTCTTCAGGTGGTGTGTTTTTTGTTCTTTCCATTTGCATTGTAAAATGGTATCTCATCAGAGGAGCCAAGCTGCTAGAAATAGACTCAAAAGTAACAGTTCATGTCCATGCCTCTGGGGTAACACGTAACACTTGGTCTGGTTCCTAACCATGCAATAGACACAAAAGACTAAAATCAATTGCCTCAGCACCTCACATTGCTCAAAAGATTCGTAAGTCAACACTACCCACATGATTGATAAATGTTAACAGAAAAACAAAACTCTGTAAAATATCTCAAGAGGTTTATCCTGAGCCAATATGAGTGACCATGGCCCAGTGTTCAGTTTCAAGATGTCCTGAAACGGTGTGCTTGAGGTGGTTGGGTTAGTTTGGTTTTATACATTTTAGGGAGACAGAAGTTACAAGCAAAAACGTAAATCAATACATGGAAGGTGTACATTGGTTCATCCTAAAGAGGTAGGATACCTTGAAACAGGGGCTTACAGGTCATAGGTGGATTCCAACATTTTCTGATTAGCAATTGGTTGAAAGAATTAAGCTTTGTTTAAAGACAAAAGAAATGCCTGAGTTAAGTTAAGGAGGGCTGTGGACACCAAGGCTCTTTACTATTATTATTTGATACAGGGTCTCATTCTATTGCCCAGGCTGGAGTGCAGTGGTGCAATCACAACTCACTGCAGCCTCAACCTCCCAGACTCAATGATCCTCCCACCTCAGCCTCCCGAGTAGCTAGGGCTGCAGGCACACACCACTATGCCTGGGTTTTTTGTTTGTTTGTAGAGATGGGGTTTCACCATGTTGCCCAGGCTGGTCTCAATCTCCTGGGCTCAAGCGATCTGCCCACCTCAGCCTCCCAAAGTGCTGGGATTACAGGTGTGAGCTACAGCCCACTCAGCCTCCTAAAGTGCTGGGATTATGGGTGTGAGCTACAGAGGCCCAGCCAGACCAAGGTTCTTGTTATGCAGATGAAGCCTCCAGGTAGCAGCTTTCAGAGAACATAGATGGTAAATGTCTCTTTTCAGATCTTAAAGGTGACAAACTCATTTAATCTCCTCTAGATCCCAGAAAGACCTAGAAAGGGAAGGCTTGGCCACATTAATGGAGATATCTCTACAGATGCAAATTCCCCCCACAAGAGACAGTTTTGCAGGGTAATTTCAAAATATGTCAAAGAAATATATTTTTGGGGTAAAATATTTCTATCGCCTTCAGGGTCTGCTGTCATGTGATGCTACACCAGAATCAGTTTGGAATTTGCTATCTTATGTGCCACTCTTTGTGGCAACAAAGTCTATTTTATCAGTCTAATAATCTCTATTTCAATGTTAGTGCTAGTCAGTTGTGCCTAAACTCCAAAAGGGAGGGGGTATAACGAGGTATGTCTAACCTCTCTTCCCATCATGGCCAAGAACACAGTTTTTCAGGTTTCTCTGAGGTCTTCTTGGCCAAGAGAGGGTCCATTCAGTTGGTGGGGGGACTTAGGATTTTATTTTTGGTTTACATCATGGAGGCGGGGCTGTGTTCTCCGCCAACAGGCATGACCAATTGTCTAAGCATTTACAGTTTATGTCTTTTTTTTTTCACCGGGGCGTTCCTGAGTTTATTTGGGGCCCACCCAGGCAAGGGCCCTGCACCTAGAAGAAGGTGTTGGGCCTCTTGGTGGTGAGGCGTGGCTTGTGCTGACGGCTCAGGACCCGGTGGGGCAGCAGGAACTTGATCTTGGAGTCGTGGAACTGCTTGACAGCCGGCCGGCGGCACTTGCTGGCTGCGATCACCTCCACCTTCATCTGGTGGAGTGATCTGGATGGAGTGGGCCCTGGCGCGGTAGCACTGGGTGACAGCGCCTGCGGTGGTCAGGTACCGGTATTGCCGGTACATGTTGTAGGTGCAGCTCCGGGAGTCATAGTGAGAGGCAGGACTAGCTGCTGTTTGCCGCCCTTTGCCACCGTCGCAGACCCGCTGCTGACTTCCATACCTCCGGATCCGACAGGGTGTCCGCTGTGCTCCCCATCCAGGGAGGCGCCCATTGCCGCTCCTGATCGGGCTAAAGACTTGCCATTGTTCCTGCACGGGTTTGTCCTAATCCAGCTCAACACTAGTCACTGGGTTCCAAGGTTCTCTTCCGTGACCCACGACTTCTAATAGAGCTATAACACTCACCGCATGGCCCAAGATTGCATTCCTTGGAATCCGTGAGGCCAAGAACCCCAGGTCAGAGAAGACAAGGCTTGCCACCATCTTGGAAGCAGCCCGCCACCATCTTGGGAGCTCTGGGAGCAAGGACCCCCAGTAACATTAGCGCAGCCAGCTGTCGAAGTTCTTCACCCGCAGTGGGGGCTTCTCAAACACCTGCCCACAGTAGACAATCTCCCCTGAAGCCTTCTTTGTCTTTAACTGAGATACGAAGTACCAGAAGTGGGACCTGTTGACAAATGATTAGGCGCAAAGATTTGCATGTGGTAGTGGGGCAGTGTGTGGCATTCCGGGGTGTGCAGGCAGCGACCCACCACCTTGTACTCTCGTAGTGTGCCCAAGACCTTCATGGCGTCCTCTCCGCGCTCACCGCCACCCGCAAAAGGTACAGTTTATGTCTTTACAGTTAATTGCACTTGAAGAAAATAAAAATATTTTACCCCAAAGTATATTTCCTTGACACATTTTGAAATGGCTGCCACAGGGCCAGCAGACAGAAGTGGCCTTGCAAAGCTGTCTCTTGTTGGGCAAATTTGCATCTGTAGAGAATCTCCATTAATGCAGCCAGGGCTTCCCTTTCTAGGCCTTTCACAGATCTGGGAGAGATTGAGTCTGACACCTTTACAAGTCTGAAAAGACACGTTTACTATCTATTCTCTCTGAGGGCCTCTAGCTATGAGGCTTCATGTACATAACAAGGCCACTTTTGCTAGTCAAGCCTCCTTTATTCTCTCCCCTATAACCTGTCTTGCCATTAAAATCTGTTTTTGGTTCCATATGAACTTTAAAGTAGTTTTTTCCAATTCTGTGAAGAAAGGCATTGGTAGCTTGATGGGGATGGCATTGAATCTGTAAATTACCTTGGGCAGTATGGCCATTTTCACAATATTGATTCTTCCTACCCATGAGCATGGAATGTTCTTCCATTTGTTTGTATCCTCTTTTATTTCCTTGAGCAGTGGTTTGTAGTTCTCCTTGAAGAAGTCCTTCACATCCCTTGTAAGTTGGATTCCTAGGTATTTTATTCTCTTTGAAGCAATTGTGAATGGGAGTTCACTCCTGATTTGGCTCTCTGTCTGTTGTTGGTGTATAAGAATGCTTGTGATTTTTGTACATTGATTTTGTATCCTGAGACTTTGCTGAAGTTGCTTATCAGCTTAAGGAGATTTTGGGCTGAGACAATGGGGTTTTCTAGATATACAATCATGTCGTCTGCAAACAGGGACAATGTGACTTCCTCTTTTACTAATTGAATACCCTTTATTTCCTTCTCCTGCCTAATGGCCCTGGCCAGAACTTCCAACACTATGTTGAATAGGAGTGGTGAGAGAGGGCATCCCTGTCTTGTGCCAGTTTTCAAAGGGAATGCTTCCAGTTTTTGCCCATTCAGTATGATATTGGCTGTGGGTTTGTCATAGATAGCTCTTATTATTTTGAAATACGTCCCATCAATACCTAATTTATTGAGAGTTTTTAGCATGAAGGGTTGTTGAATTTTGTCAAAGGCTTTTTCTGCATCTATTGAGATAATCATGTGGTTTTTGTCTTTGGCTCTGTTTATATGCTGGATTACATTTATTGATTTGCGTATATTGAACCAGCCTTGCATCCCAGGGATGAAGC
The DNA here is from genome assembly GCF_000001405.40 of Homo sapiens. Taxonomy (NCBI): domain Eukaryota; kingdom Metazoa; phylum Chordata; class Mammalia; order Primates; family Hominidae; genus Homo; species Homo sapiens. The sequence continues at coordinate 43,487,154 of NC_000003.12, forward strand.
CCACTTGATCACGGTGGATAAGCTTTTTGATGTGCTGCTGGATTCGTTTTGCCAGTATTTTATTGAGGATTTTTGCATCAATGTTCATCAAGGATATTGGTCTAAAATTCTCTTTTTTGGTTGTGTCCCTGCCTGACTTTGGTATCAGAATGATGCTGGCCTCATAAAATGAGTTAGGGAGGATTCCCTCTTTTTCTATTGATTGGAATAGTTTCAGAAGGAATGGTACCAGTTCCTCCTTGTACTTCTGGTAGAATTCAGCTGTGAATCCATCTGGTCCTGGACTCTTTTTGGTTGGTAAGCTATTGATTATTGCCACAATTTCAGCTCCTGTTATTGGTCTATTCAGAGATTCAACTTCTTCCTGGTTTAGTCTTGGGAGAGTGTATGTGTCGAGGAATTTATCCATTTCTTCTAGATTTTCTAGTTTATTTGCGTAGAGGTGTTTGTAGTATTCTCTGAGGGTAGTTTGTATTTCTGTGGGATCGGTGGTGATATCCCCTTTATCATTTTTTATTGCATCTATTAGATTCTTCTCTCTTTTTTTCTTTATTAGTCTTGCTAGTGGTCTATCAATTTTGTTGATCCTTTCAAAAAACCAGCTCCTGGATTCATTAATTTTTCGAAGGGTTTTTTGTGTCTCTTGTGTCTCTATTTCCTTCAGTTCAAAAGTTCATATGGAACCAAAAAAGAGCCCGCATCGCCAAGTCAATCCTAAGCCAAAAGAACAAAGCTGGAGGCATCACACTACCTGACTTCAAACTATACTACAAGGCTACAGTAACCAAAACAGCATGGTACTGGTACCAAAACAGAGATATAGATCAATGGAACAGAACAGAGCCCTCACAAATAACGCCGCGTATCTACAACTATCTGATCTTTGAAAAACCTGACAAAAACAAGCAATGGGGAAAGGATTCCCTATTTAATAAATGGTGCTGGGAAAACTGGCTAGCCATATGTAGAAAGCTGAAACTGGATCCCTTCCTTACACCTTATACAAAAATCAATTCAAGATGGATTAAAGACTCAAACGTTAGACCTAAAACCATAAAAACCCTAGAAGAAAACCTAGGCATTACCATTCAGGACATAGGCATGGGCAAGGACTTCATGTCTAAAACACCAAAAGCAATGGCAACAAAAGACAAAATTGACAAATGGGATCTAATTAAACTAAAGAGCTTCTGCACAGCAAAAGAACCTACCATCAGAGTGAACAGGCAACCTACAAAATGGGAGAAAATTTTCGCAACCTACTCATCTGACAAAGGGCTAATATCCAGAATCTACAATGAACTCAAACAAATTTACAAGAAAAAAACAAACAACCCCATCAAAAAGTGGGCGAAGGACATGAACAGATACTTCTCAAAAGAAGACATTTATGCAGCCAAAAGACACATGAAAAAATGCTCATCATCACTGGCCATCAGAGAAATGCAAATCAAAACCACAATGAGATACCATCTCACACCAGTTAGAATGGCAATCATTAAAAAGTCAGGAAACAACAGGTGCTGGAGAGGATGTGGAGAAATAGGAACACTTTTACACTGTTGGTGGGACTGTAAACTAGTTCAACCATTGTGGAAGTTGGTGTGGCGATTCCTCAGGGATCTAGAACTGGAAATACCATTTGACCCAGCCATCCCATTACTGGGTATATACCCAAAGGACTATAAATCATGCTCCTATAAAGACACATGCACACATATGTTTATTGTGGCATTATTCACAATAGCAAAGACTTGGAACCAAGCCAAATGTCCAACAATGATAGACTGGATTAAGAAAATGTGGCACATATACACCATGGAATACTATGCAGCCATAAAAAATGATGAGTTCATGTCCTTTGTAGGGACATGGATGAAATTGGAAAACATCATTCTCAGTAAACTATCACAAGAACAAAAAACCAAACACCGCATATTCTCACGCATAGGTGGGAATTGAACAATGAGATCACCTGGACACAGGAAGGGGAATATCACACTCTGGGGACTGTTGTGGGGTGGGGGGAGGGGGGAGGGATAGCATTGGGAGATATACCTAATGCTAGATGAGGAGTTAGTGGGTGCAGTGCACCAGCATGGCACATGTATACATATGTAACTAACCTGCACAATGTGCACATGTACCCTAAAACTTAAAGTATAATAGTATAATAAAAAATAAAAATTAAAAAAAAATCTGTTTTTGGCCACTCTCTGAGCCTGCATTATTTTTATAACCTTAAGGTGGTATATAAGCTTCTGTACCTTACTGAGGGGTTGGATCTTCATTCTGAAAGTTCCCATGTACACGTTAAATAAATCCGCCTTTTCTCCTATTAATCTGCCTTTTGCAAGTTGATTTTTCAGTGAACCTTTAGAGGGCCAAGGGGAAAGCTCTCCCTTGGCCCTTAGGGTGACCAGTGAAGGAAGACACAAGGGGCACAAGAGGATGCAGCAAGTTTTCACAATAAGACTAGGAGATTACACAGTTAGACAGAATGAATTCGTCAATAATTTCATTTCAGGTGCTCAGAACATATAGTTCAATTAACTGGTATTGAAAGTGCATGGCAGAAAAAAATATTTCTCTTTTCTTTTCTTTGAGCTAGAAGACTAGTTTGCTACAAAACAGTCTCTTTGCCTGGTGAAAAAAACAAGGGGTAAAATTTAAAACCTGTTTTTTATCTCATGACCATTAGAGGCCCTGATTTAAGAAAAAAAAAACTATCTTACAAAAATCAACAACTATCTAAACATTTACAAATAAAAATCTCCTTTCACTGAAGAAGTATTCTGTTATAACGAATCACTGGAAAAGAATAAGCCTGTAACAGTATCCTTTGCATCAAAATAATGCCTTAAGGGTTCAGAAGTCCTTGAATATTATTTCTTCTGATCCTCACAGCAATTACATCAGGCCGTTCTCAACGTGATACATGGATGATGGAAAAACAGCCTGAAGTCAGAGAAGGCTTACGTAAAGTCACTCAGCTTATAGGAGACAGGGCTACAGCCAGGCTTTGACATTTAGCCCTGGCCTCCCTCTTTCTGATAAATCCAGTTTCCTTCCCCTTCTCAGATCTCCAACTACGCCACAACAAAAGTCTTGCATGGTGTGTGTGTTCCTCTCCTCTCTAAATATTCCCTCCTGTTGCAATAAGTTTCCAGCCTAAAAATGTGAAATTTAAAAACTTTTTATCTAAACACAAGTGAAATAAAAAGCAAAACAATGAGATAACCAAAAACCTGGCAACTTGGAAGAGGGGGAAGAAAAGTATTTTAGAGGACTCCTTTTAAAACAAGGTCATATTTTAAGATCATAATAGTGAAGATTAAAAACTCAGTAATACTCCACAGCCTTATTAATATAGAGCAGTAGGCATCATCACAGAACAGATACTTGCTATGTACTCAAACTGGTCTAGACCATAGAAAAAGATGGAAGGCTCCTCCTAATTCATTCTAAAAAGCCGGAACACACTTAATACCAAAGTATGACAAAGAAAAACAGAAACCAATTTCACTTACAAATATTGATGCAAAGATTCTAAATCAAGTACCGGCAAATAGAACCCAGAAGTGAATTTGTTACAGTAGGTAGTTAGTCAGGCATGAGGAGGGCAGAAGGGTGCTCCCAGCACCACCCCCACACACACACCTGGAATGTCAGGTGACCATCAGGTGATGGTCAGGCGGTTGCTGACTCTCTTTCTAAAATAATAATTGGCCACAGCCGGTGCCAGGGAAAGGCAGTCTCCTAATAGATAGAGAACACCTGAAACTGGTGAGCAGCAGCTTCCCGATAAGATCTCAGGAGTTGGACAAGTGGGCTCAGGCATGCATATTAAGAGGCAGAATGGCAGGGGGGCGGGGTTTAAATGGCATATGACCTTCCAGGGACATTTGACTGGTAAGGACCTCAAGTGAGCATGCGTACAACTCCAGTAAACACACTGTGCATGCTCATCTCCCAAGCACTAGTAGGCTGCTGTGCATGTGGACATCTCACCTCAAGCGAAGAATCAGAAGGAATCCAAGACCCTGGAAGTATGCCAACATACAAAACCCTAAGTCAGGCCAGACACAGTGGCCTCATGCCTGTAATCCCAGCACTTTGGGAGGCTGAGGCAGGCAGATGACTTGAGGTCAGAAGTTCGAGACCAGCCTGGCCAACATGGCGAAACCCCATCTCTACTAAAAATGCAAAAATTAGCCAGGCGTAGTGGCAGGCACCTGTAATCCCAGCTACTAAGGAGGCTGCGGCACGAGAATCGCTTGAACCAGGGAGGTGGGGGCTGCAGTGAGCCAAGATTGCGCCATTGCACTCCAGCCTGGGGGATAGAGTAAAACTCCATCTCCAAGAAAAAACAACAAACAACCCTTAAGTCAAAGGTCAAACTGCACACTCCATCTCACAAGTCACCTGCTTGGACCTCTTCCACCAAGTGTACTGTACTTCCTTTCATTCCCACTCTAAAGCTTTTTAGTAAACTTTAACTCCTGCTCTAAAACTTGCCTCGGTCTCTCCTTCTGCCTTACCCCTTGGTCAAATCCTTCTGAAGAGGCAAGAACTGAAGTTGCTGCAAACCCATATGGATTCACCACCAGTAACAAATTAACAGAAAAATATACAGAATATGATATAATATAATAATATAACATGGTTTATTTCAGGAATGCAGAGATAGCTTAAAATTAGCAACACTATCAACATAATTTATTACGTTTTTAAGTGAAAAGATAACCATAAATTAAAACATAAAGGTTGGAAGATGGCCAAATAGGAACAGCTCCGGTCTACAGCTCCCAGAGAGATCAAAGCAGAAGATGAGTGATTTCTGCATTTCCAACTGAGGTCACCAACCTCAAAGACCAAAGGTAGATAAAACCACAAAGATGGGGAGAAACCGAGCAGAAAGGCTGAAAATTCCAAAAACCAGAACACCTCAGAAAAAACCAGAGGCCTCAGAAATAACACCACACATCTACCACCATCTGATCTTTGACAAACCTGACACACACAAGCAGTGGAGAAAAGATTCCCTGTTTAATAAATGGTGTTGGGAAAACTGGCTAGCCATATGAAGAAAACTGAAACTGGACCCCTTCCTTACACCTTATACAAAAATCAACTCAAGATGGATCAAAGACTTAAACGTAAGACCTAGGACCAGAAAAATCCTAGAAGAAAACCTGTCCAATACCATTCAGGACATAGGCATGGGCAAAGACTTCATGTGTATAACACCAAAAGCAGTGGCAACAAAAGCCAAAATTGACAAATGGGATCTAATTAAACTAAAGAGCTTCTGCACAGCAAAATAAACTATCATCAGAGTCAACACGCAACCTACAGAATGGGAGAATATTTTTGCAATCTTTCCATCTGACAAAGGGCTAATATCCAGAATCTACAAAGAACTTAAATTTACAAGAAAAAGGCAAACAACCCCATCAAAAAATGGGCAAAGGATATGAACAGACACTTCTCAAAAAAAGACATTTATGCGGTGAACAGACATATGAAAAAATGCTAATCATCACTGGTCATTAGAGAAATGCAAATCAAAACCACAATGAGATACTATCTCATGCCAGTTAGAATGGTGGTCATTAAAAAGTCATGAAACAACAGATGCTGGACAGCCTGTGGAAAAATAAGTACACTTTTACACTGTCGGTGGGAGTGTAAATTAGTTCAACCATTGTGGAAGACAGTGTGGCGATTCCTCAAGGATCTAGAACTAGAAATACCATTTGACCCAGCCATCCCATTACTGGGCATATGCCCAAAGGATTACAAATCATTGTACTATAAAGACACATGCACATGTATGTTTATTACGGCACTATTCACAATAGCAAAGACTTGGAACCAACCCAAATGTCCATCAATGATAGACTGGATGAAGAAAATGTGGCACATATACACCATGGAATACTATGCAGCCATAAAAAAGGATGAGTTCATGTCCTTTGCAGGGAAAGGAAGCCATCGTTCTCAGTAAACTATCACAAGATCAGAAAACCAAACACCGTGTGTTCTCACTCATAAGTGGGAGTTGAACAATGAGAACACATGGACACAGGGAGGGCGACATCACACACCAGAGCCTGTGGGGCATGGGGGGCTAGGGGAGGGAAACCATTAGGAGAAACACCTAATGTAGGTGACAGGTTGATAGCACCATGGCACATTTATACCTACGTAACAAAAGTGCATGTTCTGCACATGTAACCCAGAACTTAAAGTATAATTTAAAAAAAAAAAATTGATGCTTCAAACAGTTGATAATGCCTGTTCTTCAGGACATCAGACAATTTATTTAATATGCCATTTATTTATTGAAAGTATTTAAAATAATGGCAACTAAACAGGCTACCACATTTCCACAAAAAAGGACCATTAGCTCTTGAATGAGGTAAGAAACACAATAAAAAATAATTTAAGGTTAAAAAAACATAAAGGTTAAAAAAGCACTTGCTATACAATAGTTATTCCCAATTAAGATAAACAAACAGAAAATGATCTAAAATAAAAGTAGAAAAATATACTTAAATAAAAATCATTTATTACAAACCCACAGCAAACAACTTAAGACACAAGTCTCATTCTGTCACCCAGGCTGGAGTGCAGTAGCATGATCACAGCTCACTGTAATCTCCAAATCCTGGATTCAGGTGATCCTCCTGCCTCAATCTCCTGAGTAGCTAGTACTACAGGCACATACCACCACACTAGGCTAATTTTCCATTTTTTCACAGAGATGGGGTCTTGCTTTGTTGTCTAGGCTAGTCTTGAACTCCTGGCATTAAGCAATCCTCCCACTTCTACCTCCCAAAGTGCTGGCATTACAGGCATAAGCCACCACTCCCAGCCTGCAAACAATTTATTACATGGTGAAATAATAAGGCTATCACTATTCAAGTAAAGACTAAGACAGAGATGTTTTCAATATTGTTTTTGAGGCCCTAGCTAATGCAATAAGAGCAAACATAAAATAATTAGTATAAGTGGCCAGACGTGGTGGCTCACGCCTGTAATCTCAGCACTTTGGGAGGCTGAGGCAGGCGGATCACCTGAAGTCAGGGGTTCGGGACCAGCCTGGCCAACATGGTGAAACCCCGTCTGTACTACAAATACAACATTGGCTGGGCATGGTGGCAGACGCCTGTAATCCCAGCTACTCAGGCGGCTGAGGCAGGAGAATTGCTTGAACCCAGGAGGCGGAGGTTGCAGTGAGCTGAGATTGCGCCATTGCACTCTAGCCTGGGCAACAAGAGCGAAACTCCATCTCAAAAAATAAAAAATAGAATGAATAAATAAATAAATAGTATGAGTATTAGCAGAAAAAAGAAAACATTATCCTCATTTGCAGCTATGAGTATGAACCCAAGAAAAACTAACAACCAATTATAACTAATAAGAGTGCTTAGTAGTTATGGGACATATTTTTCAAAAGCTCTTCTTTATAGCAGTAAGAACTAGTTAAAAATGAAGATTGATTAGAAAAATACTATTTACAAGAGAAATAAATGCAATGAATTACCAACGAAAAACAAGGAAAGTACAGAGCTTATGTGAAAGAACTAAAAAATTTTATTGAAGGATATGTAATAAGTCATTGACAGAGACAGTGAATACGTTTTTAGGAGGACAAACTCATCACAAAAGTGTTATTCCTTCCAAAATTCATATACAAATGTAACACAATTTCAATCAGGGCCTAATGAATTTTGTTGAAGCTGAACTAAGTAATTTTAAAGTTTATATAAAAAAAATAAAAGAATTATCAACAAATTTCTAGAGAAAAATTGTAGTAGGAAAATTTTTAGGAAAAATTTTGCCCTATCAAATACTAAAACTTACTATAACAACTATAATCAAAACAATATGGATTGGCTCAAAAACAGACAAAAAGGTCAGTGAAATAGAAGAGAATCTCAAAATAACGTGATAAAAGTAGGACTTTAGGTTACTGGAAAAGACGGTTTAATAAATGATATAAATGACTATTTCTTTGGAAAATATGAAGTTGGACTCCTACTTCAAAACAAAAATAATTTTAAAAAAACAAAAATAATTTCAAAATTAATTCAACATCTAAATGTAAATAAGACACATAGCAAACAAAATTCAAAACTCCACCAAGAAATTTTGAGGATTATTTGGAAGTCTTAAGCAAGACAAGACACCAGGAGAAACAAAGAAAAATATACACTTGGGTTATATAAAAAATGGAAAAAAGTATGTATGTGATATATGCCAGAGACAAAAAATACTAAACAACAGATAGAAGAAAATATTTGTAACATGTGACCAAAGAGTTAATATACTTAAAATACAAAATTCCTGCAAATTCACAAGAAGAAGATAAACCACACTCAAAAGAAAAATGAGCTTAAGTCATGTGTAGGCAGCTTCACAGATGAGGCATGGCAAGTGGCCATTGAACATAATAAGAAAGTATTCTTTCTCAATGCTGGTCAGGAAATTGAACCTAATGCCACCTCAGACAACATTTTGCCTATCCAATTTGTGAAAAAAAAATTTTTTTTTTTTGAGATGGAGTCTCACTCTGTCCCCCAGGCTGGAGAGCAGTGGCGCAATCTCGGCTCACTGCAACCTCTGCTCCTGGGTTCACACCATTCTCCTGCCTCAGCCTCCCGAGTAGCTGGGACTACAGGTGCCTGCCACCACACCTAGCTAACTTTTTTTGTATTTTTAGTAGAGACGGGGTTTCACCATGTTAGCCAGGATGGTCTCGATCTCCTGACCTCATGATCTGACCACCTTGGCCTCCCAAAGTGCTGGGATTACAGGCATGAGCCACCACGTCTGGCCAGGAAAAATATTTTTAAGAGCAAGTAGACAGTAAGGTATATGAAAATGGAGCTCTCATAAATAAGTTACCAGGACACTTTTGGGAAAATGATCTCACTGTACCTATTAAAAGTAGTGCCTACTCTTTGATCCAGCAATCCTGCTTTCAGGAATATATACTCTATTGAAAAAGGGTATGTGTATAGAAAAGTTACACTGGTGGTAACTCAAAATATCGGAAAACAATCAGAATGCCTACTGACAGGAGAAAAGCTGGACCATGTGGAATATTCTGTAGCCATTACAAAGAGCAAGGTATATATTTATTTACCTGTATATATTGACATATGCAACCCCATTGTAGCCATGACAAACATGGTACCCTAGTGGTCTATTCCTAAGGAGTGTCAAATTTCAGAAGCACAGATCAGAAACCAAAACCTAATTTAAGAACAATTCTATTCTTTTTTTTGAGGCGGGTTCTTGCTCTGTCACCCAGGCTTGAGCACAGTGGCACGATCTTGGCTCTCTGCAACCTCCATCTTCCAAGCTCAAGCAATCCTCCTACCTCAGCCTCCCGACTACTTGGCACTACAGGGGCACACCACAATACCCTGCTAATTTACATATATATATTTTTTGGGGGTGGGGGAGCAGGGGCAGAGACAAGGTTTCGTCATGTTGCCCAAGCTGGTTATTCTATTCTTTATTTACTTTTTGCATGGTACTTACCATGTCTCCCCCTTTCTTCCCACCAGTTTTCTCCACACTTCACCACTCTGAAGCTTATCCTTTGTCCCCCACCCCTGAACCACAGCACCCAACTAAACCAAGTCCAAACCAAAATTCAAATCCTCCTCTGATTTTTGTTCTCTTCTCCCTTTCTCCTTCCTGGTTCCTCAAGATGTACAGTGATGTAAGCTCCTTCCTGTTCCTGATGATGCACAGTGATTTAGGCCATGTCCTCCCCCAGCTATGGAATTTCCTATATTCATATACTGCATCCTTAAAGACAAAGAACAACCCTACTTGGCAGTATGGGGATAGGGGATGGGACTGGGTTAGCAATTGCAGAATTTTCTTTGGTAGATGGGATGAAGAGTACATATGTGAGCACTTTTTCTTATTCTGTCACATTTCGAAAGATTTTTGTGATTTTGAATTAAGTGCAGACAATAAACCTACTGGAGGGTAAATGTGTGAGTAATTCCTACTTCCTTACTCCACAGGAGGCACATGCAAACTTACCTAGCATACAAAAGTCAGCGTGTGCACAGAAGGAAATCTCTATAATCTTTATCTGGTTGTAATAAGCGAGTAATGCTTTTGTAATTAAGGAGAAAAGATAGAAAACTTTAATAGTTTACAAAACAAAGAAAAGTATCCCCTAGTCACATAACCCTGTCTCCTTACATGTTTCTTTTGCCTCCTCTTTCTTTGGGAGAACTGTCTTCAGAGTTTCAACCTCTGGCAAGCAGCACACACTTTCTGCTCTGTTTTTCCTGATTGCAGAAAACTCCAGTCCCAGAAAAGTAGAGAAAGGAACTCTCTTTCAGGCTTGTGTTCCCTCAGCAGGGTGGATCTAAGGCTAGTTAATGAATCCACCCTACTGAATCTTTGGGAAGCTGTTCCTAAGACAGACATCCTGAGGAGCCTAAGTCCCTGGAGTGAGGGAAGGGAGGGGCCCCTACCACCTCCCAGATGCCCTCTGCCCTCCTACAGAACCTTCCTATGCCTGTGGTTTGCATGGGGGAGGGAAGCAGCATGGAGGGGGATTTGTATATTTCTGTGATATATATTTACATATTTCTATGAAATAAAGATTTTTATTCTGTATTTCTATTAATTCACCTCAAATACAATATTTTTGATACTGTTTTTGCTGTGATATATGAAAGGAAAAGCCAGTACAAATTGAGCTACTCTAAACATGGACTTAAAAGACCTGAGAGTGGAACTCATGCATGTATCTTAATGGTGATGCTTAATTGTAATTTTGTTGCATCATCTCTGTACTTCTTATATGGAATGACTCATATACTGTGTTCCTATCAGAATAAATTCTCAGCTGTGAATCAAGCATTAATCTGGTAATTATTTTAAAAGGATGTAAGTAGCATCAAATTTTCTGTTCATGTATTTCTTTAAAAAGTATGAATCACTGAAGCCTTGTTCTGCACTACAAAGTGTGTATGTGCAGCAGGATAAGACTTGATGCTTGGTTTGGCCACTGACTGGCTGTTGGCAGGTACAGCAAGGAGACAGTGGGAGTTTTCCTGCCCACTTCTTGGGAAGCCACTGGCTGTTCTGACCTTGGATATTTCTAATGCCTCCCCAGAAGATGGGTGGTACTCAGCGGGCAAGCCAACTGCCCTCCACCCCTGCAAAATCCAGCTGATTGAGGGAAGAACTGTGTAGTAGGGCAGATGTGACCTAACCTGGGAGGACAATCCCTGATGGCAGTGTTACCTACCAATTGTGTCAATAGGAGAGACCTGCCCCCAGCATGTCCTAGAAAGTAACAGAAACTCTGATGGGATGGCATATGGAGGGAAGAGTAGGGAATAAACACCACCTCCCGTGGCTTTCAAAGCCTGCCTAAAAGATCCCAAGTCCAAAGCTTAGCACAGAGGAAACCCAGCCATTCCCTTCCCTCTACTTTGTAGTCTGGACTATGCAGCTTACTATAGCTGAGATTTACTGATGCTGTCCTTTGTTTTTCAAAAAATATAATCCTCCCTCTTATTCTTGCGCATCCCCAGGGAGAAGCAAAGAGCAGTCAAAATATGAATGGGACTGTCCTTTTCAGCAGGTAGGGTAAGAGGGGAATAAAAATCAGAAAAATAAGATATAACATTTCTTGTACTCAGTGCTATAAAATAATTTAATCCTTGCTATATGCATATAAGGTAAACACACATATATGATCGTTCATTGTCAAATGGTTCTGCAATGCGACAGTCTTGAGGCTGTGGTGCTTGGGCACTGGGGGTAAGTCCCCAGACCCGACTACCTGAGGTGGTGGTGAGTACTGAGGAAGAAGCTAAAAATCACACCAAAACCTGGGGATTACATTGAGCCTTCTCCACCACAGTTCCAGGGCTCATGTAGAGAAACCACTAGAGAGAGGGGCAGTTTGTCCCTGTTTGTCCTTGTTTTTCACGTGTCTTCAAATTTCTAACAATGGCACAGGCAAATGCAGAGTGAAAATAAACTCGGCAAGTATTTATCAAACGATACTTGTGATAGGGTACAGAGACCCTATCACAAAGAGTTTACAATCTTTTACAGTTGAGGAACCCAGTCATGAAACAAATATAAAACATTTCCACAGCCATGTACAGTCAAGTGTATAGTTCAAATGATATACCTCCATAGAAGTACACTGAATGCTCTAGATGGGGAAGTATTTACTAGGGAGGGTTTGGCAGAGGAAGTCTGTCTTAGATTGAGCATCAAAGGAAGTATAGGAAGTAGGCTGACAGGAGGAGCATTGAGCAGGGGAAGAGGGCATTTGCAAGGCACAGAAGCCAGGATCAGCAGCAGTACAAAAACTGGGTGCTAGAGAGGAAGTTCAGAAATGCAGGCAAACCACACTTCCCACTATTATTCTTTCAACAATCTAGGATACCAAAAACTGTAAGACACCGTAAGACACACCATTCTCCCATATACCACCAAGAAAAAAAAATACTGCCAATTAAATAATTAAAGAAAGTGTTCTTATTACCTAGAATTCTAATTTGAAGGGCTCTTTTTAAAACTTCTTTAGATAGATTTTTTTTTAATAATCACTCCTGTGCTACCTACAAAATATAAGCAAAATATAGGCTTGTTAATGTACTACTAGATTTTTTTTTTTTTTTGAGACAGAGTCTCACTCACTCTATCGCCCATGCTGGAGTGCAGTGGCGTGACCTCGGCTCACTGCAACCTCCGCCTCCTGGGTTCAAGCGATTCTCCTGTCTCAGCCTCCTGAGTAGCTGGGACTACAGGTGCATGCCACCACACCTAGCTGTTTTTTTGTTTTTTGTTTTTGGTATTTTTAGTAGAGACAGGGTTTCGTCATGTTGGCCGGGCTGCTCTTGAACTCCTGACCACAGGTGATCCACCTGCCCGGCCTCCCAAAGTGCTGGGATTAGAGGCGTGAGCCACTGCGCCCAGCCCCATGTACTACTAGATCTTTTAAACATTCAGAGTCCAAGACTTCTAAATCAAGTTTTATCTCAGAGTTGACAATGCACAAATTTTCCAATACAAAATCCTCTTATGTGGCCTCAGCAGTGTGGGTGATGCAGCAGTCCTTAAAACAGTGCTTCACCACTCTATCCAGGATTTCCTTCCAAGCAGCTGGCATCCATTTGCAAGCTTCCATGCTGGTGCTTTTTCTGATCTTATCAAAAGGGGTCAATGAAAGGTTTATAGCCCCACCCAGAATTCATTTTCTATACTGACTGAAACCATGAGGAGTTGCTGTTGCCAAATCACACTACCAGAAATGGCCCAGTGTTGACATTCAAATTTGTCCACATGTTGACGATGGCAGCTCCCTGATATCCACTGTAAAATACATTCAATTTCAGAGGTACTAAAATGTGGGAGAAGTTAACCTTAGGCTCAGTGAAATGTGGTGGTATGATCTCTTAAGCTTCTGTCCTAAGCTATAACTCTGCAGGTATTAAAAGTAAAACCAGTCTTGAATGTAATTGACTGAAATCACGATTTGCCTTTTCAACCCTGAGTGACACTTTAGTGCACAAACACAACCATTACAGAAATTATCCTAATAAATATCTTACTTTATCAGTGTATATACTCTGAATTGGGTTGGCATAATCTTAGAAGGTTTAGAAAGACTCCATAAGCTTTGACATCTACATGACTTCCTATAGCTCAACCTAGAATGGTGATCAACAACAACAACAACAAAAACGGAAGGCAGACCATCTTATAACACAGGTATGTAAGAGGGCTGGGGAGGGCGCTGTACGTACAGTTGAATCAACTCAAATCTCTCAGTGAAGAAATTAGTTGTATTCTGAAACAGAAGATGCCATCGTCCATTAGTATAGCTATGAAGAAATACCTGAGGCTGGGTAATCTATAAAGAAAAGAGGTTTATTTGTCTCATGATTTTTCAGGCTGTACAAGAAGCATGGCACCAGCATCTCCATCTGGTGGGAGCCTCAGGCTGCTTCCACTCATGATGGAAGGTGAAGGGGAGCCAGCTATGCAGTCACATGGCAAGAGAGGAAGCAAAGGGAGGGGAGGTACCAGGCTCTTTAACAACCAGCTCCAGCAGGAACTAACAGAGTGGGAAATCATTCGTTAGCACAAGGATGGCACCAAGCCATTCATGAGGGATCTGCCCGCATGACCCAAACACTGCCCATTAGGCACCACAACATTACAGATCATATTTCAACATGAGGTTTGGAGGGACAAACATCCAAACTATAGCAGGAAGTGTAAAATCTTATAAATTCCCAATACTTTAAAAAGACAATAAAACACAAAATGAAAAATCTAGAGAATCTGAAGCAGTGAAGGGGGTCTGAGAAATCATGAGGTCAAAGCTTCTTAGTAGAGAGGCAGAGGAAAGCAAAGGGAAGAGAGGTTGAAAGAGGCCAAAACACATTACCTGGATGCAATGAAGACTAAGATTGTTACCCTGACAAGAAAGACAGCTCATTATTCACTTTCTACTTTGCCACACAGCCCAGCATAATAATGTCCACACATGACTGATATTCTGCTGAATGGAACTAAATCTGTCCAGGGATTGGTGGAAAGAAATGTGGTGGAAGATGACAGTGAGTATTATGGAGAAGGGGAGGAGGATAGCCACAGACCCCAGCCAAGGAGCTATCAAAATGATCTGTCTCCAATTACTTCACCCACATCCTATTCTAAGCCACAGAGTACAAGAACACCAGTATCAACGATGGTCTCCGTTTGGTGATTTTCCACTTTTCTCCTTACCTCACACCCATAGGATGGCTACTATAAACAAACAAAACCAGAAAATAACAAGTGTTGGTGAGAATACGGAGAAATTGGAATCCTTGTGCATTGCTGGTGGAAATGTAAAATGGTACAACCACTATGCAAAACAGTATGGAAATTCCTCAAATAATTAAAAATAGAATTACCATATGATCCAGTAATTCCACTTCTGGGTATATATCTAAAAGAACTGAAACCAGCATCTTGAAGAGATACATGTATACCTATGTTTATAAAACATTATTCACAATAGCTGCTATAGTTTGTATATTTGTTCCCCCAAACCTCATGTTGAAATCTGATCCCTGATATTGGAGATGGTGCCTAGTGGACAGTGTTTGGGTCATGGGGGCAGATTCCTCATGAAAGGTTTGGTGCCATCCTTGCTGTAATGAGTGACTTCTCGCTCTATTAGTTCCTGCCAGAGCTGGTTGTCAGAAAGAGCCTGGCACCTCCCCGCTTCTCCTGCTTCCTCTCTCACCATGTGATCTCTACACACCAGCTCCCCTTCACCTTGCACCACAAGTGGAAACAGCCAGAGGCCCTCACCAGATGGAGATGCTTGTGTCACACTTCTTGTACAGCCTGCAGAACCATGAGCCAAATAAACCTCTTTTAAAAACAAGTTACCCAGCCTCAGGTATTCCTTTTATAACAACACAAATGAAGTAAAGCAACAGCTAAAAAGTGGATGCATCACAAGTGTTCACCAACAGATGAATGGATAAGCAAAATGCAGTATGTACGTGCAATGGAATATTATTCAGCCTTAAAAACTAAGGGAATTCTGACATGCTACAGCATGGATAAACCCTGAGGACATTATGGGAAATAGGCCAGTCACAAAAAGACAAGTACTATATGACTCCACTTATATCAGATACCTAGTATAGTCAAAATCATAAAGACAGAAAGTAGAAGGGCTGTTTCCAGGAGCTAGGTGGAGGGGATAATAGGGAGTTATTGTTTAATGGGTATAGAGTTTCTGTTTTACAAGATGAAAAGAATTATAGAGGTGGATGATTACTGTGGTTGCACATTATAAATGTATTTAATACCACTGAATTGTACACTTAAAATGGTCAAGACAGTAAATTTTGTATTATGTATATTTTACCACAATAAAAAAACTGGGAAAAAAGAAAAAATGCAAACTAAGGGAGAACACTACAGTTATGGATGTAGTGATCCAGTCATTGGTTAGAGAGATCCTTTTCTATAGGCAATAAAATCAAGCTGTTAAACATTACAGGTTTCAGAAATCAGAACAATATGGGCTCCCTCTAGTGGTTTAAAACACCTTTAAATACTCTCAGATACTGAAAGGAAGATTCTAATTTATTTTGATTTCTTGGTGATGGGTGGGGAGAGAGATCACCTAATTATTTTCTTATTGGGAAACCCAAGTCTCACAAGTAGATCACTACTAACATTCATCCCAATAGATGAGGAGAGGGGAGTAGGCCCATAGATCAAATGTGATGGCTCCAAAGCCACAAGGCAAGTTTATCTACTCCCTTCAGGATCCATCAGAAGCTTAAGCAGCCATGAATGAAGAGAAGGGGGCAGAGCTAAGCCATATGACAAGGAAGACAGCTCACTCCCCCTTTGACTAATATCGTTCTCTTTGTCCTATCACCATAACATAAAAAACGAATTTACTCATGTGGCTATGAAAACATCTCTGAAGAAACCAAATAAAATAGTTTCAAACAGGTTTCAGGCCAAGCCCAGCCTAAGTTTATAGGCTGCCTTGGCTGCTCTGACCGTTAAGATTTGTTTGAATTTCTCAGTGCTATCATACAAAGAGAGGTCTCATCACTTCACAGTCATTTATCCTATTAAAAACTGCATTCTAATCAGGTGATTTTTATGATTTGAAGGCTGAGAGAGGATTTTTTTTTTCACAGTATAGCAAATCTGAATAAGGCTGCCATTTGCACTGAAGCTTTCAGTCTTGTTATATAACACCTTGTTATATAAAGTGTTGGGGATTGGCTGGGTGTGGTGGCTCACACCTATAATCCTAGCATTTTGGGAGGCTGAGGCCAAGGCGGTGGATCACCTGAGGCCAGGAGTTCAAGACGAGCCTAGCCAACATGGTGAAACCCTGTCTCTACTAAAAATGCAAAAATTAGCCGGCACGGTGGCGGACACCTGTAATCCCAGCTACTCGGGATGCTGAGGCAGGAGAATCACTTGAACCCAGGAAGCGGAGGTTGCAGTGAGCTGAGATTGCACCACTGCACTCCAGCCCAGGCGACAAGTAAAACTCCGCCTCAAAAAATAAGTAGATAGGTAGGTAGGTAGGTAGGTAGATAGATAGATAGATAGATAGATAGATAGATAGATAGATAGATAAAAATAAAGCGTTGGGGATCTAAAGTGTGATCTACAGGTGAAAAAAAACCAGTGCAAATAAATCAAAGGCAAAGGAAAAGCATGAAATATCTCTGCTAAGAAATGTAAATAACAATTACGAAACAGATGGGCAATGTAATTGGTACCTAGCTGATTGCAACTGTAGCTATCTATAATGGCATAGTTTTCTGCCATTGCTAAGAGAGTTACTGTTCATAAAAAAAACAGATTAGTTTATGTAGTTTAGAGGAAAAAGCCTTTTCAACAAAATATCAGAGAAATGACAGAAATAATTATTTATTTATTTTTTTTTTGAGACAGAGTCTCACTCTGTCACCCAGGCTGAGGTACAGTGGCATGATCTCGGCTCACTGCAACCTCTGCCTCCTGGGTTCAAGGGATTCTCCTGCCTCAGCCTCCTTAGTAGCTGGATTACAGGCACATGCCACCATGCTTGGCTAATTTTTGTATTTTTAGTAGAGACAGGGTTTCAACATGTTAGCCAGGCTGGTCTTGAACTCCTGACCTCGTAATCCTCCCACCTCTGCCTCCCAAACTGTTGGGATTACAGGTGTGAGCCACTGTGCCCAGCAGAAAGAAAATTATTCTTGAATCCGTTTCTAAAAAATGTATCAACCAGTCCAAAGTTTCTTTCAAAGAAGATGGTAAAAATCTGAACAAAGTTCTTTTGAATTCTATTAAGTGCCATGAGAGTTGCTCTGATTTGCTTTACTAAAATTTAAGTAGAATGCATGAAAACAAAAGCAGCTTCTGGTATAGTATGAGATAGTGTTAGCATAAATAAAATGCCATCGAGTTTTTAAATACTATCTAAGTTCTATACTAAATAGCATGCCACTTACACTTGAAAATAAATGTAATTAAGTACAATGTTTATGGTAATTTCTATAAAATGTTGGGCATCAGATCCCCAGTTAGAATAAACATTTTCTGTCACATCACTTTTTCTATGAGAAAATAAGATTCAAATTAAAATTGTTTTAATTGTCAGAACATTTTTCTGCTGAGCATGAGGACTGTCTATAGGCTGGATTCCCCCAACACTATTTCACTAGTAAATCGACTAAGAAGCATGTGTTTTTCATGAGATGTCATCATCTACATGGGTTTACTCAGGTACCAGTGAAACCCACAATTATACCCCATCAAAGCCCTTTATGTGAGGCATGCTTCAAAACCTCAGTTGGCTTCCTTACTCATCAGGAATGATATAACACATTTTCTTCACGTGCTCTTTCCAGTAAGTCATCTTTCAGATCACAGAACCAAAACACTGTCATTTTGTGATAGATATTCCAGAGGAGGAGGTGACATACACATTCACGAAGTCAAGAAATGAAAAACTGTCAGCCAGTGGGTTTGAATTTGTTATTATTCTGCAGTTTTCACATCATTTATTTATGTTCAACTAAATAATATGGTCCCTAAGGGCAAAGATTATACTTTATTCTCCCTATAGGGCCAGGATATTATGAGTATGTATAATAGGGCTAAAAGATACTTGTGGAAGAAATTATTTTTATGTTTCAATCTGTAGCAGAGAGACATGTGCCTTGTTTCTCGGAACAGCTAAAAATGATAAAGGATTTAAGATGTAAATTATTAAAGAAACAAACAAAAAATATTTCCCCCAAATTCCGATGATGAATAAAATATGTTTAAGATATAGTGTTCCTGCAAAGCTATAATTTGGAATAAGTACACTTTAATGCATTTTACTCTATGTGTGTTAATCCTCACCTTTAAAATAAAGATATAATGCTCTTACAGTATTATCTAGGACTTATTTGACACAAATCATTCATAACGTCATCCTTGTCTCAGAAATGACAATTCCATTTGTGAAGTTGCTCAGGCCAAACCTGAGGGTCATCTGTGATGCCTCTCTTTTGTTACCCCTCACCTCCAACGTATTATCAAATCCTTTATTTTGCATTGAAAATCTATGCACAACCCAACCACTTTGGCTACCTCCACATTTCCTGCCCTGGTCCAAGACACCGTCTCTGTCCTAAGCCATTGCCATGACTTCCTACCTGGTCTCTCTGCCTTTGCTCATATCCTGTGCATTTTACAGTCAACAGAGTATCCAGAGGCCCCATTAACACATAAGTCAGACTCTGACTATCCATTCCTCTACTCAGAGCCCTCCGGCAGCTCCCATGCCACCCAGAGTTAAGCCAAATGACCTAAAAATCCCTGTGTGATCCTCTGCATCATATTTATGGACTCAAACTCCCATCACTCCCTGTGATCCAGCCACGAGTTTCTTTGCTGTTCCTTAATAGCCCAGGCCCACCCCTGGGCCTTTAGGGTGCTGTGCCTTCTGCCTGCACTGCTCTTCCTCCACTAGGTATCTGCATGGCTTTCCCATCACTCACTCCAGGTCTTAACCCAGAAATCATTCTCCCTAGGACATTTTCTCAGACCAACTTCCTTAAAACTATACCACCACCCCCACCGTGGTACTTCCTATCTCCCTTCCTCACCTTATTTTTCTCCTGAGTGGTTATTACTGATTAACATACTATACATTTCATCTCATTATCATCTATCTTCCCCCCTAAAATACACTCCACGAGTACAGAGGTTTTCCTTCCTTTTGTTCACTGCTGTATCCTCACTGCGAAGAAAAGTGTCTCGCATCAAGTAGGTGCTAATATATCTTTATTGAATTAACTGAATGAGTTCTAATTCCTACTTATTGGAAGATTCTAGAAGTCCTGTCAGTTTCATAAGAAAAAGGTGCTTTTTGTTAGCAGGTTTGGTATCATTATCTTTTTATCTACCCAAGAGTTGATAAGTACATTTCTCTCTGTATCCATACAGCAAGGAAAGTCACTGGGTACCTTCTTTCACTAGAGTCAGATACCACAAACAGAGGGATGTGAGAAATTTTCTGGACTGTCCTTCGTAGGAGACAGGGTGGGTTGTATTCTTCCCCTTCCCCTTCTTTACAGGAGGGAATAAGAAGTGTTCAGCGAGGCTCAGGGACCTACCACAGGTCCAGGCCATGTGGGAAGCTGGGGCACAATCCTCACCCAGGGCTGCTTCTTCAACTGGACACTTCAACATGCAGCTGGGTCAAGTGTGCAAGGCATCCCTCCCACAACCCCTGGTGCTGCTGGTCCCTGGAAGTTTAGAAGCAGACCAGTCAGCACTGCCTGGATGCCCTCATAGCTAGGACTGACCCCTTTACAAGGGACAAAAAAAAAAGGAAACACAGCAAACCTCTGATGGTGGCTGGACTGCAGGAGAGTCACTGGTAGGCCCAGTGACCAGGGACACTCAGGAAAGGCATATCTAAATCCTGATGGATGAGGGTAGCCTTTTCTTCTCATAACTGGAGAAAATAAATATACAAGCTCAGGGATTTTCTCTGTGGGTTCTAGGGGGCCGTTCTGTCACTATTAACTGTGATAAAAATGAAATGCCATCTGCACACGGGTCTGGTTTTGAAGAAAAAGGGGGAGATTGTATAGTTAGCATGTAACTGTTGAAGAGCATAAACAATTGCCAACAAATACTTGCAAAAAATGTCATCAAACAAAAAGGAAATGTTCTAGGTGTTTGTAAAAGGCAAGAGAAAAATGTGATGTTCCTTATTAAAGAACATTAAGAACACTGAAATAAAGTATAATTTTAATACTTTACAATATTTTTCACAATCAAGAAAAAGTTTATGTTGCTGAAGAGGGAGTAAAAGTCAAGGGGAAGAAGGTAGAGAATAAAAAAAGAATAAAAATAATTAAAACAGAAAAATGCTCTAATTCTATTGAAGGTACTTCTCCCTATTTTTCAAAAAAGACCAAACATTAAAAAGTCATGAAGAGACCTCATCAAAATTAAAAACTTTTCAAAGCTTATGTGAAGCTACAGACTGGGAAAAAATAGTTGCAAACCACATATCCAACAAAGGAGTACTACCTAGGATACAGAAATATTTTTTAAAACTCAACAACTAAAAAAATCATTAGAAAATGGGCAAAAACTTCAGCCATTGTGGAAGACAGTGTGGTGATTCCTCAAGGATCTAGAACCAGAAATACCATTTGACCCAGCAATCCCATTACTGGGCATATACCCAAAGGATTATAAATCATGCTGCCATAAAGACACATGCACATGTATGTTTACTGCAGCACTATTCACAATAGCGAAGACTTGGAACCAACCCAAATGTCCATCAATGATAGACTGGATTAAGAAAATGTGGCACATATACACCATGGAATACTATGCAGCCATAAAAAATGATGAGTTCATGTCCTTTGTGGGGACATGGATGAAGCTGGGAACCATCATTCTGAGCAAACTATCGCAAGGACAAAAAACCAAACACCGCATGTTCTCACTCATACGTGGGAATTGAACAATGAGAACACCTGGACACAGGAAGGGGAACATCACACACCGGGGCCTGTTGTGGGGTAGGGGGAGGCGGGAGGGATAGCATTAGGAGATATACCTAATGTAAATGACGAGTTAATGGGTGTAGCACACCAACATGGCACATGTATACATATGTAACAAACCTGCACGTTGTGCACATGTACCCTATAACTTAAAGTATAATAAAAAAAAAAAAAAGAAAAGAAAAAAAGAAATCTACAAAGAAAAAAAGAAGAAAGAAAATGTGGCACATATACATCATGGAATACTATGCAGCCATAGAAAAGGATGAATTCATGTCCTTTGTAGGGACACGGATGAAGCTGGAAACCATCATTCTGAGCAAACTATTGCAAGGACAGAAAACCAAACACCGCATGTTCTCAGTCATACATGGGAATTGAACAATGAGAACACTTGGACACAGGGTGGGGAACATCACACAACGGGGCCTGTTGTGGGGTGGAGGGAGGGGAGAGGGATAGCATTAGGAGATATACCTAATGTAAATAATGAGTTAACGGGTGCAGCACACCAACATGGCACATGTACACGTATGTAACAAACCTGCACGTTGTGCACATGTACCCTAGAACTTAAATTTAAAAAAAAAGAAATAAAATGGGCAAAAACATAGACATTTCACTGAAGAGGATTCAGCAATGGCAAATAAGCACTTGAAAAGTTGTTCAGCATCATTAGCCATCAGGAAAATACAAATTAAAACTACAATGCAATATGACTACATACCCATCAGAATGGCTAAAATAAAAATTAGTGATAGCACCAAATTCTGGCAAGGATATGGAGAAACTAGATCACTCACACATTGCTGGTGGGAATATAAAATGGTAAAACCACTCTGGAAAACAGTTTGGCAGTTTCTTATAAAACTCAACATGCAATTACCATTCAACCCAGCAATGTTACCTTTGAACATTAATCCCAGAGAAAGAAAAACTTATGTTAATACAAAAACCAGTACTAAAATGTTCATAGCAACTTTATTTGTAATAGCCAAAAACAGGAATCAGACCAGATGTCCTTCAGTGGGTGAATGTTTAAACAAATTGTGGTATATATATACCATAGATAATAATCAGCAATAAAAAGGAATAAGCTACTGGTATACACATATATTGAATGAATCTCCAGGGAACTGTGCTGAAGGAAAAAGTCAACCCCAAAAGGTTATACACTGTATGATTACATTTATATAACATTTTTGAGAGACAAAATTTTGGAGACAGAGAACAGATTTTGGTGATCATCAGGGGTAAGGAATTGGGGTGGGTGAGGGGTCCCATGGTAATGGAGCAGTCCTGTATTTTGATGGTGGTGGTAGATACATGAACCTATACATGTGACAAAACTGTATAGAACTAAACACAAGGCCAGGCACAGTGGCTCAAGCCTGTAATCCTAGCACTGTCGGAGGCCAAGGCGGATCACCTGAGGTCAGGAGTTTGAGACCAGCCTGGCCAACATGGTGAAACCCCGTCTCTACTAAAAATACAAAAAGTTAGCCAGGCGTGGTGATGCATGCCTGTAATCCTGCCTACTGGGGAGGCTGAGGGAGGAGAATTGCTTGAACCCAGGAGGCAGAAGTTGCAGTGAGCCGAGATTGTGCCATTGCACTCCAGCCTAGGAGATAATAGTGAAACTCTGTCTCAAAAAAAAAAAAAAAAGAACTAAACACAAATACACACACACAAGTACAGGTAAAACTGGGGAAATCTGAATTAGATCAGTGGATTGTATCATTGTAAATATACTGGTTGTGACACAGCTCTACAGTTCTACAAAATATCACCATCCAGGAAACTAGGTAACAGGTACACAAAATCTCTGTGTATTATTTCTTACAACTGCATATGAATCTCCAATTATCTCAATAAACATTTAAATTTTAAAAAAATCATGGAGACATTATGGCCCCTTCTCCCACATCCCTGAGACCTAACTGAATATACCACTGTGTACAAAGAAGTGAGTGAGCTTGGCAGCCAAAAAATGCATTTGGTTCAACTGATGCTTAATTAAACCCATCAAATTTACATAGACACTCTCTAACAGTCCTCTTACTGAGTCAGCCAGGGTTTACATTCTGTATGCTATTCATATCTCCAGCTACAGTTGAAAAAACGATATTTTAAAATAGTAGGACACAATCATATTTAGTTTTAGTATAATCATACTGTTCTCAAGGTGTCAAAAATTACCCGTTTATCCCAATTCACAGTTTAATTAAAATTGTTAAAAAGCAAGATAGTATAGTTTGATTAATGTGTCCAATTAGTGAATTTTTATAAGCAACATTCAAAATTTCATGCTCTTTATGATTTCATTTTTAAAGACGATCGTTTTAAGTCAATTAATGCAAAAAGAGATAATGCCAATAAAATAATGGACTGCAACATGCACAAAATAAAAAGTATTATTATATTTCCAACCTAATTTATTTATACATTATGGTTGTTTTAGCTTTTTTATTGCTGCTCTAGTAACACAAATTAGATTTTTTTAAAATTCACAAAATATAGTCCATATATCAATGTATTTATTGACTTCACAATATCTGCAAAATCTCAGAAAAACGTTTTAGCAATGTCCTAGCTCTAGGCTGACATTTCCAATTCTATTTAGTCCTAGAGTGGAGTCTGCATAAACTGTTCCATATTAAATTAACGTCTAACATCCCATCCCTATCTCTGACTGAAAATAATCTTTTATAAAATAAACTTAAGCATCTTTCTTCACGTGTAAATCATGACTGTGGATAAACAGAGTCAAGCAGAGCCCATTCGTTTGTTTTTCTGCTTATGTCTGTTAGTCATTGCCCTTCATTCCTTGTAGCTCCCACCTTAGTACCCCACTTTTAGTTTTAGGATATACAGCCTGAACTGGCCCTGCTACCTAAGAGGATCAGAGAGTCATGTCTGTAGTCTGGCAAGAACATGACCTGTAAGCTTCTCTCAAGAGAGAAAATGCTTGCTTGAATTCAGAAACCACTTACAAAGCATACAGGGGCTCTCTATTGTGAGATGAAATCATGCCTGTGGGGTAAGAGTGTAGATTTTTACCTACATTAAAACAAGAGCACTGGCTCCAGGCAGCCCTCAGGGCACTGCCTTGCTCCAAGGTGTTTTCCTGAGCAATGCACACACAGGACAATGAGGTCCATGGTACAAGGGCCAAATTCTAAAGCAGCAGAGTCTTGTCATCTAAACCCAGGCAATCAGGCAATCACAAGCTCCCCACTGTGCTTTTGGACAGCCCAGGCTGTAAGCTGGGGTGGGAGTGTGGAGAAGGGTGGGAGCCCCGGATGTGGGGACTTTTACCAGGACAAGTACCAGATGCAGCCCATGATCTCTCACTATGTCAATGCATGATTCTATCATATTTAGCTCCTGTCACCCAACTAGCAAGTGTCTTCTGGGAAGGTGCCCACTCTCTCACCATTTTGTATTTTCCAGCACTGAGAACAACTCTAGGCACAGAAGAAAAGCAAGGTAACATGAGAGAGCAATATCTCAGGGACCAGTCAGACATGAGAGAGAATCCCAACTCTGCCTTTGTCACTTAATAAACACTCATATAATTAATGCACACTGTGCACTATTCTGTGCATTATTTTAAAATAATGACTTACGCTTCATAACAATGTTATGACGTGGTACTATTATTAGGCATTATTTTGCAAAATTAAGACCTGAGGCACAGAGAGACTCAGTAATTTGCCCAAAGTGTGAGTGGGCCACAACGCTAGCAGTAGAGGTCATGAGGAGTTGTCAGATTCTGGATATATTACGTTTTGCAGTGGTGTGAACAAGAATCTTGGACTAGAGGTTGCAGAGAGATAAGTCAAGGATGACTCCAAAGTTTCTGGCCTTAGCAACTATAAAGATGAAGTCACTAATTATAGAAATTGAAAAAAATGTTATTTTCATTCTTCTTACATCCTTATTAGAAATATCCTAACAGACCACTTCCACCAAGATGAAGTAACCCTTCCACCCGAAACAACAACCAAAAAACAAGACAAACTTTATAAAATAACACTTTCAAGACACTGGACATCAGGCAGTGAAGAACTGTGGTTCCTGATGGAAAAGAAGCAGGGTGAGCCTACAGCTGCTACTTACTGCCTAGACAAAGTCTCCAGGCCACAGTGCAGGGAGAAAACGTCAGGATGAGCACAGCAGACTTTCTGAGTCATGATGAGAATCCAGGGACAACATGGCACCAGCTGTTTGCAGGAAAACAAAAGAAGACAGAGCTGCAGAGCAACAGATAGCTCAGGAGGTCTGCAGGTGATCTCCCTCAAGTTTTCAGTAGAGGTCTTACCAGCACACGTATGTGAGGAAACTATCTGAGGTCCGGGAAAGCAACATCAGACCAGGTTGGAAGAAACAGAGCTCTGTTCACACAGGACTGAGAACAGTGTCTGTCACCACCAGCCAGACCAGAAAATCTAACTCAGGGTCACCAGAGAGAGTGTTTGGAAGAGTCTTGACTCAGTACTGGGAAATGATTACGAAGGAGGAGAAAAATGGAAGTAAACTATTGTATGGTTCTTATACTATGTTGTATGTGAAGTGGTATAATATCTTGAGGGTAAACTTTGTAAAATAAAGATGTATACTATAAACCCTAAAGTAACCACTAAAACAACAAAACAAAAAGTTGTTGCCAATCATCAAAAAAGGAAAAATATGGAATTTCACTCACACACAAACACACACTTCTATGAATTTTTTTTTCTTTTGAGACGGAGTCTCACTCTCTCGCCCAGGCTGGAGTGCAGTGGCATGATCTCCACTCACTGCAAGCTCCACCTCCAAGGGTTCACGCCATTCTCCTGCCTCAGCCTCCTGAGTAGCTAGGACTACAGGCGCCTGCCACCACGCCCAGCTAATTTTTTGTATTTTTAGCAGAGACAGGGTTTCACCATGTTAGCCAGGATGGTCTTGATCTCCTGACCTTGTGATCCGCCTGCCTTGGCCTCCCAAAGTGCTGGGATTACAGGCATTGAGCCACCGTGCCCAGCCACACACTTCTATGATTTAAAAGAAGGAAGAAAAGGGAAGAAATGACAGATCAGGCAAATAAATAATAAAAATACCTACGTATTATTTGCTATTTTTAAATATTTAATATTAATATTAAATATTATTTTGTTTGCTATTATTTATAACATAGATGTTTGCTGTTTTTCTATTTTTGCTTGCTATTTTTATTTTGTTTGCTATATTAGAAATAGCATATTATAATTTATATAATTTATTACATTATAAATAATTGCAAACAAAATTAAAATTGCAAGCAAAAATAGAAAAAATAGCAAACACATAAATAGCAATATGATACACTTTAATCATATCAATAATCAGATTAAATATAAATGCCATAACGCCCCAATTAAAAAGGTTGAGCTTGTCAGATTGGATAAAAATACAAGACCTAATGATATGTTGCCAAAAGAAAACACACTTGAAATATATAGACACAAATAGGTTCAAAGTAAATGAACCTATGGATGTAAAAAGTCATATTGTGCTAACACAAATCAACAAAAAGCTGACTTAGTATTAGATAAAGTAGATTTCAAAGCAAAGAATATTACATCCGGGATAAAGAGATTATATCATAAAAAGGTCAATCCATGAAGATGATGAAACAATTATATACCAAATGACAGAGCTTCAAAAAAAAGAAGCAAAAAGTGATAGAACTGCAGGGAGAAACAGACAAAGCCACAATTATAACGGAAAATTTCAATACTGTTCTCAAAAATTAATAGAAAAAGTAGACAAAAAAAGCAGTAAGGATACAGAAAGCCTGAATAAAACTATCAGCCAACTTGACCTAATTGTCATTTATGGAACATTCTACCCAACAATACCAGAATACCCATTCTTTTCAGATGCACATGGAACATTTGCCAAGATAGCCCATATTATGGGACATTAAATAAGTCTCAATAAATTTAAAAGTACTCAAATCAGACAAAATGTTTTCTCTGACTACAATGTAATTAAATTAGAAATCAGTAGCAAAAAGATATTTGGAAAATCCCAGTATCTGGAAACTAACATACTTCTAAATAACACATGGGTCAAAGAAGAAATCAAAAGAAGAATGAAAAAGTATTTTGCACTGAGTAAAAATGAAAACACTTGCCAGAATATGTGGGATGCACTAAAACACTATGTAGCAGGAAATTTTATCTCAATTCCATCTTCAGGAACTAGAAAAACAAAAGCAAATAAAAGAAACAATAAAGAACAGAGCAGAAAGCAAAGAAATAGAAAATAGTAAAACAATACAGAAAATCAATAAAGTCCAAAGTTTCACTGATTTTTCAGAAGATCTATAAATGTGATGGTTAATTTTACATGTCAACTTGACTGAGCCATGGGTGCCAGGATAATTGATTAAACATTATTTCTGGCTGTGTCTATGAGGGTGTTGCTGGATGAAATTAGTATTTGAATCCATAGACTGAATAAAGCAAAAACCTCCCTCAATGTGGGTGAGCCTCATCCAATCCACTGAAGGCCTGAATAGAATAAAAGGCTGGGTAAGAAAGAATTCTCTCTACCTGTCTTCTCCTGCCTTTGGGTAGCCCAGCACTCACATCATGGGCTCTCCTGGTTCTTGGGTCTCCAGACTAGGACTGGAATGACACCATTGTCTCTCCTGGGTATCCAGCTTGTCAAGTGTGGATCTTGAGTTGGGGCTTGGCCTCCATAACTGCATGAACCAATTCCCTATAATAAATCTCATTTTATATAATCTATTGGTTCTATTTTTCTGGAGAACCTAGAGAAATACAATAAACTTCTAGCCAGATTGATGAGTAAGAAGAAAAGATACAAATTACCAATATCAAGAATAGGAAAGGTGACATCACTGGTGATAGAGAAAATAAAAGCACAGCTGATGAGTTGTAGCTGAAGCTATAATCTAGCCCTAGAATCAATGGACACAATCGAGATAACTTCTTTGCTTCGTATTGCTAAGAACTTGCCCCTTTTCTAAAACCATAAGCTGTAAATACCCCAGCCTGGGGCAAGGTTTCCTTCTGACTACTGAATATACCCTGACTATCTTCCCTCAGGAAGTACAATGAAGAGTAAACTTAAGGAATCTACTCCTGCCTTCTGAGCAGAATCAAGGGCACATGCAAAACTGCCTCTTCTGCTCTCCTGGTTCTCAAAACGACGTAGAGAGGCATTATCATTCTCTTCGTGATCTGAGATATTTCACATATAGATCACGACCTTACATTAGCAACACCCCAATTGAGCACCAACCATGTGCTCAGTACTGTGACCTGGGACTGGGGTAATGCCAACTCTGAATACAGCATGGATCCTGCTCTCAAAGAACTGATCAACTAGGGGAGAGTGAATACACAGTAAAGGAATGGATGAAACTTCAACATGTTATGGGAGCATATTAATTAATCATTAACGCTAAACAGAGAGACCAGGGAAAACTGAGGGAAAGGTGATGCCTGAACTAGACTTTGAAGAACAAGGGATCCTCTGAAGAGCAGAAATTGGATGGGAGAAAATTCCAGGCCAAAGAAAACTCCAGGCAAAGACACAAAAGCAGGAAAATGTAAAACACAGCTATGCCTATAATACAGTATGCATGTTGAAAGCGTAGGGCGAAGGGAGACTAGGGACGAAAGACAGATAAGAGGAGATTACAGAGGACCTTGAATCCCTTGTTAAGGAGGCTGGACTTTATTTTGTAAGAAAAGGAAACCAGCAAAGGCTTTTTCAGCTTGCAAGGGATATAGTCAGAACCGTGCTTCACACATATTAGACTGGAGAGAAAGAAACTGAAGTCAAGGATAGTAGTGAGGTGCTTACTGAAATACTCCAAATAAGACATGACAGCAGTGGCCTGGTGCAAGGCTGATAGCACCTTAGAATGGTGGGGATTGAAGGAGTAGGCATTCTGGAGGCAGAATAAGCAGGTGGGAGAGAAAAGAGATCTCCAAAGGAAAAGAGCACAGCTGAAAATGTTCCACAGTTTCAACGTGAGTAACATGAAAATAATGTTCCTATTTGTTGAGATTATAAAACAGAGTAGGAAGGAAGCACAGGGGTAGGGCTCCAGGGAGGTGACATGCCTTCTTCTGAATGGCTGAGATAGTGGTATTTATGGAATGGCCATGGGGACATGTCTTCAGGAAGCCAGAAGGCCAGGGCCAGCAGGGAGATGCATAGATTTATGAGTCGGCTGCACAGGCAGGAGAGCTATGCTATAAGAACAGCTACCATGCTGTAATTACATCAAGCTTAAGCCCAGGCCTCTGTAGGAATTAACTAATCAGTACATTTTTTTCAGTATCCAATCAAGTTTTTATAATCTAATCTCTTGTAAACATTCAATGTTTTACACAAAACAATTTTATTGAATGTCAAGATTATATGAATTTGATAAATATTCAAACATTTGTAACCTAAAGCAAATTTTTTCTAGTTTTTATATTAGTAATATCCAGTTGTGTTTAGCTTAATTATACCTACAGTGCTGCTTGAACTATCTGAGGTGAAGGACCAATTTTTAAATTCCCAGTCCATTATGGTCCTACTGTCCTATGGACTGAATGCCCCCTTGCCCTCAACAAATTCATGTTAAAGCTGTAACCCCCAATGTGGCTGTATTTGGAGACAGGGCCTACAAGAAGGTAATTAAAGTTGAAAGGGGTCATAAGGGTGGGGCCATGATATGATAGGACTATCATCCTTACATGAAGAGATACCAGTGAGCTCACATACTCATTCTCTTTGAGTACACACAAAGAATTGGTCATGTTAGGATATAGCAAGATGGTGGCCATCTAAAAGCTAGGAAAAAAGGTCTCAGAATGGAACCTACCCTGTTGGCACCTTGCTTGGATTTTTGTTCTTTAAGCTACCCAGTCTGTGTTATTGTGCAAACTAATGCATACTACGTGTGACCAAAATGAGCTTGCATCTCATGCAGATCATCATACAAATTGAGCACTACCCTAATTGGTTTACCTTGGTTAACAGGATAAGCCCACTGATTGTGTGCTTAAATACTGCAGCAGCATCAAACTGCCTTAGGAGTTTGTAAACACCTTCCATTTCTGTGCTTATCTGATTGTGGGCTGGTAAAAAATACTTTGTGGACTAACACCAGTCTGCAGATCACACTTTGTCCAGCACCAGTTTACAGTCTTTCTGTGATTGTTTTGTGAAAAAATGCAACATTTAGCTTAAGCACATAACTCAAAGGCAGGAATTTTAAACACACGTATGCTGCAGAGTGAGGGGAATAATACAGAAGCTCAGTCCTATCCTATCTGGGCAAGTGTTGTGGGAAGTCAGGAACCCTGAACGGAGGGACCTGCTGAAGCTGTGACAGAAGAACATAAATTGTGAAGATTTCATGGACATTTATTAGTTACCCAAATTAATACTTTTATAATTTCTTACACCTGTCTTTACTACAATCTCTGAACATAAATTGTGGAGATTTCATGGACATTTATCACTCCCCCAATCAACACTCTTATAATTTCCTATGCCTGTCTTTAATCTCTTAATCCCATCATCTTCGTAAATTGAGGATGTATGTCGCCTCAGGATCCTGTGATGATTGCGTTATCTGCACAAATTGTTTGTAGAGCATGTGTGTTTGAACAATATGAAATCTGGGCATCCAAAAGGAACAGGATGGCTGCGATTTTCAGGGAACAAGGGAGATAACCATGGGGCCTGACTGCCTGAGGGGCTGGACAGAACAGTCATATTTCTCTTCTTACAAAAGCAAATAGGAGAAATATCACTGAATTCTTTCTCTCAGCAAGGAACAGCCCTGAGAAAGAGAATGCTTTCCTAGGGGGAGGTCTCTAAAATGGCCGCTCTAGGAATGTCTGTCTTATATGTCGATAAGGGATGAAATAAGCCCCGGTCTCCTGTAGTGCCCCCAGGCCTATTAGGATTAGGAAATTCCTGCCTAGTAAATTTTAGTCAGACCGGTTGTCTGCTCTCAAACCCTGTCTCCTGATAAGATGCTATCAATGATAATGCGTGTCCAGTGGGACATGAAACTTCATCAGCAATTCTAATTTCGCCCTGGTCCTGTGATCTCGCTCTGCCCCCATTTGCCTTGTGATATTTTATTGCCCTTGAAGCATGTGATCTCTCTGACCCACACCCTATTCGTACACCCCTCCCCTTTTGAAATCCATAATAAAAACTTGCTGGTTTTGCGGCTCAGGGGGCATCATGGAACCTGCTGACATGTGATGTCTCCCCCGGACACCCAGCTTTAAAATTTCTCTCTTTTGTACTCTTTTCCTTTATTTCTCAGACCAGCCAACACTTAGGGAAAATAGAAAAGAACCTACGTTGAAATATCAGGGGCTGGTTCCCCCAGTAGGCAAGATCCCTCAAGACATTGCAGAAAGCAGTTTCTTAAAAATTAACAGCATTGTGCCTTATTTATAACATCCCCTGTATTCTGTTTCCCTTTAGCTCTTCCATCAGTCTCTGTAATCATATCCACAGAGCACATTACATACAATTAGATTACAAACTCACCGCTGGAGCACACTACTTCTTTTTCAATTGAGAATATATATCAATTCACAAAACAGATGCCCTCAAGATACTCTAACTAAGATGGACAAGCAAATTTATTCTTGTGATCCTGCCACTGAGGGGAGAATCCTCTGGTTGCAATGGGGCACCGTCCAACTTTCTGATGTCCATTCCAGAGGATCTTTGATGGAATCTAATTCATACATTTGGTTTCATTTGGAGCCATTACTTGTTTGCTTGTTTGTCCTCCTATAAGGTAGTGTTCACTCATTTTCAAAAGCTTCATCCAACTAGCCTCTACATCAAGTATGAGAACCATGCTTATCCCTTCACTCATATGAGGGCAGACCAGAGATCAGGAGAGATCATCATGGTCTCGGGCCAGGATCATGCTGATACACAGGTAGGTTACAAGATCACGGGGCATATTTTTTGCAAGCAAGATTGCTGTGAAGTTAACTTTGTTGGCTGAACTTTACATTTTTCTTATGTCCAAGGAAAAGAAGTGTTATTTGTCTTGTTTCTTTTCAGTTCTTGTAACTGTAGGGCTTAATGAGGGAGAGCTAATACAGGACAGAATTTCAGAATGTAGAGGTCCACAGGAATAACCAATGGCAACCTCCTTGTAGCAGAGATGGCTATCTATTCACCTAAATCATCTCCTCTTTATTCTGGGCACAGAGCTGGACCACATTTCCCAGCTTCCCAGTGACCATATGGTCTCCTGATACCCACATGGCTGACTTCCACAACCAGTGAAATGTGAGTTGGAGTTATATGTGCCCCTTCCTGGCCTGGTCCATACAACTTTCCTTCTTGCCATCTTCCATATCCTCCTCCCCAGCTCTTACTTTTAGGTCATTAATCCAGTTTTAGTTGATTTTTGTATATAGTGTATGTTAGTCTATTCAGGCTGCTATAAACAAAATGCCATATACTTGATAGCTTATAAACAACAGAAATTTATTTCTCACAGTACCAGAGGCTGGGAAGTCCAAGATTAAGGTGCTGGCAAATTTGGTGTCTGATAATTAACACAACACTGGTGATTAGGTTTCAACATATGAATTTTAGGGGGATAGAAACAGACCACAGCATGGAGTCCAAACTTCATCCTTTTACATGTGGATATCCAGCTGTTTGCACCATTTGTTGAAAAGACTATTCTTCCCCCAATGAATTGTCGTGGAACTCTTGTTGAAAATCAATTGACCATAAAATGTGAAGGTTGATTTCTGGCCTCTCAATTTGAGTACACTGATCTACATGTACATTCTTTTTATTTATTTATTATTTTACTACATGGGCATTCTTATGCTACTATGATTACTGTAGTTTTGAAATTTGGAAATGTGAGTGCGTGTACTATTTTCTTTATTTCAAGATTGTTTTAGCTATTCTGGGTTCCTTGCATTTCCATATGAATTATAGGATCAACTTGTAATTTTTGAAAATAAGTCAGCTAGGATTTAAAATAGGGATTGTGTTGGATCTATAGATCAATTGGAGAAGTACTACCATGTTAATATTTAGTCTTCCATTTTTTTCTTTTTGATGCTACAATAAATGGAATTGTGTTCTTAATTTCATATTTAGTCTGCTTATTGCTAATGTATAGAAATACAATTCATTTTTGTACATTGTTCTTGTCTCTTGTAACCTGAACTCATTTATTCGTCTGAATTGTTTTTAATGGATTCCTTAGGATTTTCTATTTACAAGAGCACATCACCTGCAAAGAGAAATAGTTTTACTTCTTCCTTTCCAATCGACATGCATTTTATTTTCTTATCTACTTCCCTTGGCTAGAACTTCCTGGACAATGCTAAATAAAACTGGTAAGTGGTAAGGGGAGGTACCCTTTTTCTTGTTCCCAATCTTAGAGAAAAAGAAAACATTCAGCCTTTTACCATTAAGTATGATGTTAACTGCAGGTTTTGCACACACATCACTTATCAGGTTGAAAACAAGGCATAAATTTTAAAATGCTGCTGTCAAGCCTTTAATGGTATTTACAGGGAAGCCTTATGTTTGAGAGCTGAGTCTGGCCATAAAATGATAAATAGTAGAGAACCCCAATCTCTTACTTCTAGGAAAAATGATAATCACAGAAATGGAACTTTACTTAACTGATCAAGATGCTCTTGAGACAAATGATATAGTTGAGATGCTCCAGACATATGAAAAGATGCTCAACATCAGTAATCACTGGGGAAATGCAAATCAAAACCACAAGGAGGTACTACTTCACATCCACTAGGTTAGCTATAATTTAGAAAATGGAAAATGAAGTGTTGACGAGAATATGGAGAAACTGAAACCCTCGTACGTTGCTGATGGGAAAGCAAAATGGCACAGCTGCTACGGAAAACAGTTTGGAAGTTTCTCAAAAAATTAAACACAGAATTATCATATGACCCAGTGATTCTACTCCTGGGTATATACTCACAAGAATTGAAAGCAGGGACTCAGATATTTGTATGCCAATATTCACTGCAGTATTATTTACATTTGTACTAAAATAGCCAAAAGGTGGAAATAACCCAAGAGTCCATCAACAGAAGAATGAATTCAGTATATGCATACAATGACATATTATTTAGCCATAAAAAGGAATGAGGTTCTGATACATACTATAACATGGGTAAGACTTAAAAACATAATGCTAAGTGAAATAAGCCAGACACAAAGGGACAAATAAATGTATTATTTTCTTTACATGAAATGTCTAGAACAGGCAACATCACAGAGACAGAAAGTAAAGCAGAAGTTGCCAGGGACTAGGGGAAGGGGGAAATGGAGAGTCATTGCCTGCTGCGTACAGAATTTCTGTTTGGGGTAATGAAAAAGTTTTGGAAATTGATAGTGGTGATGACTGCACAATGCTGTGACTATAATTAATGTGACTAAATTACACACTCAATATAA
This sequence comes from Homo sapiens, assembly GCF_000001405.40. NCBI lineage: Eukaryota > Metazoa > Chordata > Mammalia > Primates > Hominidae > Homo > Homo sapiens. The sequence continues at coordinate 43,522,283 of NC_000003.12, forward strand.
TTAAAATTGCAAATTATGTTATTATATTTTACCATGATAAAAAAATACATTAAAAAAAAGCTCTACAGCTATTTCTGCATCTACACTTTCACCATTCTTTATGATCATAGCAATATTCTGGTGTTCTTTTCTAGGAAAACCCTGTGACTTTCATCATGTCATTGCATATATAGCACAAGATCCTCCTAAGTCTTGTGACTATTCATTTACCTACAAACCAAGAGCTTCATACAACTTTATGCATTAGGGATCTGTCATTTCACTGCAGTTTAATATAGACAACTGTGTTCTGCTCTCTGTCTTTGAAAGTATTGATGCTGGAAATGTAACTGAATCAAGCAGGGTTTTTACTTGCAAGCCACAAATACCAATTCTGGTGTATCTGGGCAAAGAAGAGGTTGGTTAAAAGGTTATCAGGTAGTTCACGTACCCTCTAAAAGGTCTAAAGAACCAGGCTGAGCAGTCATACAGTGAGGAGCAATGTCCAAAGTCATATCTAGAGCTGGTTCAGCAATGATGCCAGGCTGCACACAGGCACAACACCATTGGCATAGCACTGCCACAGCTACTGTCAGCTGAGTGGATTCTGCATGGTACCTGCCTCTTGGGGTCCAAAAGCTTACAGTTCAAAGTTTAGGGTAAAAAATTATTACTGGCTCAATATAGATCATGTGCCCACGTCCATACCCCAGAAGCAAGGGAGGCTGGAAAGGGAGTACCTGCATTATCAGCTTCTATAGTGGGAGGGGGCATCTGCCATGAGGTCAGAGATTCTCTGGACACAGGAAAGAGGTTTATGTGTTCAGTGATAAAACAGGATGACTCATGTATATTACACCAGTCTTTCAGGCAAACCAATATTCAAACCTGTCAACTTAAGCTAAGTATGCCTGAAAAGGGGGTTCTCAGCAGAGGAAACAGCACAGCCTACAATACCAAGTAAGCAAGAGCTCATTCCATTGGAGGAGTCACATGAGCTGAGTATTATTAAAGTGGAGAGAGGAGAGCAGCGGAAAGAGCTGCATGATTTCATGAAGGGCCTCGAAAACTACACTAAAATCTGGGCTTTAATCCTGAAAATGGTAGAGAGGCAGTAAAGGCTTTTAAGGAAGGAGTAAGATCAGATTTCTGTTTCAGAATAATCATTTTAGCAGCAGAATGGATTAGAGAGCACCAAGACTGGGGAGCCTGGATGCCAGTTAAGAACATGCTATGCTGTAGCAACTCAGAAAAGGAATAATGAGGGCTTACCCTAAGGCTACACACAAGGCACTGAGTGGAGAAGAAATGGGTTAGATGAAACAACCACCTGGACAGTAGCTGTTTGAGTGTGAGGAGTGAGGATGACTAACCCCAAGTTCTGGTTATGACTAGATGGATGGTGGTAGATGAACTCAGCTTTGGACTGCTCAATTTGAGATCACTGGGAGACATTCAAGTGAAAGCAACGAAGGTAAATACATACACAATACACATGTAGATGTCCAATGGGCACTGTTAGGCGTAAAGGTAACGCAAGCCATGGAGTAGACAAGCTCACCCAGGGGCTACAGAGGAAGTCATGGGGTAGATGAGCTCATCCAGGGACTACAGTGGAAGCTGTGGAGTAGATGAGCTCATCCAGAGACTAGAGTGTAAGCCATGGAGTAGATGAGCTCATCCAGGGGCTACAGTGGAGGTGGAAGTCATGGGGTAAACAAGCTCACCCAGGGGCCACAGTGGAAGCCATGGGGTAGATAAGCTCACCTAGGGGCTACACCTGGAGTAGATGAGCACAGGGGCTACAGTGGAAGCCACGGAGATGAGCAGATGAGTTTAACCAATGATTGAATGAAGAAGAAGAGGATTGGGAAGGAACCTTAAGAAAGAATAGCCCAGGAAGAAGCTCAGGAACAGGCTTAAGGAGGAATAGCCAAAGAGGTAGGAAGAAAACCAGGAAACGAATCCCTCATAGAAGGAATGACTTTCTAGAATAACTGAGTCATTTGCTTCAAACAAGCATTGTGCTTGGTTGGGGGAAATATTCAAAGAAAATTTTAGGCAACAGTTTTGTCAAGTTTCCAACTCAATTCCTTTTAACTCCCCCTACCCTACCTTTCCCATGTAGATCCTGAGAGCTGTCTATAAGTGGTAATTGCAGCATGCCTGCAACAGTTCCTGCATTTACAGTCCACCCCACAGCAGTAATCTGGCCTGGCCCTAGAGACCAGGAAGGTTTCCTCAAGATGCTTCCTTCCCTCCCCAAGTACCCTGTGCAATGATTATGTGTTGCACAGTTGGGGCAGGTGAGAAAGGGGGAAGGAAAGGGAACATGGATTTACTGATGCAGATGATTCACTGAACTGGGTTTCTAGTCCACCCAACTGCCCACTGGGCTCCTCTTGCCTGTTTCACAGGTACCTTAGACTCAGCGGGACAATGAACACATCTGGGCTCTTCTGCCAAAACACAGATCTCTTCCAGCATCCTTTATCTCAATAACTGGCCCTCCTCCAGTACCCAAGCCAGAAACCTACAGTCACTCATGATATTTCCTCTCCCCTAACACACAGTGTATCCAACACAGCACCAAGAACTCTGAATACTGCTTCCAGTACATGCCTCTCCAGAAGAGTCACTGCCTGTCCTGTTCCAATCTACCAGGATCCTTCCCTAGAACCACTGCAGTTACCACCTAACTCACTGACTCTTCCAACCCCTCTTAAACATTCTCCATGCTGGGTATGAGTGAGAACCATCCTCCAAGTTGAGCAAGACAAGGGTTGTTTTGGTTTTACAAACTGCAAATGTGTTGAGGTCATCACCACAGCCATACTCTTACCCCCCACCGACCAATGACTGCCCAGGGCTCTTAAGTGAGAAAAAGGTATCCTCAATGTGGCCTGTGCAGCCAGGTCATCTGGCCTCTGTGTCCTCTCTAGCCTCACCTCACATTCTTTCCTGCATCTTCATAGCTCTGGGACTCCATGGTCCCTGGGCAGGCTATCCTCTCTGCCCAAAGCATTCCCTCCACAGTCCCTCATCCCCATCTCTCACTTCAGGCTCCATTTTACTGGATACTTCTCCTTAAAAACACCTTTCAGACTCCGGACAAGGTCATGTTCCCCTACTCTAAACTCAATCCTTTTACATCTATCTGCATGACTATCTGGTGCTTTGTGTTCATGCTAGATAAAGCTCCAGTGCCAACAACCATTCCTGCTTCTGCTCAGCCTTAGCACAAGGTGTGAGCACCCAAGTATCTGCTAAGTGAGCACCCCCACGAGGCACAGTTAACCCCATGGTCAGAGGCCAGTGAACTTCCCTTCTCATCACCACAAAGTACTTTCACCATAATTAGTGGGAAGAAGTAATGTAAATGGGATAGAGTTATTAGGCAGGGAAAGATGTTTTGTCTCTCTTCTTTCCTCTTTCTAAGTTCCTAAAATAAGCTTGCAAGTGGTGGTGAAGGGAGCTGATGCATTTTCAAAGAGCGGTGGCCCAGTTTTCAAATTTGTTCCTCTCCATTGTGAGTTTTCCTCCTTCTGTTTTCAATATCAAAATGCCTCAATTTATGAGAAATCTAATGACAGTTGGTCACTTCAAACCTCAGATTTTCTGGAAATCATTCCTTCTAAATCCAAGGGTCTGCTGCCACTGTAGTGTACCAACAACATCGCTCCACTTTGGATTTATTTAGTTGTTTTGCAACAGAGTCATTATTCTATCTTCAAATGACAACATTTAATATATTCTAGCATATTCACATAATATACTTAGAAAGTATTAAGTAAAAAAGTCATTAAATGCAGTACACTTAGAGAAATAAAAGCACTTGAATGATGAAAATGATGAAACCTTAAAAAGGCTGCCAACTTACTTCTTTAGTCAGGGACATGACTAACATATGGACTGTAAAATTACCTTTCCCATTTTAGATTCACTTTCAGAATTAGCAACATGTTAATTGTCCTGTGCAGCCACCAAATCTTTAAATATCTTTATATTTTATTAATCTCTCTAATCAACCATCATTTTGACAAGTTCCTCACTGGATTTAGATATGCAACATGTATGATTATTTTTGTAACACTAGAAACAGGGCCTCTGTGGAGTCTTGTGGCTCTCTGCCAGCCACGGAGAAGCGTCAGCATGCATGCCCACACGGCAACACAGAGGATTAACTGACCAGGGAAACAACTGCTAAAAGAGCACCAGAGTTGGGAAACAATTTCAACATCCTGAGACGATTGAAAATATATCAAGAGAATGTATAGTATAACATATACAGAATTTAAAGAGGCAAAACTAAATGGCAATTGATGTCAGGAAAGTGGTTATTTTGGGTTGGTGGTGACTAGGAAGAGCATGAAGGGGCTTCTGGTAAAACGTCCTATGTCTTATGAATATGTTCACTTCTTGACACTTCATTCAGCCTAACATTCATAACCAGTATCTGTATCTATGCTACACCTTAACAAGCAATTCCTTAAAATATTTTGAATATTTACTTAAGATAGCCTATAAATAATATAGAATATAGCATCTATATTCTTATTTTAGCCCTACTTTAATCAGTAACAGCAGAGGTCCCTTAAGTTCTCTTAGGGTCTAAAATAATCTCTAGTCTACTGGTTGACCTCAACAATAATGAAAAACAGTATATATTTATAAAATACACACATACATATGTGTGTGTATACATATATATACACACACACATATGGTACATACAATGGTACATATATATATATGGTACATACAATGGATGTAAAACACACACACACACACACACACACACAGCATGCTTCTATTTAGTGGCTTGGGGCAAAGTTACACAAGATTTAAATCATAGATTTATGGACTCATCTGTGTAAACTGATTTCTGGGAAAGATTTTCACATTGTGTCCAATGGCTGTTTGTATATTTATACTAATTCTATTTCAAAATGCCCCTTATCCAATTAAACTATTACAACATATCCAGCATGCTCCTTACAGATGACATATTAGAGGTTTACCATTATGTTAACAAGAATAGATTTTGTAATGAACTAGGTATAAATCAAAATAAGTATGATAATTCAAATAATATAAAATAAAATATGCTGCACACTAAACAGAAGATGAAGTACTCTTTAGTTCATATATAAATATATTTAAATTGCCTGAACACACCAAAATGAATTCAATTTTTTCTAGATATAATAACATTATTACAGAGTTCTGGGTTCTCATAGGACAATGGAGCCGTCTAAATCCAAATCTCTCCATATATACTCAAAACCAAAAACAAACAGATCAATAGGAAGAGAAGACAAACTAACCATTCCTCATACCTACAACATTAACTAGGAGATAAGCAATGGCATGAACTTCGTGTTACATGAAAATAGGGAAATAAACATCCAAATCCAGCAAGACTAGCTCCAAAGCCCACACCTAAGTGGCAAGTCAAGTCAGACACTATGAAAGAGAGGGAAATAGAGATCTAGCGATATTGGAACACAGATAAAATCACCCCCAGAAAAAGAAATTTTCACTAAGAAAAGGTCTGTGAACTGCTAGATCAGAGAGTTTCTAGAGAATCAAAAGGATAGTGCTTGAAAATGCACAGAATCAGATGTGGTAGTTTTAGGAAGGCACCATTTTGAGGGAAGGATGGGGAGGAAAGATTTACGGAAGGCTCAGGTATCTCCTGGAGGCTGAAGATTATCGGAAAGAAGAAAGCAAAAGGTAGAAATTAACAGTCCTAAAGACACAAGAACAATACTCACACCTCTCACTACCAAGAAGATACTCGTTAAAAGAAACAACATTTTACTATACCAGCAGAAAAGAGTGCTCTCAAACTAAAAAAACTCAGTAAGCTACCCAAAAACTCCTTATTCTTTCCAACAAGAGCTACTATTGCTAGTCTAGGAAAATTTCAAAATGAAAAAAACGAAAAAAAAAAGCAGATAACATCTGTACAAGGTTACTATGAAAATAAAACAGACATTGAGAATCAAAGTATTTCCATTTTTGATTTTGTTCCTCAACAACATGAAAGCAAACAAAAACCAAACAAAACATAACCAGATGAAAGTTATAACTCAATAATCAAACCTGAATTAAATAACCTTAAATAAGCATTTAAGAACATGAAAAAAAACTTCAGATAAGAAGTACAAAAACTCAGATCAAAAATATCTAACAAATGAACAAAATGGAAGATATGAAATGAAAGTGGCTAAATTCAGTAAAGAAAAGGAAGAAGAGAACAAAATCATCTTAGAAATAGTGATAAATTACAAAATGGCAAGGGGGAAACTACCCAAATGAAAATATAATAAGGGACACTGAAGAAAAGCTTGAAAAACTAAGAGGACAAAAATAAAAGAAAAATATGTGTCAAAATGAAAAAAATGACAAGGAAGACAGGCAAAGAAGATCCAACATATAGCTGGAGACTCAGAAGAAAAAAACAGCAGAACACAATATTAAAAACTGTAACTTACCAGCCTGGGCAACATGGCAAAACCCCATCTCTACAAAAAATACAAAAATCAGCTGAGCATGGTGGTGTGTGCCTGTTAGTCCCAGCTACTCAGGAGGCTGAGATGGGAGGACTGCTTCAGCCCTGAAGGTGGAGGTTGCAGTGAGCTGGACTGCATCACTGTACTCCAGCCTGGGCAACAGAGTGAGATCCTGTCTCAAAAAAAACCCACATAAACAAACAAAAAAACCCTGTAATTTAAGAAAATGTTCCAGAAACAAAAGAAAGCCTGAAACCACATTTGAAAGGGCCCATGTGTATCTGTGATCTGAACCAATCAACTCTAAGACATATGCCTATAAAATAATTACACTAATATTAAACACTTGGTCCTCCAAACAAAATGACCAAGTCACTTGCTAAAGGAAGGAAAGCAGATTCACATCAGAGTTTGACAGCAACAATGCAAGACAACAGTGGAGGGGCATTTTCAAGAAATTTCAAGAACTTTGAACCTTTTGAACCAAAGTATTTTAAAATCCAGCCAAGCTGTCCTTCAAGTATACATGTTATAGAACCTAATATGGAACTTATGTTCAAGAACTTGAGAACTCTTCTTGAGAAATCTTTTGCCACTCAAAGTGGGGTTCATGGCCCACAGCATCTATACCATTTGGGATTTTTTTAGGAGTGGGAATCTAGGCCCTGCCCAAGAGGTCCAGGTGATGAGTATGCTCATTATTGTTTGAGAACTGCTATACTGAAGAACACGTTTCATAGAACAAAGGGGAAAAGGAAAACTTTGGCAAGATGACTGATGGCAAGCAACAAAAAGATTTAAACCTATCTAGAACTAAAAAACATATATGTAAATGGTAAACATTCTGACAAAGTAGAAATAGTACAACTGAAATAATGAGAGCAGAAGAGAAAAGGGAGAAAGCAGAATACATAAATTGTCAAGTAGATAATACATAATAAAGGATATTATTTTAAACTGACAAACCAAACAGTAGAAATCTAAGTAAAAACAAAGGAAATTAGGATATTATAGAATATAAAACTATAGAGGTATAAAACTAACTTTCCTAAATACTTGCTCCCTACCAAGGAAAGAAACATGGTAAATATAACATAATACCAGAGTATATATAACATAAAATAATATGATAAAGTTGAGACCAAACATATTCTGCATCTCAATTAATGCAAATGAGCTTAAGACACTAATCAAAAGAAAAATACCTGACACTTTCTTGCAAAACTAAACCCAATTCTATGCTGTATACAAGAGACACACTTAGAGTGATTCAGAAAGGCGAAAACTGAAGATATACTAAGGAAAAATAGAAATTAAGAAGATAGGGGATGCAATCCTATTATCAAAGTGGAATTAAGGTCCAAAAGCATTAAAGAAATATTTTTATAACCTCAAAGATCACAATTAAAAATGAAAATGTAGCAGTTATAAATTCCTATGCACCAAATAACACAGTAACTACATTTATAAATCACAAACTACAACAGATGCTTTCTAACAGGAATACGCTATTGAATAGACTTTAACAACACTCTTAAACCAAAACAAGTGAACGAAAAGTAAGCAGTAATTTAAAAGATCTACACGTTATGTTTAACAGGATAGAGGTTATATAGGTTATATATTTCTTATATAAAACATATAGCCTATATATTATATATATTTTATATATGGTATATATAAACTATAAAGGTTTTCTATATATGCATACACAGATATATAATAGGTATGTAGTAGTCTCCTTATCCGCAGTTTCACTTTCCACAGTTTCAGATACCCGTGGTCAACTGCAGTCCAAAAATATCATAGTATTTTGAGAGACAGAGAAAGAAAGAGACCCCACATTCACATAACTTTTATTAAAGCAGTATTTTGAGAGAGAGACCCCATGTTCACATAACTTTTATTAAAGTATATTATAATGATTGTTCTACTATTGTTGTTAATATCTTACTGTCTCTAATTTATCAATTAAACTTTATCATAGGTATGTATATATAAGAAAAAACAGTGTATACAGGGTTCAATACTATCTATTGCTTCAGGCATCCACTGGGAGTCTTGGAACCATCCTTTGCAGATAAGCTGGGACTAATGTGTGTGTGTGTGTGTATGTGTGTGTGTACAAATAAAACATTACACTGATAAGAGAGGATATACCTTCTCCTTGGGCACACACAGAATATTCAAAAACCTAATCCTATGTTAGGTCATAGAAAAAGTGTTGATATCAAAAGGCATGTTATGTATGTAAAAGGCCAAACTTGGGTATTCTTTTAACTAAAACCTGTGTAATATGACTAATAAACTCTAGGCAAAAAGACAAAAAATAAGTCTGTGGTCACTAGCAGAAGTATTCTAACTTTCAAGTATGTCTACATGCTGTAGAGCTAATATTTCAACTATTTTGAAGACAAAACAAAATGACAGATCTTCAAGAACCAACCTACATTTTTAAGCAAATTATTTTACTTTGGAGAAATGTTTTTAACAATCTTTAAATTACACGTTCTGGCTTAATCTTTATCTAAAGAATTCACCAAGATCTATGTCATCTTAATAGTGGCTTATAAATTATTCCAGCTTTTTCAAATTATTTTGTGAGAATAAAGGTAAAATAAGGGATTCTCATGACTCAGATAAAGTTCTCTATCTTCTAATGTCTATGGAAGAGTCTTTTCTTGCATCAACATTTTAAAATATGAAATGAAAAGCTACTATGCTGCATTTTAGGTTTCTTATTGGTATAAAAAATAAATATATAGGTCTCTAAAATAAAAATGTGTGATCTGACGATTTGTCATTTACATGGTAATTAAAGCATAATCATGAGGCCGGGCGCAGTGGCTCACACCTGTAATCTCAGCACTTTGGGAGGCTGAGGTGGGCAGATCACTTCAGGTCAGGAGTTCGAGACCAGCCTAGCTAACATGGTGAAACCCCATCTCTACTAAAATATACAAAAATTAGCCAGGCGTGGTAGTGAGCACCTGTAGTCCCAGCTACTCAGGAGGCTGAGGCAGGAGGATCACCTGAGCCCAGGAGGCGGAGGTTGCAGTGAGCCGAGATTGGGCCATCGGCCACTGCACTCCAACCTGGTGACAGAACAAGACCCTGTCTCAAAAAAAAAAAAACAAAACCCATAGTCATGAAAGAGCCAAGAGCATTGTCACAAGCTCAGTGATGCTTCACCCAACAAACTTAAACCCTCTTCACTCAGTCACCCCGTCCACATTGCCAAGCAGCATCCTGCTGATTCATCTGCCAGCCCTATGTATGACATCAACTGTACCTTGCCAACAAGGAGAAGAGCTGAATCACAAGCAGCTAGGATGAAAGTCTCAAATATTCCCCTAAAGCTCTTAGTAATGCAAAAGGATAAAGGTCCCATAGTCAAAAGGACAGAGGACTCAGACTGTCTAAATAAAGAGGCAATAGTCACTGATGCTCTGATAATTGCAAATGCTATGCCTTCGCTTAAACTTCTCACGTTTAATGGCTTAAAATTCTTTCCAAAGATTAGGGGAGAAAAAGCCATCATCGCTGCCTTGCCATCCTTGCTCAGTTTAGAACTAATTTTATACTAAATATGAAAACACAGGTAGGTGTATACATGCAGGGAGGAGTAGATAGAAAGAAATAATCTGACTAGGTCATTGGAAATCCCAATTTTCATAAAGGAGGCTATACAACTGTTCATCCAGTATAATACTGATTCCTTAATGACTTCCACAGATGTATCTTTATTTGCAGAGATACATAAAATTCTCAAAACAAAATTAAATTGTTTTTTATATCATATAATAAAATTGACTGGTGTATTGTTTTATGAATTTTAATGCACGTATAGTTTCATATAACCACCACCACAATCAGGTACAGAACAGTTTCATCACCCACCAAAAATCTCTCAAGCTATATCTTTATAGTTAGATGAAGCAAAATTAATTTTAATTCATATTATTTTAATGCTTTTTCCCATAAAAGAGTAATGCAAAACAACAACAGCAATCTCCCCAAAACATCTAGGAATCTCCAACCCAGAGATTCAAATACAAAGTGATATGGTAAGGTTTCAGTCTAAGTGAGGAGGGGAATTCATGTAAAGCACATGCCCTGTTCTAAAGGCAAGATTCTTTACTTGGTCATCCCTGTTCTGCATGGCACAAACGTTCTCTATACTCTCTGTCTTTGTGTCCTCTATGGCAAAGCCAGGACCTAAATCCAGGAGAAGCTCAATAATACCTCCCCTTGCTTCCAGGCATGATAGAGCCCAAGACTTCATCAAAATAGTCGGTAAAGACTCAAACAAGAAATGAGCTGTTAGCAGAAAAAAAATGGTAGCACATTTCAGATGATGGAAGTGAGAAGCATGTTGTCAAGTGAAACCAAGAAAGCTGACGGATATGTAAGGGTTGGAGAGAAAAGCTGATTTAGCAAAAGCAGGAATGAGAAAGGAGCCAAAAACAGGAAGGTTAAGGCAATTTCATTCAAAGAACCATATCACTGAGGCTAAGCCATGCCCCTGCCTCCAAGTATCTCTCCTCGAAATAAATTATTTGAAGTAGAATTTGTAGGCCAAAAAGTATACTTATATCACATGTAAGTTTTATGCAGCTTATTAAAAAAACACTCGAAAGCTCCCTAATCCAATGCATTTTTGTTGAGTTATTCTACTAACAGATTCTTATTCCATAGTTCCACAATTATCTATTTAAACAAGCTTTGGCCTTAGTAACAGTAAAGAAATTCATTCTTATTTTAAAAACTTTAATAAATGCACAAATAGACAGCTCCTTAGCTTTGACCCCAGTCCAGTACCAGTACTATCCTTGGCAAAAAGCAGGACAAAAATATTTGTTATTCATAAGCAGTTCTTGCTTTTGCTAAATGATGGTGAAACTGATCCAAATCTGAAATAATAAGCACACCAATCATTGTACTTCAACCTGTCATTTATTCATGATGGAAGAATTTCTCTTATTCTGAAAAGGTCAAACTGCTTTGTAAAATACCATTCAAGTCATAAATTCCAAAGTTCAATAGCATCAGAGGTCATCTTACACATGGATTCCTTTACATTGAAAATTTTGTTAATTGCCAATAGCATTCTTATTTGTACTAAACAACTAAGTGTAAAACAAATTAACTAAATTCTGCTTATGAATTAATGCTTATTTACATACACTTGTATACTTGTTTATCTGCACATTAAATATGCCTGGAAGCAAACATAAGAAACCAATCACACTGGCTGCCTCCACAGAAGGGAATTTGTTGACTGGGAGACAGGAGAGGGTTCTTATCACTGTGTTTTTGAGCCTTTTGAGTTTTGAATCATGTAAATGCATTATTACCCAGAGAATAAGTACATAAAATTTAAATAAAGAAGATAATTATTTATGTAAGAGAATACCTTTCTAGTTTGCACATGCTGTCAGCTAATAACAAAAATGAAACTATCAAAAGACATGAGGCAGGCCACCACTGTCCACATGGGAGGTATATATGGGAAATAATTATTTCTCTAAAAATTTGATTAAATGTTACATTTTAGAAGACAAAGAGCTGAGTAGAAATGCTTGAGAATGGTTCTTTCTCCCAATGATTGAAATGGCCATCTGAATGCCTTCTGTTTTCAGAACTCTGTTCACGTGTATGTGAGCATGTGTGTGTGCATGTGAACGTGCGCGCATGAGAGAGAGCGCGCAAGAGAGAACGGGAGACAGAGAGAAAGAGAGAGAGAAGGGGGTTGGGGGGAGGGAGGGAGGAGCAGCCATGTCTCTGTAGAACATAATTCCCTGACTCAGACAACACTCCTGACAACACCAATACACAGAGCCAAAGGGTGAAAGCCACCTCTCTGCAGAAAAGTCCTGCACCCCGACCCACTGTCCCAATGTCCACCTGGAAACAGACAGTAAGGCAGTGGAGCATGACAGCTTGAGAGTCAGGATGGGAGCAACACAGCAGGCACTGCTCCTGCTCAGTAGCTTGAATGTTATCCAAACCCAACAACTGTCTTAAGGAGGAGAGAACCATATATGTAATTACAGTGCTGCAAACCAGTACAGGTCAAAGCACTACTTGTTAGCAGCCCATGAACAAGAGATGACTTGTACCAGAATGTAAATCAACTGTGTCACTAAGCACACTCAGAGCTCTGCTAACTTTTTTTTCCTATATGTAGATTTTTTTCTTTTTTTTTTTTTGAGACAGAGTCTTATTCTGTCACCCAGGCTGGAGTGCAGTGGCACAATCTCAGCTCACTGTAACCTTCGCCTCCCAGGTTCAAGCGATTCTTGTGCCTCAGCCTCTAGAGTAGCTGGCATTACAGGAGTGCACCACCACACCCGGCTAATTTTTGTATTTTTAGTAGAGATAGGTTTTTGCCATGTTGGCCAGGCTGGTCTCAAACAAGTAATCTGCCTGCCTTGGCCTCCCAAAGCTCTGGGATTACAGAAGTAAACCACCATACCTAGACATTCTTTTTTTTTTTTTTTTTTTTTGAAGGGGGGAAGAGGTCTCGCTCTGTCACCAGGCTGGAGTACAATGGTGCCATCTTGGCTCACTGAAACCTCTGCCTCCAGGGTTCAAGCGATTCTCCTGCCTCACCCTCCTGAGTAGCTGGGACTACAGGCACGTGCCACCATATCCAGCTAATTTTTGTATTTTTAGTAGAGACGGGATTTCAACATGTTGGCCAGAATGGTCTCGATCTCTTGACCTCGTGATCCACCTGCTTTGGCCTCCCAAAGTGCTGGGATTACAGACATGAGCCACAGCGCCTGGCCTCCTAGACATTCTTAAGGAAGGAAGCAGGATGTTGATTTATATTTTAGTATGAGCTCCTTATTTTACTGTGAACTACTAACAGTTCTCAGACCAGCACAGTGTGGGCCACAGTTAGAGTAGCACTGTGAGTATAAATGACAGTAAATTTTAGTAACACAGTGACAAAGACAACCAGGAGAAAAATCCTGAAAATCCAAATTCCATTAATCTCAGCTACTGTGTAAACTAGTAACTATGATATCAGTTGATAAAGGCTTTAAAGATTAAGTCTCTTTAAGTCTTCCCAAAGACTTTAAAGATTATAAAACTCTCCTGAAGAGGAATGAATAAGCAGGACTTGGCACCCTAGTTTTGAAAGTCTGTTGTCCCTCATTTTAAAGCATAAAAACTATAAGATAAGTACTGACAAATGTTTGTTATCCAATTGACAAATTAACTTTCACTTGGACCATAATCACATACTTATTAGTCTTTTGTATTTTAAAAACGCTTCTTCAGCTTAAACTCTTAAAAAGTTTCTTGGCTTAGGATACTTTGTAGATTATTTAAACATTCCTGATAAAAGTAAAACACAAAAGTAAATGTAACATTCCAAGTTGTTTAAAATGCTTCTTTCAATTTGAAATTATTTCTTTAAAAAGTACCAAATACAAACTTTATATTTATTAATGATTCCACTGATATCAACTGTGATCCCTCACTCATTAGAGCACTAGAATTCTCAATCACTCCCAGTGTGCCACTTCCTATTGCCCTTCTGCAAATCCTGATGATTCTAGAAGCACATGAATACCCTGTGCCCTCAAAACGGTTAGCAGCAGTAGCATATTACTTTCTACATAGTCATTTGCATTTATGGACATGACCTACATTTTGAAAGAGTGTTAAAACATAAAACAATAGATCATTTTTGTTCTTAAGTTTGATCAGTGAATTCTCAAATGTATGAGAATGATGCCTCACCTCATTAATTTCCTCTCATCAGCAAAACAATACTCAAGATGAGCAGCTCCTTTAATGGTAAAATGGAGTTCTGGGGCTCAAAGAAAGAAAAGCTTAAAAGCCCTCTTCTTTTGTTCCTTTCAGCAATATGCCTAAAAATTCAATTATAAAATCTTATTTGGTGTTTGAAAGGAGCCATTTACTATATAAAATCAAATTTTAGATTAACTGGTTTTCGGTTGCCTTGTTCTTAATTTTGAAAAAGAAAAAAAATCTACTTTTTTCATCTTGTAAACATGTCCTAAGCCACAAAAGATTTTCTAAAGCATTTTTTCAACAAGTTTTTATACATTTTAAAATTTACCTTTTAACTTAAATAGAAAATCACTCATCTTGGTGTATAGCACTTTCAGTTTTAATAAATGCACCCAGCTGTGAAACCATCACCATAATCAAGATACAGAACAATTTCATCACTCAAAAAAAAAAAAAAAAAAAAAGCCCTCACCTTTCACCTTACTCTGAGTCCTTGGCAACCATCCTCGGTTAAGTTTTAATGTCCAAACGTAGACTAGATGTATATTACAGCAATCTCCGGGACAAATTTAATAGCAAAGAGAAGACAATGCCAAGAGCTCTACCTGTCATCTTGCTCATATGTCCTTCCTACACACTCAGTGGGTAAGAGGCTTATAGGCTGTGGAAGAATATCATTGGTCTATCAGAGAGCTCCTCTTTCCTTGGGTTTCCTTTTCCAGCATAAAAGAATATCAACAAACTGTATTCTTTCTACTCATATCCCACCTCCTTTTTGCTGTGAAATATTCCCTCAACCTGAGTTCCTTGTGCACCAGTGACCACATCACAGGCTTAATTATTAGCACAGATGGTGCCAATTAGTTCTGTGTGAAGTGCTGAAATGGAAAGGATAATAGAAGCATTACAAGCTTCCTAAAAATGGTCACAGCTGGGGCCCAATGATGACAGCTTGGGGGCAACCATATCTTTACATTCTGCAGCTCACCTTCCACCTCCTGCTCCATCCACCAGAGCAGAACCATGATCTCAGGCTCAGAGCAGGCATACTTTATAAACCACACACACACACACACACACACACACACACACACACACACGTAACTAATATACGTCAGATAGGAAGAAATTTTCTTAGAAAGTAACCAATATTCAAAAACCTTTCTTTTCTGTTCATTGTTCTTAATATCCTTAGAAATAGTCGATTTCAGTAACATAACATAATGGGACTGGGAACACATTTTATTAGTTAGGAGGAAATTATAGTAGTAGTATTAACATCTTACATCTGTAAGCACCCTGGAGTCCACAAACCACCGTCACATAGTTTCTAATTTAATCCAGTCTTAGCCACATGGCACCCTGGAGGACTACAAAAGAAACTAAAGACCCTCTGAAGCTTTTAAGCTACAGACTAAAAAGGGTGGGGGGACAGAAGTAACAAGACATAAGAACAAATACAACATATCAAAATAACTAGAAACATTAAGATCTGGTCAAATTTATACCATTTCACCAAACCCAAAATACATAAATGTCTATGATACTAAAAAATGATAGTTAGACCTGGCCCTATTTTTGATATAAAATTTCAGTATAAAAAAAACAGCTAAGTGTTTCTAAAAGTGAAATTTGACGTAGCATACTAACACAGCATTTTGAGTTTGGGGTATTGTTAATGTGGGAAACCATTCCTAAAGAAATGGGTTATTGAACAGGGTCTACACATTGACAAATATGAATTTAAGAACAGCATTTTAACTGAGGAAAAAAAATAAGAAAAGAGGTATCAAAAACTGTACTGAAATGATCTTGCTTGTGAGTCCAGCTCTTCCAAAAGAAGGGTGAATTTATTTTCTTTGTATCTCCAGCACTGACTAGAAATTCAGAAAAAATTTTTAAAACGGAAATAAAACAAGTTATGTGAAAATACAGAAGGATACCTTAAAGAACAGGTTTTTTTAACAACAATTACTATGGCAGCTTTGTAATTCTGGCAGAAGAAAAAAACTGTAACGATGGCAGGCATAAAGAACTGGGATCTAACCCACAGGACTGAAGAAACGGAAAAAATGAGGTGGATTTGAGAACAATCAAGAGGAGAAGCTGAGGCAGACTCCAGCTGGTCTTTTGGACTTGAGGGTGGTTGGACCAGAGACAGGAGAGGCTAGATGCAGAGGGGGATGCAGGATGGAGAACGGCCTGCTGTCTACACACACAGGGGCAGGTGCTTCATAGACAAGAACTGTTTCAGCTTCCTCAACCCAACGAAGAGGCTGCTCCTGGTAAGGAGAGGATTGGAAGTTCAATCTCACAATAAGAAGATACAGTAAATTCAATCCACAATCTATTCATTTTTAGAGATCACTGGAATGGCCAAGTAGAATTTATGTTAGTGAATGAAAATGAATACTGCAGTCATGACTTTGAAAGTGTTTTTTAAAATACCATTTTGGAATAAAATGTAAATGGGCTATAAAGTTTTCATCATGACCTTAGAGCCCTCCATCAGTTTCCCCATCCATTACCTCTTATCCCCCAATTCATACTCTCCACTCTCCCTAAGAAAACCTACAGTCTCTTATTTCACCCCTCCTGCTCCCTCCTGGTACTGGAGCTGCCCCCACATTCCACTTTTTCAACGGGTCCCCTGCCACACAGAGCCACCTCAAATGTATTCCCATTAGATTTGAGACTGCTCAACACACAACTCAATATTGCAAAGAACAGGGGTTTCTTATGTGTTGCAAGTCTATTTTCAACTTTCTAAAGCAACACTTGCTTTCCAACCTAGAAAAAAAAAATAAAACCAAACGTGCTTTTTTATCTCCCCATTAAAATAGATAGGAAGTCAGAGAAAGAGGGTCAGTTTGACTCTGGATCAGTTCAGGCATCTGAAAGGAAAGTTAACTGTCATGCAAGAATGAGGTTAGCAAGCAGGTCCCAGAGGAGGGTGACGCACCTAGCAGGTCTGTTGTTGAGAGCGGGAAGCACAGGCTGGGGTGCAGTAGGAGACAGCAGAGGGAGCAGGTAATTGACAGAAGGTCTTGAAAGCATGAAATGAGAAGAGACAAGAGCAACAGTCCTCAAAGATGAATAACCCAAATCAGTTTTTTGTTTGTGGATATCTGAAGTATTTACATTTGAATATGGATACATATGATGTTCTGTGATTTCACTTTAAACAAAATAATGATGCCAGACTTTGAAATTATGGCTTAAGAGTACAGAGAAGCTGTTGAATTTTCTAATGCTTACCTCCTTTCAGACAATTGTTTTCTGAAAACAACTCTATTCTGAGTGTAAAACGATCTCTTGCAGAGGGGTGAGACTTGCCTTCTCCTAAACTTTCTTAGGCAAGAAACAGGTTAGGTTACCCACTGTAAGACCTTAAAAAATTGCAATGTAATCTGCAAAAACTGGATGTTAACTAAGTCATATTTAAACAGATTATACATTAACCATCAATTCCAAGGGCATTGGGTTTTTCAACAAAACAAGTATTTCCCATTACTTGACAAACTTAAAATCCTAATTTAGCACTCCCAAGGAACAGAAGCCCATTTAGATGACACAATTGGGGCCAATAATTCCTTCGTTAATCAAAACAGCTAAAATGCAGAATCATACAAAATGCATATATTCATTTTGTTTTAGCAAACATTTAAATGTACACTAATTTGCAAATCTTTTGCTGTAGAGCTAGGGCCCTTCCTCTGAGTAGGATCCAGTGATGGACTGTCTCACTCTCTGCTGCGCCTAAATAACACCTATAAGACAATGTCTAAGATGCCCAGGTTTGTTTTCTTTAAAGGAGAGTGAAAACTTAAAGACACTTGTGAAGCAATGTAAAAACAGAATCTGGCTGTCCATATTCTGATGATTTTTCCCTAATCTTTTATAATTGTCTCATCTTTATTCAATCTGACAGCAATTTGTCTTTATGAAGTCTTTCCAAAGGTTTTCATAGAAATGATGGCTCTATTTTAGCACACACTTTTCATCATTCTCCATTCCATTTCATTAAATTATGCCAATTACAGTAACAAGAATACCACACATAAACAGATTTGGGAACAAAATGCCTCTTGGTGAGCCATAAACTCAGTGAGTGGACATCTTCCCCATCATCCTCACACCAATGCCCACTCAGCAGGCCAACAGAGCCTGCACTAGTCAGGGCACTGTTAGGAGGGAATGGAGAGAGCTGGGTTAACAGGGGAAGGAGGTGAAGAAAGAGGCCTCCTATTGCACTGAAATGTATCTCTTGCATAATTCTGTCTGTGAGCATTCCTGAAGCCAGGGATGTATCATAGTAATGCCTAGCATATTTTAGCACATAATAAATATGTATTCAATGTAAGCATTTGATTTGACTAATTATTCCCACAACATTAGGAGAACACAGAGCAATGTTTTATCCAGATAACAGCTAAAGAGCCCATGGAAAGACTAGTAAATTCCAAGATTATCACAGGAATAAAGGAAACAAGAGGAGGAAGAAAAAAAACCCAGTTCCATAATTCTATTCAAAAGCACCCTAATCCAAAAATAAAAAACCAACCCAACTCATGCTCAACAATGGGAAATGGTGACCAGATTAGTAACTTAGTTTGTTGTGGGCTCCTTTGTAGGCTAAGTTTTAAACTGAATTCTCAGAACTTAATCAAACCTTTCAATTAGGTGAAGAGACTTCTATGACAACAGATTGTTTTTCAGAAACAATGACAATAATAGCTAACAAAACTAAACACTTAATCTTGCCAGGCACTGTACTAAACATACTGCATGCATTTATTCATTTAATCCTCCTAAGTTTGTAGAAGTAGGTACTCATTTGAAGACACAGAGCTAGTCAGTGGTGTAGCCAGGATTTGAACCCAGAACCTATGTTCTCAACCACTATACCATACTGCCCAATATAGTTTGCCTTTTCTTATAAATGATATAATTTTAATATTTTACTTAAGGGTTTTCTTAGTATACTTCTCAAAGGTACATTATCAAAGTCCTTATAATTATAAATTAATTCTTAAGTAATTGGCACTAACTATATGTACACTGAATAAAAAAACTATATATGACTCATTCATTAATTAATAAACGTTTAACAAGCAGTTACTTAATCACTTGAAAACAAAGAGTTAAAGTAACTCTACTGAGTTACTTTATGAAGCTTCTCAGTTACTGAGGCTTCATCATATGCTGTCCTTGCTCATGCTCTCAGGAAGCTCGATCTGGTAATGGAGCCACGTGATTGTCATACAGTTTTAGTAAATGATAACAGTGACTTTCACAAAGGGTCCTAGGTTATCCAAGGATGGAATGGAAGCCAGGGGAAGTGAAGGGGAAGGAGACTAACAAACATCTGGCATTCGACTAACGCATTTCTTCTGTAAGCCATGGACACCCATGTGAGGGCCACAGCGGAAGAGAAATATGATCAGAGTTTCATTTAGGAATAACCACTCCAGCAGTAGAGAGCATGGGCCAAAGGAGGAAAAGCAGGAAAGCCAGAAGGCTTTCCTTCTGTAAAAAAGATCTGCTGTAAAAGTTTAGGTGAGAGCTCCTGAACTGTATGCTTTAAATAAGGGAATTGTATGGTGTGTGAGTTATGCTCACCACAGCTGTTTTAAAAAGTATGTCTAGATGAGAAATGGTAAGAACATGAACTCAGTGACAAGGGAGAGAGCCGAAACAAATATTCAGAAGTCAGAATCAGCAAGTCTTGATGAGGGATGAATGAGAGGGAGGGAGGGCTAGGCTGAGGCGTGGAAGTAAGATCAGCAGAGAGAAGAAAACAGCCATGCCACAGATAGAAGGTACGTAAGAGAGGGAGATAAACATGTAAGCAGCAAACTGTAACACAGACGGAACCAATGCAATGCTATGATGGAGAGCCTGGCCCATGACAACAAATCTAGAGCTGACAGAGTCATATGAACTAATTGCTGAAAGAGGAACTCATTAACAACAGTGGTGCTATAAACTGTTATCAATTTTCCACTTCCTCCTCTGCATCAAACATGGTGCCTGACACTTCTTGTGTACACTACCAATGTCTCCATTTTATATCCAAGGAAACTGAGACTCAAAGATTAAAAGGAAATGCTGGGATTCTAATTCAGTTACCACCAGACTTTGACACCCCAAGCTACCTCTATGCTGTGACACTACCTGCTTAACCAAATAATCATGAAAATGATAATAAAGATAACGAAAGTTTCATTCTGATACTAAGCTGGTTAGAACTGCAGCTCACATCCCCTGTGCCTTGACCAAGTACTCAGCCCTGTGTTTGGCATTTCACATATACAACCTCATCTATGCCTCGCCTTGTGAGAGTGGTAACAAGACCTGCAAATTAGTAAGCACCTGCTCAATACCAGACACATAATCAGAGTTATACATGTGTTATTTCTACTCTTTAGAACACTCATGCAAGGGAGGCTGCACTGGCCTCACTCTGAAGTCAAGGGAATGGGCTCACAAGACAAGGTGATACCCTAAGAGGCAGTATAGGGATAGAATCCACATTTGTATAGTTTCAAATATCTATAAATCTCTCTCTCTTCTCTCCCTCTGTTTCTCTCTCTCCTTCCCTCCCTCTCTCTTAGTTGAGAGAGAGGAAGAACACATGTGTGACAAAATGTTCAAAATCAGTGAATCCTGATAAAGAATATATAGGAATTATCTGTATAATGCTTGCAACTTTCAAATCTGAAACTAGGAAAATAAAGCCTGTGAGTCAGGGCACAAAAGAACCTGGAAAGGCTCAGTTCATTCTCAGAGGATACTTCTGGTATTACAGATAAGACTCAATTCTGCTTCTTTTCTTTTCTTTTTTATTTTTTTGAGACGGAGTCTCGCTCTGTCACCCAGGCTGGAGTGCAGTGGCCGGATCTCAGCTCACTGCAAGCTCTGCCTCCCGAATTCACGACATTCTCCTGCTTCAGCCTCCCAGTAGCTGGGACTACAGGCGCCCGCCACAGCGCCCGCTAATTTTTTTGTATTTTTAGTAGAGACGGGGTTTCACCGTGTTAGCCAGGATGGTCTTGATCTCCTGACCTGTGATCTGCCCGCTTCGGCCTCCCAAAGTGCTAGGATTACAGGCGTGAGCTACTGCGCCCGGCCTCAATTCTGCTTCTAAGCAGCTGCTGGCAGATGGAGAGGGGGTGCCACATGAAAACTTATTTTTTAAAAGAAACTGTAATTAAATGATATTTTTTAAACCACGAATTAAACATGCATGGTACAGGCAGGCTTGGTGGTCACCAGGCCCTAAACATTAGAAATGCAGTGTAATTTCTGGGATGAGTAGTTAACTCGTCTTCACCTTAGAAAAAGAACCAAATTTAGTAGGTAAATTGTCAGTAATTCAACATGTCTGATAGGTACATCTTGCCAAGTTTAGAATTAAAACTGTCAATTAATTTAGAATTAAAACTGTCATTACTAAAATGAAGTATTATCTAAGATTTAATATTTGGAAGATATCAGGCCATTTCTATTTTTTAGAAATTGGAGACATACATAATTCTGCAGGTAAAGTAGTAATCTTTTGCTAAAAATTACATCAAAAAAGCAAACTAAGTTTGCCTCAAAAAGAAGGATGATAATTACTTAAGGGAAATTATTTGAATATTGATTTAATCTTGAGAGCTGAACTTTATGACACCGCCAGTATTTATTTTTAACCCACAAAAAATGGCATTTTCACATGTTTTCATCTATTACATTGGTAGGCTATTCTCTGGTTCAGTCTACAAAAATTTCTTTATTTTGCAAATGAAAGTAGTGTTCAAGTGTCATCAATTTTTAAAGGCAACACTAGATGGCAGTAAATACACAAAAGTTGTGACAAATGACACAGTTCTCATAATACAGCAGTGATCATTTTTGCCTTTACTCAGTTTCATCTGTACTAAATCAAGCTTTAAAAAAAAATGAAGAATCAGGGCTGGGTATGGTGGTTCACACCTGTAATCCCAGCACTTTGGGAGGCTGAGGCAGGCAGATCACTTGAGGTCAGGAGTTCGAGATCAGCCTGGCCAAAATGGTGAAACCCCGTCTCTACTAAAAATACAAATATTAGCCAAGCGTGGTGGTGTGCACCTGTAATCCCAGCTACTCAGGAGGCTGAGCCATGAGAATTGCTTGAACCCAGGAGGCAGAGGATGCAGTGAGCCAAGATTGTGCCACTGCACTCCAGCCTGGGTGACAGAGCAAGACTCTGTCTGAAATAAAAAAAAAAAAAAAAAAAAAGAATCAGAAACCTGCGTAAAAAATAAAGTGACCTGGCTTTGGAAATGTGATCCAGAAAAGCAATAGAAACTATCAATTCATCCAATTTTAAATTTTGAGAACATTAACACTCAACATCAACTTTATAAAATTGTTACATTTTCTAAGTCGTGTTTGTTCTGTTAACAAATTCTAATCATGTAAATGTATCTAGATATTTATTTGGTTAATTAATTTGGAAAAAAAGCATCTTAAATTGCTTTTTCCATCAAGACGTTAAAAATTTATGAGAATTTTTATATATTTATAGACTATGGCATTTTTTGAGTTAGTAAAATTTCTGCTCTTATAGGGGCCATGAATAAACATATGAAAGTATAGCATGCTGTTAATTTAATATGCTACTAGCAAAACTTTTTTAAATCAATAAGAACATTATGTAGACTCCAGTAAAAAATTCTATTTTAACGTTAATTTTAAGATTTAATTTCCTTATTTGAAAAGATTTTCAGATAAAAGAGAAAAATCTTATAAACAGAAACATGTTAATTGACCCAATGATGGTTTTTTTTTGTTTGTTTGTTTGTTTTTTTTTTAGACAGAGTCTCTCTCTGTCGCCCAGGCTGGAGCGCAGTGGCGCAATCTCGGCTTACCATAACCTCTGCCTCAAGCGATTCCCCTGCCTCAGTCTCCCGAGTAGCTGGGATTACAGGCACGCACCACCATGCCCGGCTAATTTTTGTATTTTTAGTACAGACGGGGTTTCATCATGTTGACCAGGCTGGTCTCGAACTCCTGACCTCAGGTGATCTGCCCACCTCGGCCTCCTAAAGTGCTGAGATTACAGGCATGAGCCACCGTGCCCGACCCCACTGATAGTTTTGATGAACATTCTGTAACATTCTTTTTTTCCAGCTTTATAGAGGTATAACTGACAAATAAAAATTGAAATATATTTAAGTTATACAACATATTTTGAAATATGTATATCCTATGAAATGATTAGCAAAATTAATCTAATTATCATATCTATCACCTCACATAGTTACCTTGTAAAATTCAGAATTAGAATTTTAACATGATTTTACAAACTGAATGGTAGCAAACCAAAAATTTGTATTTTCTATTCTATTTGTAAATGTTACACTTTTTGGATTCATTACAAGACCAGATGGCATTCAGCTGAGGTCTCAGCAACACTAGAATAGCATTGGTAAATTTCTAATTTTTTGGCTATTTTAAACAGCTTGAGCTTGGTTTTGTCCTGACACACAAAATTTTCTATTGAGAAACCAAAGCTAGGGCCCTCTCAAATGTATGAAAGTCAATAAGGTATAAACAAAACAAATATTCAAATACACACTGTGACAGAAAGAGAGGACCCATCTGTGCCAATATAATCCAACTTCTGATCGATAGTTAACATTTTAAAATATCATAAAATAAATAGCCATAGCTTACTGCAAGCACATTGACATAAATACACACTGAAACAGCCAAAACAATCTTGAGAAAGAAGAACAAAGTTAGTAGTCTCACACCTCCTGATTTCAAAAC
Source organism: Homo sapiens (assembly GCF_000001405.40). Taxonomy (NCBI): domain Eukaryota; kingdom Metazoa; phylum Chordata; class Mammalia; order Primates; family Hominidae; genus Homo; species Homo sapiens. The sequence continues at coordinate 43,546,354 of NC_000003.12, forward strand.
ATACTACAAAGCTATGGAAATCAAGAGTATGGTACTGGCATAAAAACAGAAACACTGACCAATGGAATAAAGAGCCCAGAAATAAACTGTATACACAGTCAAATGATTTTGCAAACTTTGCATATACAGTCAAATGATTTTCAACAAGGGTGCCAAGACCACGCATTAGAGAAAAGACAATCTTTTCAACAAATGGTGCTGGGAAAACTGGACATCCACATGCAAAAGAAATACAAGTTATAAAAACAACCAAATGAAAATTATAGAACTGAAAAATGCAGTAATAGAAATTAAAAAAAAAAACACACCTCAGTATATGGGCTCAATAGTAGTGTGGACATATAGAAGATGTTGAAACAGTGAACTTGAAAATACATCAACAGAATTCACCTAATGTGAATAACAGAAAACAGGCTGACAAAAATTGAACAGGGCCTTAGGGACCTGTGGGAAAATACAAAAGACCCAAGATTCATATGAAAATCCCAGGAGAAGAGAGAGAGTGGGGCTGAAAGAGTACTTGAAGAAATAACGGCTATAAAGTTCCTTAATTTGGTTAAAGACACAAACCCACAGATCTAAGAAGCTGAGCATGCCCCAAATGGAATAAACTCCCAAAAAGCTACACTAAGGCCCATTATGATTAAACTTTCAAAAATTAAAGATACAGGGAAAAAAATCTTAAAAGCAGCCAGAGAAAAAAGGATCCATTAACTACAGGCGAACACCAATTGGAATGATATATTTCTCTTCTGAGACCATTGAGACTAGAAGGAAATACCAAAATGTTTTTCATATGCTGAAAGAAAAAGACTATCATCCATGAATTCTATGTCCAGCAAAACTATACTTAAGAATGAAAGAGAAAAAAAGTTTTCAGATGAAGAAAAAATTAAGAGAATTTGTTGCTAGCAGACTGACCCTTTAAAAATTGGCTAACAAAAGTTATTACAACAGAAAGGAAAATGCATTTGTTTCTCAGGGTTGCCAGAACAAAGTTATCACAAACTATTATAGATGGCTTAAAACAGCAGGACTGTATTTTCTCATAGTCTGGAGGCTAGAAGTCCAAAATCAAGATGTTGGCAGGGCTATGATCCCCCTGAAACCTGCAGGGAGCCTTCTTTGATGCTTCCTGGCTTCTTCCTAGCCTTCCTTGATGCTTCTTACTTTGCCAGTTTAGACAATGACAATTAAAACAGCTGTTTTTATACAATGTGAAGAGACAATAAATAAATAAATAAGAGGAGGCATAATGGTTAGAACCTAGAGGGTAACAGCCAAGTATCCCTAGAATGTGCAGATTAAGTGAATCGAGTGAGGATTAGACTAGCAAAACCATCCTGTTTAACACGAGACTAGCCACCTGCAGAACAGTATTTATAGGCCAGTAAGTCTCCCGAATTAAGTAAGAAGAACCAGGCCCTCAATATGTGATTAAGGTATCACTAAATACAAAAGAAAGCAGTAGGCTAATCAATGGTAATATATTGAGCCAGCCAGGAATCTAGAGAAAGTGAGGGCAAAAATCAAGATGTAGACTGTAATGAGCTCATCCAGCATTGCTCAGAAGCTAGCGATGGACACCAAGAGCTGGCTCATGAGAGAGCTCTGCTCTGTGTGGAGGTAGGGATGGTTTTCAGGTTTTCTGCGTATTTCAGGATATTACACCACTCCTGCTCTTGTTCTAAATTTACCAAGAAATCTTCTAATAACCAATCCACCTTCACTTTAACATCCACTGTTACGGTATTGGTAAAGTATCTTTTTATTGTAAATTAACCACCTGGCTTTCTGGTCAATCCCTTGTAAGTTTCATGAGTTTTAAGTTTCAGTCAGTCCCAAAAGCCTTTAATTAACTCTGAGTATACTGGCAAAGACAAATTTTTAGATCTGTGAAGTGAAGTGCCATATTCTAAATCAAGAAAGCACACTACAAGCCTAGCCAGCTGGTCTCTCCCTGTCAAAGGTAACTCTGTCTTGTTTTCTCACTTCCACAGGTCATAAATCAGCCTTGCAAATAGCTCTCCAAAATTCTATTCAACTTACAAAATTCAAAATAGACTACTTGTATCTGTCAGGGCCATTTTCTTTTCCCTCCCACTCACTGCTGTCTAAAATCATTCTCCAAAATGCATATTCCACATATAGCATCTATCATGAACACAGATTCCTACCAAATACAATAAGAGCCAAAAAGAGCAAAGCAGAATATATTTCTTTAGCCAACACTGGAAATGTGCAAGTTCATGATTTCCTTTCCTCTGGTCAGCCCTGAGTCCTAAGGCCTTAAGTATATGAAACACCATTCAGGATCCTCCTAAGTTCTGCTTTTATAGAGTTCCATAACTGTTTTGTTTTTAAAATATCTAAAAATGAAAGGTGGTTACAATATTCTTGACAACTATAATTACAAGCAACAAAAAAAATTCCTACAAATTATTCCATTTACATTTGGTTAGTGCTTAATTTCCAAGATGTTACAGGGATCCATATTCTGAAACATGATAAAAGAAAAACGTAAAAAGAGCACAGACAGCCTGCTTGGGCTTTGCATGTGAAATTATCTATCGTCCTACAAATTACATTTTGAAGTTTGAGAGTGTTTCACAATGAATTTCACACCTGTAGCAAATGAGACTTAAGTCATTATCAAAAAGTGTTTTTAGGATTTGCTTAAGAAAGTAGAACTGTCTTTTCTCTAAAATAGACTAAAAATACATATTAAATGTATGGAATTTGATTTTGAATAGGATTTTTTTTTTAAGGGACAGTGTCTCGCTCTGTTGCCCAGGCTGGAGTGCAATGGTGCCATCATAGCTCACTGTAACCTTGAACTCTAGGGCTCAGTCAATCCTCCTGCCTCAGCCTCCCAAATAGCTAGGACTACAAGAATGAACCAAATTACAGTACCAAATTACATCAGGTACCAAATTACCATCAGGTACCAAATTACATCAGGTAATTTTTAAATTTTTTGTGGAGACAGGGTCTTATGTTACCCAGGTCTTGAACTCCTGGCCTTATGTCATCCTTCTGCCTTGGCTTGGGTGCTGGGATTACAGACGTGAGCCATGGCACCTGATCCTCAAATAGGATTTACCTACTTAGCACTGGGCAGGCCAGCATAATAGTGGAAAAGTCACTTCCTGTTTGCATTGTGGTGACAGTTTTTCATACTTGGGCAATAACCATGAATACACAGCCTGAATCCTCATGTTTTCTATTACTTGAACTGTTTTTGCTTTCTTACCAGTAAATCCATATTGCTCAATTGTCAGTCATGGACAGCCCGAGACAGCACTGCTTTGGAATAGAGAAACGTAATATGGATACTGCTTAAAATAAGTTTAAATCTTTACTTACCTCCACTGCTACTACAATCAAAATGAGGTCTGCTTTTGATTCTGGAAAGACTGCATTCACTTGTGGTGACATTCCAATCAGCGCACAGTTAGTGACCACAGATATAACACTCATCGTTTCAAAAGCCAACTAAAAGAAAAAAGAATGGAAATTAAAAATTGCAATGACTGCTTCCATATTTCCTCATCCTTTTTCATGTTATCTAAAAATCAAGGAAAATGTCTTACCCTAGTTCTAAACATTCCAAGTACATTTTAAATTTTTTTCTCTGTCATGGTATGATTTTTTTAGCTGAAAAAAAAGCCATACTGTTAGGCAGTATTTTAGATACTTTTGGCATGAATATCCCAAAGCAGTATGTTCTATCTTCCTAATTGGAGGCAGCCCTGGACCTGAATTGGGAATACTGTTAAAGTTACTCTACTCACATCTAAGGGGAATCTAAAGTAGGGCTGCCAGGGAAAAATGTTTCACATTAAAAAACAGGTAAGATTTCAAACAGAACTTATGTTGTGAAACCATCCTTCTACTTTGACATCACACACCACATCTGACTCAGCTATAACCAGCTTTATAATCAAGGCACCAGTGATAAATGGTGATCCTTTTCTAGCATCATTTAGCAAATCAAATGTAGAACTTTAGAAAAATATAGATGCTAGGCCCCACTGAGACCTACTAGACAAACTGGTCCAGCATTCCCTGAAGGAGACTTTGGTGCATACTGCCAAGGATGGATGGAGAAATGTTGTGACCATTGCTCTTTTTTTCTTTAATACAAAGTATATGGTGATCACCACTTAATAATTTACCCATTAATTCCAAGAAACACAAGTACTATTAGAAACATTAATTTTAAAAGAAGCAAAACAAAAGATGACTGAATCCAAACTTAATATGAATACATTTTGTCCCATGGAGAACTTCTGCCATCTTACAATTTAGAAATCTTTGTGTAGTCTGATTATTTTTCCACAGTTTTCTTCATAAGAAATCTAAGACTGTCTTTACTTTAGTTTAAAATTTCTATTTATTTACTTTTGATTATATTCTCATGGCTTAAAAATAAAAAATTCTAAGTACATAGTGAAGAGTGTCTTTTTCCCTTGTCCCCTTTTCTTCCACTTCGCAGCTCCCATTCTCCCTAGAAGACAACCACTATTTGCAATTTCTTATGTATTCTTCCAGACAGTTTGTATGCAAAATAAGCATATTGAATATATACACTCTTTCCTACTCCCTTTTCAGCATACTACATACTGTCAGGCCCCTTGCTTTAGTCATTTAAAGTGTCTTGAGGGACTTTCTGTGTCAATACTAAAAGAGCTCCCTCATTCTTTGCCACACTGCTTCTGCATTTTATTACATGGACGTATCAGAATTTATGTAACCATTTTCTTATTGGTGGGCATTTAGTTGCTATTACAAACAGTGCTACAATTGGTGATCTTATAAGTACATCATTTAACAAATGTGGAATTAGGCTAAATTCTGGAAAGTGAAATGGCTGAGTCAAAGGGGACATGCATTTGTAATTTTGATAGATAAATACGAAGCTGCACTCCATGGGTTGACCAGCTCATGCTTCCACCAGCAGCATATGACAGTGCCTGGCTTCCTGAACTTGCAATATGTTTGTAACTAAACTTTCAGGTTTTTTTTAAAATCACCTATATTGAGTTATAATTTACATATAATAAACTGCATGCATTTAAGGTATATACTTCATTACCTTTTGATAGGTGTATTTACCTGTGAAACCACCACCACCACAAACAAGACACAGGACATTTCCATTTCCCCCAAAAGATTCCTCATGACCTTGCAATTCAGCCCTCTCTTTACACCTGTGTCCAAACAAAATATGATCTGCTTTTTGTCAATATAGATTTGTTTGCATATTCCAAAATCACATATACATTTAAGATTGCTATGTCTTCCTGGTAATTTGACACTTTTATCATCATAGAATGGTCCTCTCTGGCAATTTTTGCACAGATGTCTATTTTATCTGATACTAATATAGTCATTCCTTCTTTCTTTTGATTAATATTTCCATATATATCTTTTTCTATTCTTTTACTTTAAACCTACCTAAATCATATTTGACTTGAGATTCTTAGAGACAGCATATACTTCAGTCATGTGTTTTAATCCACTCTCCCAATCTCTGTCTTTAATTGTTGTTTGACCATTTACAGGTAATGTAGTTATTGATATGTTAGGATGTACGGCTGGTCATTTCCTTGTTTTCTGTTTGTTCCCTGTTTTTCATTTCTCTGCTTTCTTTTTCCTGTCTTACTGTGGTTTACTTGAACATTTTTCAGAATTCCATTTTGGTTTATCTATAATGTTCCTGAGTATATCTTTTGTGTAATGTTTTTAGTGGTTGCTCTAGGTATTATATATCCGTAACTTATCACATTCTACTTGTGTCATCTTTTATCAGTTTGAGTGAAGCACAGAAACCTTACCTCCCTCTACCATCTGTTATTTATAATATACTTGTCTTGATATAGGGAAAAGAATCAGACAGTGTATCTTGTCTACATAGGTTGGGTATAGTGGCTCATGCCTGTAATCCTAGCACTTTGGAAGGCCAAGGTGGTAGGATCATTTGAGGCCAACCTGGTCAACATAGTGGGAGCCCATGCCTACAAAAAATAAAAAAATAAAAAAAATTTTTTTCTACATATATTTAGAATCATTGGACAGTATTATAAGTTTTGCTTCAACCATCAAACATAACATAGAAAACTCAATAAGAGAAGAAAAGTCTATTTTGTTTACTAATATTTTTGGTTACCATGTTTTTTCTTCTACAGGTTCCCAGATTTCTTCTTTCATAATTCCTTAGTTAAGAGAACTTCCTATAGCTATTCTCTTAGGATAGGTGTACTGGCAACAAATTCTCTTAGTTCGCCTGCATCTGAAAGTGTCTTGCTTTTTCCTTCATTTCTGAAAAATATTATCTCTGGATATATATATATATATATATATATATATATATGTATGTATGTATGTATGTATGTATGTATGTATGTATGTATATGTGTGTATTTTATATATATACACACACTATTTTCTTTTTGAGATGGAGCTTTGCTCTTGTCACCCAGGCTGGAGTGGAATGGCGCAATCTCAGCACACTGCAACCCCTGCCTCCCAGGTTCAAGCAATTCTCCTGCCTCAGCCTCTCAAGTAGCTGGGATTATGGGCACCCACAACCACACCCAGCTAATTTTTGTATTTTTGGTAGAGATGGGGTTTCACCATGTTGGTCAGGCTAGTCTCAAACTTCTGACCTCAGGTGATCCACCTGCCTCAGCCTCCCAAAGTGCTGGGATTACAGGCATGAGCCGCTGCACCCAGCCAGGATTCTATATTGACAATACTTTAAGGACCTGAAAAATATTTTGCCACTTTCTTCTGGCCTCCATAGCTTCCAATAAGAAATTGCCTGTCATTCTAATTGTTTTCCCCCTATAGGTAAGATGTTATTTCTCTTTTGATGCTCTTGAAATGCTGTCTTTAGCTTTCAAGTGTTTACGATGTGTGTTGGCAAGGATTTCTTTGGTTTATCTTGTTTGGGGTTCACAATGCTTCTTGAATCTGCAGTTTTGGGTCTCTTGCCACATTTAAAAAGTTCTTAGCCGTTATTTATTCAAGTACTTTTTGGGCCCCTCCCTCTTTCTTCTCTCCTTCTGTAACTCCAGTGACATGAATGTTAGCTCTTTTTTATACCCCCACAGGTCCCTGAGGCTATGTTTGTGCTTACAGAATATTTTCTCTCTGTTGTTCAGACTGGATAATTTCTCTCTTTTTTTTTTTTTTTGAGATGGAGTCCCACACTGTTGCTCGGGCTGGAGTGCAGTGGCGCAATCCAGCTCACTTCAACTTCTGCCTCCCAGGTTCAAGTGATTCTCCTGCCTCAGCCTCCCAAGTAGCTGGGATTATAAGTGCCCACCACCACGCCCAGCTAATTTTTTGTATTTTTAGTAGAGATGGGGTTTCACCACGTTGGCCAGGCTGGTCTCGAACTTCTGACCTCATGATCTGCCTGCCTTGGCCTCCCAAAGTGCTGGGATTACAGGCGTGAGCCACAGCACCCAGCTGATAATTTCTTTTATTCTATTTTCCAGTTTCTGATTCTTTCCTCTATCCCTTCCATTCTGCTGTTGCACTCATTCAGTGAGCTTTTTATTTCAATTATGGTATTTGTCACTTCTAAAATATCAATGTGATTCTCTTTTATATCTTCCATCTCTTTGCTGAGATATCCTAATTCTGTTTTTTCATTTGTTTCAGATATGGTCATAATTACTCATTGAAACTTTTATATAAGGCTGTTTTAAAATCTCTGTCCAATATTTCTAACCTGTGTCACCTTGGTAGTGGCATCTGCTGACTGTCTTTTCTCATTAAGCTTGATTTCTTCCTGGTTCTTTCTATGATGAGTGATTTTTCTTTTTTTTTTTTTTTTTCTTTTTTTGAGATGGAGTGTCGCTCTGTCACCCAGGCTGGAGTGTAATGATATGGTCTCAGCTCACTGCAATCTCTGCCTCTCGGCTTCAAGTGATTCTTCTGCCTCAGCCTCCTGAGTAGCTGGGATTACAGGCGCCCAGCAGCATGCTGGCTAATTTTTGTATTTTTAGTAGAGATGGGGTTTCACCATGTTGGCCAGGCTGGTCTCGAACTCCTGACCTCAGGTAATCCGCCTGCCTCAACCTCCCAAAGTGCTGGGATTACAGGTGTGAGCCACCATACCTGGTCTGATCAGTGATTTTTTAAATAGAAACCTGGACATGTTAGGAGAGATAAGATTCTATATCTCATTTAAACCTTCTGTTTTAGTTGATTTCTCTGACACCATTCCAGCAAGGGAAGAGGGGATAACGCCTTATTACTACCAGGTAGAGGTAGAAGTCCAGGTTCCCCATGTAGAAACCACTGGCATCCAGGGGGGATTCCTCATTATTGCTGGGCAAGGATGGGTGCTCTGCTTCCCACTAGACCTCTACTGATTCTTCCTTCAGGGAGAGAAGGACAGGTGCCTCATATATGTTCCCATGTGGCCTCCACTGTGCAGGGTTGTGGTGAAACTCCTTATATTCCACTAGGCTTCCTCTGAGACCACCCCAGGACTAGAAAACTAGACTAGCAAAAACTAAAAAAGGAGTCTCATTACTGCCAGATAGGAGCAGAAGTCTAGGCTCCCCATGTGGCTTCCACTGACACTGTAGCAGAGAGGGTCTCATTAATACTGGCTGAGATGAAGTCTTAGCTGGCTACTTTCCCAGAAGATTGTCAGAGTTTCACATCTAAAAGGGGTCTTAGAAATTATATTTATCTCCCCTAACCCCCAATTTTAAAAACAAGAAAAGTGAAGCTAGACAAAGTTAATGGTTATCCAAGGCCACACAGCTAGTTTGTAGCCAAACAAACAAATTCAGTTTTCCTAAATCTCTCTGTAGGGCTTACTTTTTAATTTTTTTTCCCTGTCATAACACCTCGTATTTTTATTTTTTAAAGGAATAATTTTTTTCTCAAACAATTACCTGCCACACACCAATATTGGCTGAAGGTTCTGAGAATGGACGTTTGAAGACCCTGCACATTTTTAAGGCATCTGAATTTACTTCAGTGAAGTTATTTAACACAGCAAAGGCAGCTGCTAATGGGTAAACACAGGAGAAAAGGCTCACATAACCAAACTGCAGGAATAACTCCAAGTAATCATCAAAGGTGCCCTGAAAATATAAACAAGCATGCATTATTTTAATATCATACAATAGGAATATCCTTTTGCAATACTAATCAAAGCTGTGGCCTCTAACTATTCAAAAAAACCTCAAAGAGTTTCCCCACCATACACCAGTGTTTCTCCAACTTCTGACACCCTCAGGCTTCATGATCATCCCACACACATGCAATAATAATTTCAGTTTAAGAAAAGTATTCATCACAATATTTTAAAGCAATCATAAGCATTAATATTTTCAAATTAATAAACATTATTATTATCGCATCTCTGAATCAGTCTTTCACTAAGATATGCATATTAGGCTCAGTATTAGTGTAAGTCAGAGTCCACTTCCAGTCAGTTTTTCTTATTTTATATTTTACTAAATAGAAAATCTCAAACACAACAATAGGGTATTGGGAATGGCAAAAGGTGCTTCTTCCAGATGTTCTGGATATCTGAATCAAGTATGAACCACCGATTCTGAGTCTCACTGGCTATTTTCGAGGTTCACCAGAAAGTACCACTAAACACATAAACCTCAGAACTGGCAGGTTACATGCTCAACTTGGGATTCAAGGGCGAGCAGTTTCTAAATAACTTGGTTGGTTGCATTTGGCTCTAGATGGTATGTTCTCATGTTGTGTTGCAGCATCTAGTTATGGTTCTTAAATATACCCAGTGACATTGCATCAATCTCTTTCTCTGAAGGATGAATAAATCAAGAGTTGGGAAAAGAGTAAAAATCTTAGCAATCAAGCCATTTTTACCACATTCAGTCTTAAGAAATCCTGATACCCTATGCTCAGCATTCAAAATTGCACTGTTTCAGGCTGTAAAGATCAAGCCTGTGCAGAGATGTGCAGGCAGTTTTTCTCAGGTGTGCTATTGGGAAGCCTCTGAAAATCATGCAAAGGCCTTCTTGGAGTTATTAGTGTATAGCACCAGGGGAGCCCTTTCCAAACACAGCAGCGTGCTCCACACTCTGTGTTTCCCCACACTCTGTGTTTCCATCTCTCGGGGTGATTCTGAGTGATGATAGCTACACGTTAACACTGTATCAGCACCTTTTACACTTCTGAGTGCTTTTGAGCCAAGAAATTTAGCAAACCAAGGACATAATCCAACAGCAAGAAGGAAAAAAAATGAAAATTCAACAAAGAAAACACATACACACACTAAGAATATATTAACCAAGACACAATCTACCCTATTCTCTCTTTTTGTTGGACCATGCTATCAACACTCAGCTGAGAAGTTTTAAACTGATAAAATGTTATTTACTAAAAACACGGAACAAACATAACACACAATGGTGAGAAGATAAAAAAATCAGAAATAAGATAAAGATTCCTGTGATAATTACTTCTATTCAAATTGTATTGAACATACCAGTAAGCCTAGTAGATAATAAAAAGGGTAAAAACTGAAGGAAGAAAGAAAATGGTCATTATTTATAGCTCAAATTACTGTCTATGTAGAAAATCCAACAAAATCTATAGAAAATGTTTTGGAAATAACAGGAGAGTTCAGCAAAATTGTGGGTAAAAGATATAAAAATTAACAGCATTCCCATATGCCAGCAACAAACAATTAGAAATTGTATTTTTAAAGAGATACTATTTATAAAAAGGAAAAGGAAAGTTTCAAAAGTATTGACCCACAGATAATTTATTCATTATAAAATGAAGGAAAAAAAAAAACACTGTGCAATCTGCCTTTTACCAAGCCAACCGAATGATCAAACAAGGTGACCCCACAAAATGGGCAACCAGACGTCAACACATCCTGATGGGGTACAATGGTGGTATACTTCCAAAATCATTTCACTCAAATCTTATGAGAAATAAGATCAAACAATAGATTTACAAAAGCCAATTCCTTGAAAAACGGCAAGGAGGTTGTTCTAGAGCTGTAGTTTTCAAGCTTTTTTGGTCTTAAGGAGCCCTAAACTCTTAAAAATTATTGAGGACATTAAAGACATTTTGTTTGGCCAGGCGCAGTGGCTCACGCCTGTAATTCCAGCACTTTGGGAGGCCGAGGCGGGTGGATCACGAGGTCAGGAGATTGAGACCATCCTGGCTAACATGGTGAAAACCTGTCTCTACTAAAAATACAAAAAATTAGCCGGGCATGGTGGCAGGCACCTGTAGTCCCAGCTATTTGGGAGGCTGAGGCAGGAGAATGGTATAAACCTGGGAGGCGGAGCTTGCAGTGAGCCAAGATCGCACCACTGCACTCCAGCCTGGGCAACAGAGCGAGACTCTGTCTCAAAAAAAAAAAAAAAAAAAAAAGACGTTTTGTTTATGTGAGTTTATCTAGTTGATGCTTTGATGCTTACCATATTATTAATTAAAACTGAGAAATTAGGTCAGGCATGGTGGCTCATCCCAACACTTTGGGAGGCCAAGGTGGGAGAACTGCTTAAATCCAGGAGTTCAAGACCAGCCTGGGCAACACAGTGAGAGCCCATCTCTACAAAAAATACAAAAATAAGCCAGGCATGATGGTACATGCCTGTAGTCCCAGCTACTCAGGAGGCTGAGGTAGAAGGATCGCTTGAGCCTGGGAGGTTGAGGTTGCAGTGAGCCACTATTGCCACCACTGCCCTCCAACCTGTGTGACAAAGTGAGACCCTGTCTCACCAGAAAAAAAAAAAAAAAAAGCTGAGAAATTTTAAAGATCTTCCATTAATACATTTAAATAATAACATATTAACATAAATGTCTTTTGAAAAATAATTACATTTCAAAAAATGTTAATGCAGACTGGCACTTTTTACATTTCTGGCAAACCTCTGTAATGTATCATTTAGTAGAAGGCAGTTCATTTACTGTGCAGCAATATGATGTTCTACTTGGAATAGTCGTCATGAAAATTCAGCCTCACCCAGCTATGCAGTTGGATATGAGTGGGCAGTTCACAGGAAAAGGACAGCAGAGGACAGTGAAGATCTAGGAAGCAACACAGCTTAGTCCTGGGCTGGTGGAACAGCAATCAGGAGACCCAGGGGATTACCATGGGTGGGAATATTACAGAGAATTTCTTTTTATATATTGACTCTATCCTGCATTTTCTAAGTTTTCTACAGGGAGTGAGAAAGTATTACTTTTATAGTAATGTTTTTAAAGTTTCGGCCAAATTGCTTTTTCCCAAAGCTTGGCAACATTATTTTAGACTCACATATAACAGTCAGGATGAGCTTACAGAAAATACAGTTCTAAATTCATTGATTTCAATTAGGAGAAAAATGGACCCAGAAGAAAGGATTCATGCATAGGAAACAATCATCTAGAATAAATGTGATCCAAAAGTATCCCCGCCTCCAAATACATGGAGAGAACTGAAATGGCAAATATCCAACATCACTCCAGTGGAGACGGTGAAAAAGAAACCTGTAAGAGATCAGGAGTGGGAAATGGCCAGATCACGCAGAACCCTGCAGGTCCAAAAAGGAGTGGCACTGTAAACCCTAGAGTTCAGTCACAGACCCAGAGCCTGAGAGAGAAATCAATATATTATTTCCTTTACTTCACATCAGAGAACCTGTGGTGTATAACAGAAAGATTCTGAATTGGGAAGGCAAGGTCTTGAACCTTCTTTCTGATTTAGTCACCAAATAATTAATGACATAGAGCTTCATTTGCTTATTTTTGACATGGGAATAGCCATGCCTCCCTCACCGTCCTTCATAAAGGTTTTGTCAGATACCCTGAAATGTCAAAAGAGGTAAGATCTGAGATTTTGGCAGTGTCACATCACTGGCATACAGTTCTTAGATAAATTAGAATTGCTCAGATGAGGACTGTACTAAAAACCATTCACTGAGCCAGGGGCAAAGCAGGAGAAACCCATCTTCAGAAGATTATGAATCGTGTTTTGGGTACTTCAGGAGATAATGTTGTTTGCCCAAACTATTTCAGAGAAAAAGAACAGCTGAAAGCAGATTCTAATTGATTATAGAAAGAGAAGTAGGAAACTAAAGACAACAATATGGAGAATTATTGCAGAAAACTGTGAGGGGAAGGAAAGACAGGATAAAAACAGCAGAAGATGTGAAGAGTTTGCTTAGTTCAAAATAGGCAAGTTGCTGACTTGGTGGAGCAGTTAGGAGGAGAAGAAGTAGATACAAGAGTACCAGGTGATGGCTGGTGACAGAAGGCCTCCAAAGATGAGGGGGGATGGAATGAGAGTACAGGGGATGGACTGCTGGTGCAGTTTCTATAAGACAGTGAAAAAAGGAAAAGAAATGTGGCCAAGAATACCACCCCCAAGCATAGGCAAGGAAAGGATCCTGACATAATGGGAACTTTTATCCCATAGTAAAATGACATAATTTAACTTTTATCCCATAGTAAGCTAGCACTCAACCAATCCAGAAAGGACAGCTCCACACTTGTGCCCACATGCTCCTTCTCTTTAATTCTTCCTCTGTGAGACAGAGTAGGTGTGTGTCTTTTCTCTATGCTTCATATATAAATATAAACAATGTTACTGTTCAAAGTTTACTATGTGTTTATACTTTGAATCATCTCCCTCAAACACAGCAATGACAGAAGGGGCTAGGATCTGTATCCTATGGGGAGGAGAACCAAGAGCACCCTCTCCCCTGGAGTGTAACTGGAGCCAGGCTTGCTGAGCAAAACCAGGGGTTGGGACAATGCTCCCTGCCCTTCAAAGGAGGCTTTAAAAAAGCTACAACTGCTGCCTGGTAACTACAGCTATGTCAACAGCATGCCACCTACTGGCTCTGTGACCAGATCTATAAAATCCTCATCACCACCACAAGATGGGAGCTCTGGGCTACAAACACCTGGTTCTGGATGAGGGGCTTGGAGGCTCAGTGGGGGCAACTGCAAAAAATAAGGCAGAAGTGAGCAGAGAGAAAAAGACAAAGTCCTACTCAACATGAACATACAAATTCCTAAGCACATGAGAAAAATTATGAAAGTCAGTCAAGACACTCAAAAATCAGGAGATAAACTCATTCAAGATGAAAAACAAGACTATGAAAGTTTCACAATAATGGGCTCTCAGTAAATGACCCACTGAAGGATCTATTTCACCAGAAAGAATACTGTAGCAACAAGGAAGGTGCAGGATGTTAAGAAACAATGGCCTAAAAAAAATGTGAAATATAGAAACAGTGAATGTAGTCAGAGCTCAATAAAAGTTGGCTGAACACATAGATTTTATGAGCTAGACCTTTCAAATATTAAAAGTGTAAATCTCTAATGATCTGCTTGTAGTTCCTAAAAGTAATTCAGAAAGTCTCTGTCTTAAAAGAACTGTTTTATATTTATACAATAGCACTAATGTAAACTAAAATTCAATCTTCAGATTGGCATTCCATTGTTCATCAATGAGTCTCTATCTTTTGTTTGTGCAGCCATCATTTTCCATGAGTTTGAAGTGTCAAGAGCGAGCAATGCTGCTGCCTCTTCAGGGACCATCTCTCCCGTTCTGTCATCTCTGGGGCAACTATTCTACCCTGCTCTCCGCAAAGCAAAGCAGTCATGTAATTCTCCAAATTTGCCCTTTGGTGTCATTATGCGTAACTTTAGATTTCAGACAGCAGTGCTTCAATGCAAAGTTCTATCCCTTTCACTTTAAAGTGGTTCATGATGAGGAAACTGACTGGAAAGCACTTCTAGAATAGTCACATCTGAGATCATGAATGTATAACATTTGTTGAACTCAGTGCATGGCTATTATTCACTCTCAGTAAATGTTTAATTCAGCAATATTCCAACTTACCAAATAAGTTCCCATTTCTTTTTCCAGGATGACTTGTTCATATAATGTAGCATCAATGTCTGCCTTTAAAGCCTGCACCTTCCTCTTCACCCGCACACCATGCTTCCTTTGGAGCCAATAAGGAAGAAAAGATTCCATAATTTGGTTGAGGATCTGGGAGGTAATTAGGAGAGTGGCCAAGCTCTAAAGAGAAGCACACAAATCACATTTTGGGAATACAGCTTAATAAAACTATAGCATTTGTATAAATTATATATAAATTAAACTACAGTATTTATAGCATAAATACAATTATGCAACAAATAAAATGGAATCTTCAATAAATAGCATACTATTGTGTTATAAAAACTAGTATTAGAAAAGCTAGGTGTTAGAATGGTGTTTCTAATTTATGGTTTTTCACATGAAAGACCAAGATTAAAAGATAAATAAGATTATAATACAAATAATGTTATAATAAGAAACAAACTGGTCAATTAAACAGTCCCAACACAAGGAAATAATAAATGTTTGAGAGGATGGATATGTTAACTACCCTGATCTGACTGCGATACATTTTATGTATTAAAACATCACCAAGTACTTCATGAATATGTACAATTATTTGTCAATTCTACAACTTTAAAAAAAGAATCATTACAAAAATGAATTAACTTGCAATTGTGTTCTTCGACATTTCATCCTGACTGCAACATATAAATCTAAATGATGTTGCCAACTCTGGATAAAAAAAGTTTGGCTAAATTCTTTTTTAAAGAATTTAAATTATACCACTAATACATACCCTCACTACAAAAATAAAACAGAAAAAAAATCCACATATTTACAGTCAACTGATTTTCTATAAAGGCACTAAGAATGTATATTGAGGCAGGGTGCAGTGGCTCATGCCTGTAATCCCAGTACTTTGAGAGGCCAAGGCGGGCAGATCACCTGAGATGGAAAGTTTGAGGCCGGGCACAGTGGCTCACACCTGTAATCCCAGCACTTTGGGAGGCCGAGGCGGGCAGATCACGAGGTCAGGAGATCGAGACCATCCTGGCTAACACGGTGAAATCCTGTCTCTACTAAAAATACAAAAAGTTAGCCGGGCATGGTGGCACGTGCCTGTAGTCCCAGCTACTCAGGAAGCTGAGGCAGGAGAATGGCGTGAACCCAGGAGGCGGAGCTTGCAGTAAGCCAAGATCGCGCCACTGCACTCCAGCCTGGGCGGCAGAACGAGGCTCTGTCTCAAACAAAAAAAAAAAAAAAAGAAGTTTGAGACCAGCCTGGCCAACATGGTGAAACCCCACCTCTACTAAAAATACAAAAATTAGCCAGGCGTGGTGGCGCACATCTGTAATCCCAGCTACTTGGGAGGCTGAGGTACAAGAAACGCTTGAACCTAGGAGGTAGAGGCTGCAGTGAGCCAAGGCTGTGCCACTGCACTCCAGCCTGGGCAACAGAGTGAGACTCCATCTAAAAAAAAAAAAGAAGAATGTATATTGGAGAAAAAACACCCTCTTCAATAAATGGTGCTGGGAAAACCAGGTATCTATATGCAGAAGAATGAAACTAGACCCCTCTCTATCACCACAAACAAAAGTCAACTCAAAATGGATTAAAGATCTAAACATAAGACCCAAAACTATAAAACTACTAGAAGAAAACATAGGGGAAATACTACAGGACATTGGTCTAAGCAAAGTTCCCACCATTTTATGGCTAGGACCTAAAAAGCACAGGCAACAAAACCAAAAATAGACAACTGTGACTATATTAAAGAAAAAAGTTTCTGCACAGCAAAGGAAACAACACAGTGAAGAGACAATCTGTTGAATGGGAGAAAAGATCTGCAGACTACTCATCTGACAAGGAACTAATACCTAGAATACCAGAATATACAAGGAACTCAAACAATACCAAAAATACAAATAATCCCATTAAAGTAGGCAAAAGACATGAATAGACATTTCTCTAAAGAAGACATTTACATAGCCACAGGTATATGAAAAAATACTCAACACCACTCATCATCAGGGACATGCAAATCAAAGCCACAATGAGATATCATCCTACTCCAAATAGAATTGCTATTATTAAAAAGACCCAAAAAATCCAGATGCTGACAAGAACGTGCAACAAAGGGAACTCTTATACACTGTTGTTGGTAGAAATGGAAATTGATACAGACATTATATAAAAGAGTATGGCGAGAGGTTTTTTTTTTTTTTTTTTTGAGACATCTAAAAAAAAACCTGAAAATAGAACAACCATAGAATCCAGCATTCTGACTACTGGGTATTTATCCAAAGGAAAAGAAATGAGCATATCAAACGGACACCTGCACCCCCATGTTTACTGCAGCACTATTTGTAACAATAAAGAAACAGAATCAACCTCAGTGTCTATCAACAGATGAATAGATAAGGAAAATGTGGTATATATACACAATGGAATACTAGTTGGCCATAAAAAAGACTGAAATTCTGTCAATTGCAGCAACACGGATGGAACTGGAGGTCATTATGTTAAGTGAAATAAGCCGGGCACAGAAAGACAAATATCACAGGCTCCCACTCACACTTGGGAGCTAAAAAAGTTGATCTCATAGAGATAGAGTGGGACGACGGTTACCAGAGGCTGGGTGGGTGTGTGTTGGGGAGAGGAGGATAAAGAGAAGCTGATCGAGAGGTACAAACATACAATTAGAGAGAAGAAATAAGTTCTAACATATGAGAGCAGAGTAGGGTGATTATGGTTAACAATAATGTATTGTATGCTCCCAACATATAGAAATGATAAATACTCGAGATGATAGATACTCTAAATACCTTGATTGATCATTACACATTTTTTTTTTTGAGACACGGTCTCACTTTGCAGTGCAGTGGCGTGATCACAGTTCACTGCAGCCTGGAGCTCCCAGGCTCAGACAATCCTCCCACCTCAGTCTCCCAGGTAGCTGAGACTACAGGCAAGTGCTACCACACCCAGGTAACTTTTTGTATATTTGGTAGAGACAGGATTTTGCCACGTTGCCCAGGTTGGTCTTGAACTCCTGGGCTCAAGCAATCTGCCTGCCTCAGCCTCCTAAAGTGCTGGGATTACAGGTATGAGCCATTATGCCCGGCCTTCATTACACATTTTATGAATGTAACAAAACAGCATATGTACCCCATAAAAATGTACAACTATGTATGTATTATTAAAAAAAAAATAGAAAAAAAGAGCCACCCATAATTACACAACCATGACAAAACCACTGCTACTTCTTGGGATATTTCTTTCCAATCATATATAAAAATAAAACTATAATTATCCTATATGGATACACTTTGTTTACTGCTTTTCTCACTTAATATGTTTGAGCATTTTCCCGTATCATTAAAAATTCTTTTTTACTTGGCCTGTACACTGCTGTTGAATTAACTATTACTCCCAATTTTGGCTATTATAATGCTGGTGCTTGGATATCTATGTACATGAATCTTTGCTCCTCTCTGAAGATTTACTAGGGATGAGTTAAGTTTCTTGGCAAAGCTATCAAGAGAGCTGGTTTCCAGAGATGTATCAATCTCCACTTTTCTCAGATAGATATGAATGTTTCCATCACACCCCACCTTTGCTGGTATTACAACTGTTTTTTTAAGCGGTCCTCCTCCATTCCCCTATCTTCTGCTAAGTAAAGGAGACTCTCTAAAGCAGAAGAAATGAGAAGTCACATCCAACTAATACACTATTACATGGGACCACTGTTACATGTACATCCAACTCATCAATTCCAAATGTACTACTTTAAACTTTCTCTATTTTGAAAAATAATTTTTAACAAGTGGAGTCTAGCCTTTGAGACTGCTCACCAACAATCTCAGAATATTAAAACTGGGAAAAAACAGCCATTTACTTATAACTGGTTCAAATATAAAAAGGAGAATTTAGAAATCAATAATTTGTTCTTAATTTATTATTCATTGGTATTATGTGATCCAGAAATGACAACACACCAAAATAAATGTCAGACACTTTAGAAAAGATACAGCACTGCATAGGATCCACTGGTCTCTAAAGTTTAACAACTTATTAACTTAAAAATTAAATTTGCGAGACCTAAGGTTACACCAATCATCCCCATCCAAGGCACACAAAACAGTTCAGTTAATGAATACTATATTTTTGCTGTTAGAGTTGCTTACAAGCTTTGAGGTGAACTATATAATTGATTTTACTGCCCTATACTTAATTTTTCAGGTTGGTTAGGTTCAACTCATTTCAGTTGAGCATAATACACAATGCCATTCCTAATAATTTTTTATTTAGAATTTGGCTTAAAAACATACAAAATTTAAAAGATTTTATTTGTAAAAATAATTTGAAGGCAATTACAGCATCTAAAGATAGAAAACCACCTCTATGACCTAAAAAATTGGTATTTTTCTGTTATTTTTACTTACCTGGCGCAAAAGCTTCATATCTTTCAAGACAAAGGCAATATAGAAGAGTGAGGCAAAGCAATTGAGGAAGTTGAACTGCCAAAAAAAAAAAAAAAAAAGATAAGTGTTAAGCACTGCTTTAGAGTACTTTACTACAACTGTAATGCAGCATTTAAAAATGTAATGGGAGCGGGGAGGAGCCAAGAGGGCCGAATAGGAACAGCTCCAGTCTACAGCTCCCAGCCTGAGCGACGCAGAAGACGGGTGATTTCTGCATTTACATCTGAGGTACCGGGTTCATCTCACTAGGGAGTGCCAGACAGTGGACGCAGGTCAGTGGGTGCGCGCACCGTGTGCGAGCCGAAGCAGGGCAAGGCATTGCCTCCCTTGGGAAGCGCAAGGGGTCAGGGAGTTCCCTTTCTGAGTCAAAGAAAGGGGTGACGGACGGCACCTGGAAAATCGGGTCACTCCCACCAGAATACTGCGCTTTTCCGACGGGCTTAAAAAATGGCGCACCACGAGATTATATCCTGCACCTGGCTCGGAGGGTCCTACGCCCACGGAGTCTCGCTGATTGCTAGCACAGCAGTCTGAGATCAAACTGCAAGGCGGCAGCGAGGCTGGGGGAGGGGCGCCCGCCATTGCCCAGGCTTGATTAGGTAAACAAAGCAGCTGGGAAGCTCGAACTGGGTGGAGCCCACCACAGCTGAAGGAGGCCTGCCTGCCTCTGTAGGCTCCACCTCTGGGGGCAGGGCACAGACAAACAAAAAGACAGCAGTAACCTCTGCAGACTTAAATATCCCTGTCTGACAGCTTGGAAGAGAGCAGTGGTTCTCCCAGCACGCAGCTGGAGATATGAGAATGGGCAGACTGCCTCTTCAAGTGGGTCCCTGACCCCTGACCCCCGAGCAGCCTAACTGGGAGGCACCCCCCAGCAGGGGTACACTGACACCTCACACGGCAGGGTATTCCAACAGACCTGAAGCTGAGGGTCCTGTCTGTTAGAAGGAAAACTAACAAACAGAAAGGACATCCACACCAAAAACCCATCTGTACATCACCATCATCAAAGACCAAAAGTAGATAAAACCACAAAGATGGGGAAAAACCTGAACAGAAAAACTGGAAACTCTAAAAAGCAGAGCGCCTCTCCTCCTCCAAAGGAACGCAGTTCCTCAGCAACGGAACAAAGCTGGATGGAGAATAACTTTGACGAGCTGAGAGAAGAAGGCTTCAGACGATCAAATTACTCTGAGCTACGGGAGGACATTCAAACCAAAGGCAAAGAAGTTGAAAACTTTGAAAAAAATTCAGAAGAATCTATAACTAGAATAACCAATACAGAGAAGTGCTTAAAGGAGCTGATGGAGCTGAAAACCAAGGCTCGAGAACTACGTGAAGAATGCAGAAGCCTCAGGAGCTGATGCAATCAACTGGAAGAAAGGGTATCGGCAATGGAAGATGAAATGAATGAAATGAAGTGAGAAGGGAAGTTTAGAGAAAAAAGAATAAAAAGAAATGAGCAAAGCCTCCAAGAAATATGGGACTATGTGAAAAGACCAAATCTACATCTGATTGGTGTACCTAAAAGTGATGGGGAGAATGGAACCAAGTTGGAAAACACTCTGCAGGATATTATCCAGGAGAACTTCCCCAATCTAGCAAGGCAGGCCAACGTTCAGATTCAGGAAATACAGAGAACGCCACAAAGATACTCCTCGAGAAGAGCAACTCCAAGACACATAATTGTCAGATTCACCAAAGTTGATATGAAGGAAAAAATGTTAAGGGCAGCCACAGAGAAAGGTCGGGTTACCCTTAAAGGGAAGCCCATCAGACTAACAGCAGATCTCTCGGCAGAAACTCTACAAGCCAGAAGAGAGTGGGGGCCAATATTCAACATTCTTAAAGAAAAGAATTTTCAACCCAGAATTTCATATCCAGACAAACTAAGCTTCATAAGTGAAGGAGAAATAAAATACTTTATAGACAAGCAAATGCTGAGAGATTTTGTCACCACCAGGCCTGCCTTACAAGAGCTCCTGAAGGAAGCACTAAACATGGAAAGGAACAACTGGTACCAGCCACTGCAAAATCATGCCAAAATGTAAAGACCATCGAGACTAGGAAGAAACTGCATCAACTAACGAGCAAACTAACCAGCTAACATCATAATGACAGGATCAAATTCACACATAACAATATTAACTTTAAATGTAAATGGACTAAATGCTCCAATTAAAAGACACAGACGGGCAAACTGGATAAAGACTCAAGACCCATCAGTGTGCTGTATTCAGGAAACCCATCTCACGTGCAGAGACACCCACAGGCTCAAAATAAAAGGATGGAGGAAGATCTACCAAGCCAATGGAAAACAAAAAAAGGCAGGGGTTGCAATCCTAGTCTCTGATAAAACAGACTTTAAACCAACAAAGATCAAAAGAGACAAAGAAGGCCATTACATAATGGTAAAGGGATCAATTCGACAAGAAGAGCTAACTATCCTAAATATATATGCACCCAATACAGGAGCACCAAGATTCATAAAGCAAATCCTTAGAGACCTACAAAGAGACTTAAGACTCCCACACATTAATAATGGGAGACTTTAACACCCTACTGTCAACATTAGACAGATCAACGAGACAGAAAGTCAACAAGGATACCCAGGAATTGAACTCAGCTCTGCACCAAGTGGACCTAATAGACATCTACAGAACTCTCCACCCCATATCAACAGAATATACATTTTTATCAGCACCACACCACACCTATTCCAAAATTGACCACATAGTTGGAAGTAAAGCACTCCTCAGCAAATGTAAAAGAACAGAAATTATAACAAACTATCTCTCAGACCACAGTGCAATCAAACTAGAACTCAGGATTAAGAATCTCACTCAAAACCGCTCAACTACATGGAAACTGAACAACCTGCTCCTGAATGACTACTGGGTACATAACGAAATGAAGGCAGAAATAAAGATGTTCTTTGAAACCAACGAGAACAAAGACACAACATACCAGAATCTCTGGGGCGCATTCAAAGCAGTGTGTAGAGGGAAATTTATAGCACTAAATGCCCACAAGAGAAAGCAGGAAAGATCCAAAATTGACACCCTAACATCACAATTAAAAGAACTAGAAAAGCAAGAGCAAACACATTCAAAAGCTAGCAGAAGGCAAGAAATAACTAAAATCAGAGCAGAACTGAAGGAGATAGAGACACAAAAAACCCTTCAAAAAATGAATGAATCCAGGAGCTGGTTTTTTGAAAGGATCAACAAAATTGATAGACCGCTAGCAAGACTAATAAAGAAAAAAAGAGAGAAGAATCAAATAGACGCAATAAAAAATGATAAAGGGGATATCACCACCGATCCCACAGAAATACAAACTACCATCAGAGAATACTACAAACACCTCTACGCAAATAAACTAGAAAATCTAGAAGAAATGGATAAATTCCTCGACACATACACTCTCCCAAGACTAAACCAAGAAGAAGTTGAATCTCTGAATAGACCAATAACAGGAGCTGAAATTGTGGCAATAATCAATAGCTTACCAACCAAAAAGAGTCCAGGACCAGATGGATTCACAGCCGAATTCTACCAGAGGTACAAGGAGGAACTGGTACCATTCCTTCTGAAACTATTCCAATCAATAGAAAAAGAGGGAATCCTCCCTAACTCATTTTATGAGGCCAGCATCATTCTGATACCAAAGTCGGGCAGAGACACAACCAAAAAAGAGAATTTTAGACCAATATCCTTGATGAACATTGATGCAAAAATCCTCAATAAAATACTGGCAAAACGAATCCAGCAGCACATCAAAAAGCTTATCCACCATGATCAAGTGGGCTTCATCCCTGGGATGCAAGGCTGGTTCAATATACGCAAATCAATAAATGTAATCCAGCATATAAACAGAGCCAAAGACAAAAACCACATGATTATCTCAATAGATGCAGAAAAAGCCTTTGACAAAATTCAACAAACCTTCATGCTAAAAACTCTCAATAAATTAGGTATTGATGGGATGTATTTCAAAATAATAAGAGCTATCTATGACAAACCCACAGCCAATATCATACTGAATGGGCAAAAACTGGAAGCATTCCCTTTGAAAACTGGCACAAGACAGGGATGCCCTCTCTCACCACTCCTATTCAACATAGTGTTGGAAGTTCTGGCCAGGGCAATTAGGCAGGAGAAGGAAATAAAGGGTATTCAATTAGGAAAAGAGGAAGTCAAATTGTCCCTGTTTGCAGATGACATGATTGTATATCTAGAAAACCCCATTGTCTCAGCCCAAAATCTCCTTAAGCTGATAAGCAACTTCAGCAAAGTCTCAGGATACAAAATCAATGTACAAAAATCACAAGCATTCTTATACACCAACAACAGACAGAGAGCCAAATCAGGAGTGAACTCCCATTCACAATTGCTTCAAAGAGAATAAAATACCTAGGAATCCAACTTACAAGGGATGTGAAGGACCTCTTCAAGGAGAACTACAAACCACTGCTCAAGGAAATAAAAGAGGATACAAACAAATGGAAGAACATTCCATGCTCATGGGTAGGAAGAATCAATATTGTGAAAATGGCCATACTGCCCAAGGTAATTTACAGATTCAATGCCATCCCCATCAAGCTACCAATGACTTTCTTCACAGAATTGGAAAAAACTACTTTAAAGTTCATATGGAACCAAAAAAGAGCCCGCATCGCCAAGGCAACCCTAAGCCAAAAGAACAAAGCTGGAGGCATCACACTACCTGACTTCAAACTATACTACAAGGCTACAGTCACCAAAACAGCATGGTACTGGTACCAAAACAGAGATATAGATCAATGGAACAGAACAGAGCCCTCACAAATAACGCCGCATATCTACAACTATCTGATCTTTGACAAACCTCACAAAAACAAGCAATGGGGAAGGGATTCCCTATTTAATAAATGGTGCTGGGAAAACTGGCTAGCCATATGTAGAAAGCTGAAACTGGATCCCTTCCTTACACCTTATACAAAAATCAATTCAAGATGGATTAAAGACTTAAACGTTAGACCTAAAACCATAAAAACCCTAGAAGAAAACCTAGGCATTACCATTCAGGACATAGGCATGGGCAAGGACTTCATGTCTAAAACACCAAAAGCAATGGCAACAAAAGACAAAATTGACAAATGGGATCTAATTAAACTAAAGAGCTTCTGCACAGCAAAAGAAACTACCATCAGAGTGAACAGGCAACCTACAAAATGGGAGAAAATTTTCGCAACCTACTCATCTGACAAAGGGCTAATATCCAGAATCTACAATGAACTCCAACAAATTTACAAGAAAAAAACAAACAACCCCATCAAAAAGTGGGCGAAGGACATGAACAGATACTTCTCAAAAGAAGACATTTACGCAGCCAAAAAACACATGAAAAAATGCTCATCATCACTGGCCATCAGAGAAATGCAAATCAAAACCACAATGAGATACCATCTCACACCAGTTAGAATGGCAATCATTAAAAAGTCAGGAAACAACAGGTGCTAGAGAGGATGTGGAGAAATAGGAACACTTTTACACTGTTGGTGGGACTGTAAACTAGTTCAACCATTGTGGAAGTCAGTGTGGCGACTCCTCAGGGATCTAGAACTGGAAATACCATTTGACCCAGCCATCCCATTACTGAGTATATACCCAAAGGACTATAAATCATGCTGCTATAAAGACACATGCACACGTATGTTTATTGCGGCATTATTCACAATAGCAAAGACTTGGAACCAACCCAAATGTCCAACAATGATAGACTGGATTAAGAAAATGTGGCACATATACACCATGGAATACTACGCAGCCAGAAAAAATGATGAGTTCATGTCCTTTGTAGGGACATGGATGAAACTGGAAATCATCATTCTCAGTAAACTATCGCAAGAACAAAAAACCAAACACTGCATATTCTCACTCATAGGTGGGAACTGAACAATGAGATCACATGGACACAGGAAGGGGAATATCACACTCTGGGGACTGTTGTGGGGTGGGGGCAGGGGGGAGGGATAGCATTGGGAGATATACCTAATGCTAGATGACGAGTTAGTGGGTGCAGCGCACCAGCATGGCACATGTATACATATGTAACTAACCTGCACAATGTGCACATGTACCCTAAAACTTAAAGTATAAAAAAAAAAAAGAAGTATTTTCCTACATTAAAAAAAAAAAAAAAAGAAAAATGTAATGGGAGACTTCCAGTCTAAATGAAATGGTAAAGACTTGTTTCTCCCCATGTCTCCTTATTAAATAAACAAACTCTGGAAATAACAAACAAGGCAACCAAAGGAGAACTCTGAAAGGTGCTTAAAGGAAGACGAGATGGTTTAGGACCCCAGAGCTGAAGGAACAGCACAGCACGTGCACACCTTAAGTTCCCCCACCCAACAGAAGGAGGAGACCAAGGCCTGACATTTCCCAACCCCAACCTACCACCCAGGTAGCCCAAGTAGGCTCATTCCTCCCACATTTGAATAGGAATCCTGTCAGTGCCAGGGGAGCCCTGCTAAATTGGCAAGGGGAAATCAATCAGGACCCCCCCACCAACAATAAGTTTCCTGGGGAAGTGCTCTTCTTCCTTGCTGGGCCTGGGACTCCCCTGCTCCACAGAGAGATCCCAGGATGGCCAGGCAGCACTGGCAAGAAGGACCCTATCACAGCAAGCCTATGCCTGGAAACCTCATCAAAAGTAAGTGGGGCAGATGGGTGGCACTGGCAAGGGGGCCCCTGCCACAAGGGCCTGATATAAGAGGCCTCTTCATGCCTATGTACCTGAGATTCTCTCTATCGCAGAGAGACAGCAGGTAACTGGGAGGCTATAACAACCAGTCTGGCCTGGGAAGCATCTTTGTCACCATAAGCATGAACTCCCCTGCCCTGCCAGATACACAGAAGCAGGCTGGGTGAAGGGGATTACCAATCAAGGGGATCCTGCCACAAAAAGTGCCATCTCTTCCAGGAGTTCCCTGCTCAAGAACCTATAGCTTACTTCCTGCACCAATGGGTTTCCTTTCTGCCTCCCAGCCCCCATGCTGACTACTTCCAACCCAGTAGCATCACTTAGACAAAGGCTGCTATGTGTACAGGTGTGAGTGCTTAATTACTGCGGAGATGGGGAGTCATTCTAGAAAGTGAGCAGTAAGATCAACACGACCGCAGGACAGGGGTGCTAAGTTAGAGCAGAAGTTGAAAAGCAAAAGCCTGGGAAGGCTAAGAAACACCATCCCCTTAAGATTAAAAAGGAAGAGAGAGGCCTAAGAAGCACCGTGGAGGAAGAAGACTTTAACCAACGGCTTTTTTTTTTTTTTACAAGGAAGTTACCTAACTGTATCTGGCATCATCAGAGAATAATAAAGTCTCATAAATAACTGAATTCTTTAAGACAAACAATGTTTTTACCTCTGAGGGAAAAAGCTCCTCCTGTTATATAACCTTTTCGAATGAACTTTTTAATGTATCCCATATTCCTTTACTTTCTTACACAGAGGGCACAGAACAGAACTTCCTAGCTGATTTAGCACCAACATTTTAAGTATCAGCCATTTCACGGTGTGAAGGAGGCCTTCGAAGCCTTTTGGATATGTAGGGCTACTTTTCCCTTTCCTATTGCCCAATTGTTGAATTCTTATCTCTTATGACAGCTTTTCATTTCCTTACCTGTTCTTTCTCTGTAGGTTTGCCTACTTCCAGAAATCTAAACACCCTCATGATGGTGATTTCTGATTTTTTAAGGACCGAAAAACCAGATAGATAAACTTCTTAGAATGATTTCTACAGCTAGAACAGAGATTCTAAAAGAGGGCCTGCATCCTTCTCTTGGGAGTAAAGTACACGGACTGTGTTAAATCAATTCCAGTTGAAAGTTCAGATGATTCTTCAGGTAACTTTCTTGATTCTCACTTATGTTACAGATGACTGAGGTAAACCCCCGATAAATGAGGTGTTTTCAAGCTGGTACTTCTTTATTATTTATAATAATGGTAGAAAGAGGCACGACATGTCAGCTTTTAACAAACAGCAAGCAGGTTACATACTGCTTTCTCTCTGTCTCTTTCCTCCCACCTGTCAAAACATGCTGGGAACCTTTTGAACTTTGGAAATCTAACAAAAAAAATTTTTTTTAATGTAATATTCCATCACTAAACAGGTTGTGGTGACAGGAAGGATTGCTAAATAGCAAAACATTCAAAGAAATCACCAAAAGGAAAAGAATAGAAACATATCTAAAAAGTGGGTTAGTTTTGTTGTTATTGTTGTTGTTTTTGTTTTTTGAGACAGGGTCTCGCTCTGTCACCCAGGCTGGAGTGCAGTGGTGCAATCTCGGCTCACTGCAACCCCCGCCTCCTGGGTTCAAGCGATTCTCCTGCCTCAGTCACCCCAGTAGCTGGGATTACAGGTGCCACCATACCCGGTGAATTTTTTTTGTATTTTATGGTAGAGACAGGTTTTCACTGTGCTAGCCAGGCTGGTCTCAAACTCCCGGCCTCAAGTGATCCACCTGCCTCAAGCTTCCCAAAGTGCTGGGATTACAGGCATGTGCTACCGTGTCTGGCCCGTTAGTTTCCTTTCTTTCTTTTTTTTTTTTTTGAGACAGAGTCTCGCTCTGTCACCCAAGCTGGAGTGCAATGGTACCATCTTGGCTCACTGCAACCTCCACCTCCTGAGTTCAAGCGATTCTCCTGCCTCAGCTTCCCAAGTAGCTGGGATTACAGGCCTGCGTCATCATAGCCAGCTAATTTTTCTATTTTTAGTAGAGACAGGGTTTCACCATGTTGGCCAGGCTGGTCTCGAACTCTTGATCCACCAGCATAGGCCTTCCAAAGTGCTGAGATTACAGGTATGAACCACCACACCTGGCCTAGTTTTTAAATAACTGGAAATTGGCTATAATACTAACTCCTATATTTTGAAGTCTTACATCACATGCACATTTGTAATAAGGCTACTGAACACAGAGGTACACATATTTATTAATCAATCCTTGCCTATTTGCACAAAATATATTGATATCTTAGATTAGAAGCAACTCTTCATATTTGTATTCCTATATATTATGTAGTATATACCAGTTTCATAAAATGGATTTGTACATAAACGCTGTACTTACCACTAAAACTTTCAGAATTAGATGGTTCTGATAGGCAGATTCCAATCTGTGATTCTCTAAAACATTAAAACACACAGGTAACTTCTCAGTAAGAAAACAATACGAAAGCACTGTTATGAGGTAAAGTGAGTTGCATTGAGGGCGGAGATGTCCAACATCAGAGCCTCAGTCAGTAAATGTACTAGGCTGTCAATCACAGCTATGCCTTACCACCAAGAGCATCAAACAGGGACACATTTTTCAGGGTACTGCAATAGCACTGTAGTCTGAAATTATTTTTTAAATTACTGCTACAAAGAAATTTGGGAAGTGCTGGCAAACAATCCTACAGACAGCCACCCAAAGACCCTGTATAAGAAGTAATAGTGAAAACTAATAATAGTAACCTCTAGAGAAGAGGGCAATAAATAAAGTTTTCTGTAAATAAAGTTCTGTAAGTAAAGTTTCATGTGGCTTACAAGGGTTAACTTGAAAGGAAACTCAAATTTCTATCTTCACCTAGAAAAGGTAATACTGCATAGATCCCAAAACAGCAAGATAAAATGACAAAAAGGAAGATTCTGAAGAGAAGTGTCATCTTACACATAGAGTGTTGGACTGACCTATATTTGAACACCAACTCAGCTACTCAGCCACTGCCTAACCTTGGGTAAGTTACTTAACCTCCTGATACTCAGCCTTATTCCCTCAAAACAAGGCTGACCATCTTCCTCCCAGGGTCACTCTCAGGATCAGAAATAATATAAAACTTTAGCCTAGTATTAGCACAAGGAAAGTACTTGATAAATGACAGCTGATATTGTCATACAACTAATAAAAATAATTTAAATCATCTTTTTTTTTTTGTGAGACGGAGTCTTGCTCTGTCGCCCAGACTAGACTGCAGTGGCACGATCTCGGCTCACTGCAACCTCTGCCTCCTGGATTCAAGTGATTCTCCTGCCTCAGCCTCCTGAGTAGTTGGGACTACAGGCGTGTGCCACCACGCCCAGCTAAATTTTTTTATTTTTAGTAGAGACGGGGTTTCACCATATTGGCCAGGCTGGTCTCGAACTCCTGAACTTGTGATCTGCCCACCTCAGCCTCCCAAAGTGCTGGGATTCCAGGCGTGAGCCACTGCGTCTGGCCCCTAAAACATATTTATGTCCCATAAAGTTAAGGCTTTGACTTCTTCCTAGGGAATAATATAGCGAATTTGTTCATTGGTTTGAATGAATAAATAAAGAGTCAATGGCCTATCAAGACCATTTTCAACTTATAACCAAGTTCCTTTTTTACCACAGATACATCCATAAACACCTGCCTTCAATGAACTCAACAGCAGTCCTCAGTGCCTCACACCAACTAGACACTCCATTTTAGGAAACTGGTCATAGTTGATTCAGCTGAGTATCATGAAGACATTTTTTTTTTCTTTCTTCTGTGGCTCTAGCCAGTGAAACAATTTCAATCTATTTTACCCTCGGCATGAAACACAATGTTATGTATTAGGAGCACAAGCTTTGGAAAGATAGGTCTGAATTAGTCTAGCTCCACTATTTGCTGTCTGAACCTCATTAAGCATCAGTTATCTTTATCCATAAAAGGGTGAAATAACTTCTACTTCACGGTACCCTTGAGAAGGTGATGGTGAGATACTGTGAATAAAGTGCTTAGCAGGGCACCTAGAACATAGTAATTAACACATAATAAATGAGAGTTACGATAACCATGGCATGGAGATCATCAGTGTTCACAAAGCTGATAAATTTTTCCTTATGTCTCTATAATGAGCCAAGAGCAACATCTATTTTCTCTGCAAGGTAGCAGCTATGTGAATCCCATGATCTAGGCAACATTTCTTACAGGCAAGTAAGACGTGAATATAAAGCCTCAAGTCTTACCCCATGAAGTTAAAAACTCGGCAGCATATCGATAGAGACGATTCATGATCTCAATCACAATGGCATAGATGATGCTGGGCACATACAACAGGACACTGGTCCACTCAGACCCGCTGTTCTCATGTAGACCCAAGGCCCAAACCTCCATGTCGAAGTAAATCATCATGACATACAGTGAGAAATAGAGGCAGAGGCACACGAATGGCAGGGAGACCAGGTAAATGCGCAACTGTCTCTTGTAGCTGGGGTACAGAGGCTCCTCCTTCCCAGTGATGGAATTGATACCCAAGACACCATGAAATCCTGGCCGGGGCTCCTCAAACTTTCTCTTCATGAGCAGTGTCCCCCACCTGTAGGTCATGTTGGCACAGCCACGCTTCCACAGTTCCAGAATCACCGTGGACCAGATGAGGTTGAACGAGGCAAAGATCACGTACTTGTCATAGTCTTCCCACACAAACAAGTAGTAAGGTAACCCAATGACAGCCATGGGGATTAATGCAAAAGTGAAATACTCCAAAAATCCAAAGTACAGAGCAATTGTTTCCCCAAAGTAGCCACGAATACTGTCTATAGTGGAAACAAAGAAAGAACATAAGTATAGACTACCAAACACTTTAAAAAATCATTTCAAGTACGCTTATTCATTTTTTAGTTAAGTGGGGATCATTCAACCCTCACTTCCCAAACAGCGTGTGGTGGTAAATCTACCCTCCATGCAGTATAAAGACCCTGCTTGTCTGCATGGCAGGTCCAACATTTCCCCCAGGTTAGGGGCCAGGCCTTAGCTGGGGGGTGTGCTCCGCCAGGTGCCTGGACTCTGTTTCCCCTCACCTGATGGATACCTTCTTCCCAAAGGAAAACTCATCTTGTAGCTTACCCAAAATCTCCAAGGTCCTAATTTAAGTTCAGCCATGTCCACTGAACATTAATTTGGGGGTTTAATTTATGCTCCCCACTTTTCTCCCACTTAGTGTTATAAATGTTCTTTTTGACGAAGACTCCCCATCCACAAAATTCTGCTCTTCCCTACCCAGAGACATAAACTTTCATCAATGTGTTATGGAAGATTTTTCAATACACTAAAGAAAAATTATTCAAAAGCACAAAACAGGATTCTACACATAAACTTCCAGAACAGCCATGGAACACATTTATCAACACTTTCATATATGCACTGGGCAGAAGAAGGTCCAAGCAACATGACTGCTAATGTTCTGTGAACTCAACACAAGCTAAATGACTCTAGAGGGGTCACCAACACTGCATCCTTTGCCAGCCTCATCCACATGGGGAGTGCTTGGATCATAAGAGCATCTTGTACCAGGACCAGGGTGGGAAGCAGGGGGTGAGAGGAAGTGTGACAGTTGGTGTTATTATTTCTTAGTTAATAATACACAGTTAACATATTTTTCTTAAGATAATTTGAGCAGTCTACAAAAATGAGTTAGAATGAACTGAGATAGGCTATTTTCTCCTATCCTTAATTCTTCCCCCTAACCCAAGAGCAAATGAAAACAGTAGGTATGATTTCACCTCAAATTTAAATCAGGTTAAAGAACATCCGATCATTTCTTTTTAAAAGATGCTCATGACACTTGGCTCCACAGCAGATGACCTTCCCCTTTCAATCTCAAGGAGCCTCAAGATCCACCTATGTCCCAGATGCTATCACCAGTCTCAGTCCCCAGCGACCCCAAATCCACTACCACCCCATGCCTAGCCTTCACCATCGACTCACTTTCTCCCCTTACTTTCTAAGAAGTAGCTAACAGAGGCCGGGAGCAGTGGCTCACACCTATAATCCCAGCACTTTGGGAGGCCAAGGCGGGCGAATCACCTGAGGTCAGGAGTTCAAGACCAGCCTGGCCAACATGGGGAAACCCCGTCTCTACCAAAAATACAAAAATTAGCCGGGCATGGTGGTGTGTACCTGTAGTCCCAGCTACTCAGGAGGCTGAGGCAGGAAAATCACTTGAACCTGGGAAGTGGAGATTGCAGTGAACTGAGATCACACCATTGCACTCCGGCATGGGCCACAGAGCAAGACTCCATCTCAAAAAAAAAAAAAAAAAAAAAAAAAAAAAGGAGTAGCTAACAGATAGTCACTTTACAAGTCCTAGAGGCAATATTCAAATTTCCTGCCACTTAAATGCCAAAACAAAGTTAAACAGTTGTTAAGTGTAATATAAAATGACTATTGTATGACCTGGAATTAACAATAACAAAACTTTTCCTTTCAGAGAATATAAACAAAATTCAAAATGTAATTTAGGGTTTGATCTTACAACAATTTTTGTTTGGTAAAACATTATATAATAGTTGTTTTCAGAAATAGAAAACAGAAAGAAAATTATTTTAGGATACCATTAAACAAAACCAAAAGGAAAATGTCCTTTAAAGAAAAAAAAATGATAGTAATGCAAAGGTGAAATCTACCAGCTTAAAAAACATAACCAGACTAAAATATTTGAACATCCATATTGACAAAATTTTAAATAATGTCCAGCACATACCAAATAAATTAATAATTATTCTTATAATTATATTCAAAGAAAATTGACAGATCCAGTAATGCATGCCAAGGTAATTACAAATCACCTCAAAAGATGTTTGGCCTGCTAGTTGCCCTAAGTGTGGCATAGCTTGTTTCATTCTAAATAACTGGCTCCTCAAAAATAGAAATTTTCAAATACAAAATAGTCATTTATAGTCAAACTAAATTCTTATTAAAACTTGTCTGAGGCTGGGCACGGTGGCTCACACCTGTAATTCCAGCACTTTGGGAGGCCAAGGTGGGTGGATCACCTAAGGTCAGGAGTTCGAAACTAGCCTGGCCAACATGGTGAAACCCCATCTCTACCAAAAATACAAAAAATTAGCCAGGCATGGTGGCACATGCCTGTAATCCCAGCTACATGGGAGGCTGAGGCAGGAGAATTGCTTCAACCTGGGAGGTGGAGGTTGCAGTGAGGTGAGATTGTACCATTGCACTCTAGCCTGGGCAACAAGAGTGAAACTCCATCTCAAAACAAAAACTAAAACAAAAACAAAAAAACTTGTTTGGTTCCAACTCTGACACACATTCAGGAAGGCCACTCTGAACTGTCTGTGTTGTTGGTGAAGGGTAGTAAAAGCCTGTGATTCCACTGATCTATGGTAGTATTAGAACATCAAAAAATGCAAGGCACAATAGCTCAGACCCATAATCCCAACACTTTGGGAGCCCAAGGCACAAGGATCGCTTGAGCATGAGTTCAAGATCAGCCTGAGCAACACGGCAAAACCCCGTCTTTACAAAAAATTAGCTGGGGATGGTGGTGCACGCCTGTGATCTCAGCTACTCAGAAGGCTGAGATGGGAGGATTGATTAAGTCTGGAAGGTCAAGGCTGCAGTAAGCTGTGATCATCCCACTGCACTCCAGCCTGTGACATAGTGAGACCCTATCTCAAAAAAAAAAAAAAAAAAGTTTAAAAAAAGAAAAAAGGGGTCATCTAACCTATCTTATTCCCTCCATCAAAATGTTTTCCCACATGTAGCTGGTGATCCCTGCCCAGTAGAGCACTAAATATCTGCCCAAGGGAGCTGACTCCACTGCTAGATCGTAACTTTTCATCAGAGGCCTTCCTCTTCTTTAAGAGAACAAGTACTGACACATACCTATGGGCTGATACTTCAAAGCAAACCGAGTGTACCAGGTGTCCTCAAGCTTCTTCAGGGCTTCACTGTCATGCAGTGGAAACACCTGAATCACGATGCCAGACGTGAGCAATCTTCTCACTGCACAGGGAAAATGTGCCAAACTGCATGAAATGGACTGGAGATTGTGCATGATACGCTTCAGCAAATACTATAAGGACACTCCACAGAGGAGTACAACGCAAAGGTCAATGTCATACTGCCTACTCCAAACCTGTATATTCTTTCATTTTTCAGAATGTAAATATCTTTACTATTCTCTTTGACTATGAAGCAAAAAAGTAAATATAAAATTTTAAACCATATAGAAGTGTAAAAATTAAGACTATGAGAGGCCCGTTAGTCTCTCTTTCCCCTTGAAAATAACCACTGTAAAAAGCAATATAGTGTATAACCAGACATAAAAATATATCCATATATATTTTAAGAACAAAAATAAAATCATTTTATACACACTATGTTGTTTCATAATCTTTTCTCATGTAGTAGTATACAGTGAATATTTTTTGATGCCAGTAAAAATAGAATATGAAATGTCCTTTTAACAATACCATAATATTCCCTTGTATGAAATGCTGTAATTCAACTAATCTTCTATTTAAAAATATGTTTCCTTTTGCTATTGTAAATAATGCTAAAATTTGTACAAATACCTTTCCCTACCTGTCTACTATTTCCTTAGTAAATATACTTAGAGGGGGAACTGCTAGGTCCAAGGGCATAGTATTTTAATATTTGATACATATTATAAAATTGTCTCCAGAAAAAATTTACCAATCTGTCCTTCCACTACAGTGAAGGTAAGAAAATGTTCAGTTCTTTTCATTCTTGTTGATACAGAGTATTTTCAATCCTTTTCATCTCTTCTAATCTGATAACAAAAGCTTACACTCACAAATAGCAAATAACAAAATCAAATTAAGACTTCCTACTTTTAGCAGTCATTTGACTAGTATGGTTTGAACACTCATGCATATATCTGGAAGAGACAAATGAATTTAACCAAAGACCGTATCTCCCAGCAATATTAAATGAAAATTTGGAATTCTGTCATCCACAGTAATTACTTAGAATGACTCAGTGGGTGGAGAAGAGTGTCTTCAGATCTTTAAGAGGAAGTGTGTTCTGTAGATATGGAGAACTCAAATGCAGTGCCTTGTGCCATATTTGGGGAGATGGAATATTTTCCACATGAGTTCCTAATACAGTCTCTTACTAAGAATATGGTTGCTTATAAAATGAAATTTGGCCAGGCACAGTGACTCACACCCATAATTCCAGCACTTTAGGAGGCTGAGGCGGAGTATTGCTTGAGGTCAGGAGTTCAAAACCAGCCCAGGTACCATCACAAGACCTCCATCTCTACAAAAAATTTAAAAATTAGCTGAGCGTGGTGGTGAGTAGCTAGCCTGTAGTCCTAGCTACTCAGGAGGCTGAGGTGGGAGGATGGCTGGAGTCCAGGAGTTCAAGGCTACAGTGAGCTATGATAATGCCACTGCAGTCCGGCCTGGGCAACAGAGCAAGACCTCATCTCGAAAAAAAAAAAGAAAAAAAAAAAAGATAAAATTTGCATTAAGAAAGGATGCTTTGCTGTTTTCATCCATTGATAAGTTTTGAGCTTCTTTAAGGTTTATCAGCTCAAGTCTTCAGAGAGCTACCTCTCTTATCTCTTATCTACCTGTTACCAGAGACAGATGATAAAAATATCAGGCATAAAACCCCTTATTGAGGACTGGCAAATAAATGTCTGCAGTGTGGAATAGAAACACAAAGTTTTTGGCTGGGCGCGGTGGCTCACACCTGTAATCCCAGCACTTTGGGAGGCCAAGGCGGGTGGATCACAAGGTCAGGAGATCGAGACCATCCTGCCGAACACCGTGAAACCCCATCTCTACTAAAAATACAAAAAAATTAGCCGGGCGTGGTGGCGGGCGCCTGTAGTCCCAGCTACTCGGGAAGCTGAGACAGGAGAATGGCATGAACCCAGGAGGCAGAGCTTGCAGTGAGATCACACCATTGCACTCCAGCCTGGGTGACAGAGCGAGACTCCGTCTCAAAAAAAAAAAGAAACACAAAGTTTTCAGTGTAGAAACACTACATAGAGACAATGTATTCTTAGGACAGGTCCCCATCATAAAATCTTCAGAGTAACTTAAAAGTAAACCCAACTTCTTAGACATGAAAAAGAAAAAGATAATCAAGAGATATCTGGTACTAACAATAGGAAAAGTCTGAAAAAAAAGATTCTTCATATATGTTTCTTCCCACAATTATATTTTCATAAGTTACACGAGGAGAAAAGTTTTTAAAAGCTAGGTTTGTGATAAAATTCTCCTTCATGATTGTAAAAAAGTATATACTCAAAGTATCAGTAACTAGGGTAAAAAGACATGGTTGAAGTTACTCAGCCTCTGGTACTGTCGAATCCATTTTTTAATATTTTAATTCTAACATGGTTCAGTGGATTTTTCTTCAGCTTAGAAGAGTTAGAGTTGATCACACATGACTGTTCTGATTCTTATTCCTTATTTGGGGATGTACAGGCTACAGCTGATTCCTTCTTCCTATCACTACTCTTGTAAATTACTACATCAAGTTTTTTAACGGAACTGACTTACAGCATATAAATTATTTTACTATTTCTAAGTTCTCTTTACAAAGATGACTCCATTCTACTGTAGAAGACTTCCCAGGCAGGCATAAAAACCAGTTTCTAAAAATAGGACTGTGAACTGAAGACTCAGAGAGAATATAAAGCTGCAGGTCCTAAATTACTGATCTTCTCTTCATCAGTGCCAAAGTCATGGTTCTGTTTTCAGCTTCTAAAAATAGAAGTTTGCTTTTTGGTTTTTTTTTTTTAATCCTTCAAACTTCTCATGTCAGTTAAGAATGTAATTACTAGGAAGGAGCCTTACCTTCAAAGGAAACCATGATGCCATGTGGGCCTATTTAAAGAAAGCAAAAACTTAAGCCAGATTCCTTCCTTCAAGAGTGCTGAATGATCTCTTATCAAGTACTGGGGATATGGCTGTAATAGCCATTGAACCGTGAGCCAAACAAATCAAAATCTAGTTTAAGAGAGACTATCAGTAATGTAGTTTACAGTAGGACCCTCCAAATTAACTAATGCAATAACAATACTAACACAGTACTGCTTCTGTCTTTGGTTTATGTGATGTGTTTACTTCAAAAGTAAAAGCAAAATCCCTCTCATAACGCCTTACAGCATTTCTGTGGGACAGAGAGGAGCAGGTCATGCTACCTCCGATCCAGCAGGGGGTGATAAGCACAGATGCCCGCAGGAAGTGGTGGCCAGCAGCCTTTGCACGATGAAGACAGTCCCTGTCCCCACAGCTGCTGCTGCACCTAGTACTCTAACTCTAGCACTCAGGTGTGAACAGATCACTTTTGTCTTAATAAAGAAAACAGTATCTTTCTTAAAGAAAATGCTATCATAAGGTTCTAAAAGAATATCTATATAATATTAAAGACATAATATATGTGCCAGGTGGTCCCATCAATCAAAACATGATAATCATCCAATAGACATTTTGAGACACAGCTTTGATCTAAATCAAGTAATATCCCTTAGGATATGGTTAAAATGTTAAGAAACCTTGGATCCCTTAAAAACTCCTCTTTCTAAAACTCTTTCATTAGGTTATTTGCATGATGATTGACTGTTAAGCACTAGGAGAAGGCAGAGTCTGAGGGCATGAAAAGATCTTAGACCACATGAAAACAGGAAATGAATGGCTGTCAAGATGAATGCTTGAGGACTAAGACACATGTAGCCAATTACTAATTCTCCATGTTGCTTGTCATGTGGTGGAATGAGGGGGAACCCCAATATGCATGTAAGGAACATGGCTGTGCTTTGGTTGAGGATAGCCCAAGGTAAACATCCAGAGTGACTCAGCAAGTTTAGAGCACAGGCATATAACTCCACTTGTTATCATAGCCATGTAGCCATAATGTGGCTTTAATAGATGGACAGTGGGAAGCCAGGACACGGCTCGGCTCACTCATACCCAGAGAGAGAGTTAGGCTGCTGACCCTGAAGGGAGAGCCGACCACGCAGCTGTGTATGGGAGCCACCGGACTAAGCAGCTGAGACAGGGCGAACAGTGTGAGAGAGCTAGTGTAAGTAAGCTGCTGATGAGAGAGCTGCTGAATAAAACTACCTTTCACCTGCCTACGGACCCCCTTCAGCTATCGGCTCATCCACCCACTCCCTTTGGACCTCAGCATGAGCTGGAACCTGACCCCAAGCATAACATTTGGCATAGTCATGGACCTACAATGCACATCTCACAGCGCCATCTAACTGCTTCGAAATCATGTTTACGTGACAAAACTTGGTATCTACTTAATGAAAGCGTTCTATCAAAACACAACATTACAGCAAGCAGCAAGCAACTTTACACGCGTGTGTAAAATGAAAATCAAATTAAACGTAAGATCTGGGGAGTGTTTCTCATGAAAGCCCTGGCCACCTTTCAGTCTTGAGGGGTATCACATTGGGCAGACTAAAGCCTCTCCTCTCAATTAGCCTCAAAGAGACTGCCCAGGGGAGCAGCTGCCTTCAAGTAAGATGAAAATAGCTTTTCCTCTTATTTCTATGGTTTAACTTAATGAAAATCTAGTATTTAAGTTACTCTAAGTTTTATTAGTTCTAAAATTTGCACTCTGAAAATAGGTCATAGTTTTAATTATGCATATACCACTTTTCTTCAACCAAGTATTATAAAATTAAAATGATGCAAAAAACACAGCAGTTTAAGGATCACACTCTCAAAGGCATAAAAGAACAGAATAATGCAGCATTTAAAATCCCAGGGTTGACAACTTAATTCTTATCTCAAATAGTATAAAAATCTTTCCAATGACCATGATCAAAATGATTTTATTGTATTCATATTTAGTACCAAAACGGAAGGAAAGGGAAGGGAGAAGAGAGGAAGAAAGGAAAAAAAACAACCTTTGTTTACAAAAGCCTCATCCTGCCAGCAAGAAAGTTATTTCTATTATTGCTTCAGGATACCAGACTGGCTACCTACACAGTTAGAGAAATCCATTTACATATTTCCTTGAAGGTTTTCATTCATCTTAAAATTTCTCTCTTTGAAGCAACTGGAAGCATTTGAAAAACTGCTGCTCCATTATCCCATCTGATCAAAGAGCACACACACTCTTTTCTCAGTCCCAACCACATCCAAGAGAATGTACCTGTGCAGAAACTCACAGGTGGAAGCCGTGATTTCCACATTATCAATGTGGATGAAAAGGGAGAAACAGAATGCTTACGTTAGCAATCAGGACTGTGCCCCAGTCTGCTTTGTATTTTATTGGATGCAGTACCCAGCTGTGTCTGAAAACATGCCTTCCCACTAGGAGATTAAGAAAGATTCAAAAATTTTGGGACAGTATCAAACAACTGCTTAACTACAGAATGTGGAAATCCTGGTTACAAATAGTGGCAGAAAGATACCTCTGCCCTGTTCTTGTTCATGATGCCAAATTAAAAACAAAAGGAAACAAGAAACATAAAAAGAAATCCCTAACTTTGATGCAAGTATGAAAAAACAAACTAAAATTCCAAATCACAAACTATAAAAAGAGGCCTGGAAAATCAGCCCTGGGTAAACTAAGAGCACCCATGCTTCTGCAAACCTGGGCCAAGCACACAAAGGGCAAGGCTCTCCTGGAACTGGGGATGGTAAACCACAGTCCCCTTGCTCAGAATGCAGGCAATGAGGGTGCGTGACAGACACCTGGAGTACGTCTGCTCCCTGCCTGGCACCATAGCCAGATAAGAGGCCAGGTTGGAGGAAGAAGAGCAAGTCTGCCATGTTGGAAGAGTGACCTGCTGGGACCAAAGGATGGAAGGTAACTAGCTGTGGAGCTGTGGGTCTTGGTGGGCCAAAGACAGGCCTAAATGCCAAACACAAAATCCCTGCAAGAACAGGGCTCCATGGAGGTTCTTTTCAGGGACTAAAATGGCTCAAGGAGAACGCACTGCCAGGTAAAATCTGAGCTTCTCACTACCACAGTTCCCTGCTGGAAGCCCCTAGGACCCTTCTCTCTCCCACACACACTTTCTTCTAAAAATGGCCAGTCCAGGAAAAATAAGGGTTCATTAAAACATAAGTAATAAAAAATAAGTAATAATCACAAAGAAAACTGGCATCGAGCTATGCAAAAATACTGCCTGGAAAAAAGGGAAAAACCAAAAATACTACAAGAAAAAATATATAAACAAAAGTCAAAGAACAAACAGCAGAAAATTATAGCATCCAGCAACAAAAAACCATGAAATTCTTCATGAAATTTAAGAAATTCATGCAAACATTCCATCTTTGAAATTAAAACTCAAAGAGGACCTCTGAGAGCTGAAGGAGAGAGCTCAGAGAAGCAATGCAAGAGAAAAATAAATCTGTTACAGATTCAAAGTCATGATAAAAGCAACAAAAAAAGGAAAGACTGAAAATACAATCGGGAAACTGGCAGACAAGCCTAAGAAAAGTATGTAAGAACAAAGACTTGAAAATACTACAAAGAATATGTAAGAGCCCACATATATAAAATTGGCACCCCTCAAGATGAGAACAGAGCAAACACAACCAAATAACTCTTCAAAGATAACTGAAGAAATTTTTCCTGAAATCATGGTAATCCTTACCCTGTATACTGAAAGAACATTATGTCCAACCAAAAAAAAATTTGATAAAAAATAACGTCAAGACATATGCAGATAACTGGAAATGCAGACAAATAAGAACAAGAGTGCCTACATTCAAACTTCCTGATACCTCCTAAAAGCCATACAGATCAACAAGGAGAGCAAGTAAAAGTACCTATAACATATGCCTACAGCACAACCCAGAGACAGGGGAGACTGCAACATGTAAGCCAGGCAATAAAGAACCAAGACCTGGAAGAGATCTGGGCCACAGTCTAGAATGGTGCAGGAAGTCCCAGCAGGAGCTGCACAGAGAAACGGGGAGGCCAGGGGAGTCCATATGGTGTAGGAACCCAGATAACACCAATGAGGACTCATCACCCTCCTTCAGGAGAAGGCCCCACACCAAGTGGGAACTTCCAAGAACAAGTCTGGGACCTGACGGATCATAGCTCTGACAGCAGCAAGGGCTGAAGGGAAGGGTTGGAAAGTACACAGAACAAGAGGCAAGCTGACCGTAAAGCACTGCTTCTGGGAAATGCAAAGGGAAGTGTCTAGAAAAGTAATAGACTTTGGGGGTAGCAGCTTATGGGGAAGGAAAGGAAGTTAAAACATGATTAAGAGTCCTACTGAATCAAGATCCGACATCCCATAAGATCTCCTGCTAATGGGTGACACAGTAATATCCTCAATATTTAAACGTTAATGAGAAAAATTTTTTTAATCAAGAAAAAAAAAGCAAGCACAAATAAGACAAGGGAAAAATACCATTAAAACAGGAGTTTAAAAGATGCTGAGAGAAATTTGTACAAATCAACTCACATAAATTTGAAAACCTATGTGATAAAATGGAAACTTTTCTAGGAAAATATAATTTACCCAAACTGACCCCAGTAGTGATAGAAAGTCTAAACAAACCAATTTCCATAGAACACTTAGAGAAAACTGTCCAAAAACCTAATCCACAAACAAACATCAGAACCAGATGGTTTCATATAGAAATTCTAACATACTTTTAAAACAGATTAGATTTTGACTACACATAGTAATAGAACAAAAAAGAAAACAGAAAATCTTAAACTTCATCCAGAACTTGTATTGTTAATATTAAAATTAGCATGCCTTACAAGCTATTTTATGTAAATTGTAAAATAAAGCAAATTAGTAATTACGGTAATGTTATTAAGAATCAATATTTTCAATATGAGTAAAAAGATACAAATATAAACCAAAGAAATTAAGTAATAGCCTATACTGTTAAATTTGAATTGACTATATCAATATAAATTCATGATTTTCAAAAATATATATCCTAGCCTTTTCCATTGAAATGGGAAAAAAGATGGCATAGCCTATATAAAAGATATTTTAAGCACACAAAAAAGCAATTTCAACATAAAATGTAACATCAACTATGATAACATAGCACAAAATATGTCATTTATTTAAGTTTACTTAGTAAATATTTTACTTAGTATAAATTTACTTAGTAAAAAAAAAAAAAATCCTCAGATTAGAGTGCAAAGCAAAATCCGACTATATCCTGATATAAGAGACCCACATAAAATGATACTGAAAGGGGCTGAAAGTAAAAGGCTGGGCAAAAACATTCTAACAGATGCAAACTAAAATAAGGCAAGAACCACAAGACAAGGCTGAATTCAGCAACAACAAAACATTAAGCAAGATGAGGAATAATATTTCATAATGATAAAAGGTGCAATAGACAATAAAAATCTATCCAAGATCTTTATGCAGCCAAAACATAGCTACAAAATTCATAAAACAAAGGTAAAAGAAAATACGAAGAACAAATTGGCAGGAACATAATGAAATTCTCATGGTTGTTACAGAGATCTAGAGCTATGATGGATCAAGAAAACAAAGTACAAGGGACACAAGAACTACATGACAAAATTAACAATGTATACGTAATATAAATTAACTGTCAAATACTACAAAAAAGAAATCTAAGTACTCATGTCATATGAATACTGATGCAAAAATAATGAAATATTAAATGGAAGTCAGCAGGAAAATAGATAATATAAGCAAGTATGGTTCACCATGGGAATAAATGAATGAGTTAATATTAGGAATTCTATTAACATCGGTTGCCATATTTATAATGTCAGGGGTTATAAAAAAATAGTCTTCACAGATGTCATTAATATAATGACATCTTAATAAAGATGTCATTATACACAAAAACTTCTTAATAAAGTAGAAGAAATGAATGTTTTCTAAACACGATAAAAATTACCTAGTCAAATGCCAACATCATGCTGAATGCTCAATATAACATGCATTCCTTTATGAACTGAAGCAATCGGCTGGGCGCAGTGGCTCACACCTGTAATCCCAGCACTTTGGGAGGCTGAGGCGGGTGGATCATCTGAGGTCAGGAGTTCAAGACCACCCTGGGCAACATGGTGAAACCTAAGACAGTAGAATTGCTTGAACCTGGGAGGCGGAGGTTGCAGTGAGCCAAGATCATGTCACTGCACTCCAGCCTGGGCAACAGAGCAAGACTCTGTCTCAAATAAATAAATAAATACATAAATTAATTGAAGCAATCACTATAGAGAGCAATTTGGCAGTATCTACTCTAAAAGATGCATATACCTTTGATCTAACAATTTCACTTCTGGGAATTTTCCTACTTTATTTTTAATGAAAACATTGAAGGAAAACAATTAGATGTTCATCAATATGAAGACATCTATATGATGGAATACTACATGGCCTAGAAAAGGAATGAGTTAGGCTTAATTTGGTATTCTACAATAATGATCAAAATATATTGTTAAATAAAAAAGCAAGGTCCAAAATGGTATGCACAATATACTCCCCATTTGTCTGAACATGTCTTCTCTTGAACAGAATTTCTCTAAGGTTATATAATAGGGAGGGAACAAAGGGATTTGGAACATGGGACAGGAAAGAGACAACTTATCATTGTCTAAATTTTTGTACTATTTGAATTTTCATCATATACATGTATTATTTTTTAAATTGACAGAAACTAATGGAAAATAAACACAAAAATTGTAAGATGCTTGGGAGAAGTATTTTCCTGCCATATGTTATACAAATTGAAAAGAATCATTTAGATGTCCACAGTACAGATGATAAACCCTGTTTTCATTGGAACTCTGAATACAGTTCACAGTAGGCTAGAATAAATACTACATCTTACTTACAAATAAAGTAAAAATAATAATTTATCCTAAGAAAATACTCTAAAATGCAAGAAGGTCGAGAAAGATTAGAATTTGAAAAAGCTCTGTCAAAAGTAAGGCACAATTCTGAACACAAAAGAGTAAGTTAGGAAGGAAGTTA
The DNA here is from genome assembly GCF_000001405.40 of Homo sapiens. Taxonomy (NCBI): domain Eukaryota; kingdom Metazoa; phylum Chordata; class Mammalia; order Primates; family Hominidae; genus Homo; species Homo sapiens. The sequence continues at coordinate 43,590,416 of NC_000003.12, forward strand.
GAGAGTTAGGAAGCTAGAGAGGCAAATAAAAGAAAATCTCAGAAGGCCTTCTATTCCCCATCATGTCTAAGGAAATCAGGAAGACCAGAGAAGATACAGCATCACCTAAGAAGAATTCTTGCCAAAAATTTTTCCAGTTTTCAGGAAAAACAGAGGATAGGGGAACAATGAGAAAACGATCTAAGAGACAAATGGCATGGTCTCTTCAGCAAGTTGATGCCATGAGGGAAAAAATGGAAAAGAGAAACTATTCTATATTAAAAGAGACAGACATAACCAAACAACATGGGTTAACCTAGACTGGATCTCAGTTTGAGCAAACAAGCTCTAAAATATATTTGGTGACAACTGGGAAAATGTGAATATGAACTGGTTCTTGGGCATCTGTCTGCCTGTGACAGATAGGACTAGCTGGATTTCCTAGGCCGACTAAGAATTCCTAAGCCTAGCTATGAAGGTGACCACACCCACCTTTAAACATGGGGCTTGTAACTCAACTCACACCCAACCCATCAGTTAGTAAAGAGGGCTCACTAAAATACCAATTAGGCTAAAAGCAGGAGGTAAAGAAATAGTCAAATCATCTGTCGCCTGAGAGCACAGGGGGAGGGACAATGATCGGGATATAAACCCAGGCATTTGAGCAGGGAGCGGCAACCCCCTTTGGGTCCCCTGCCATCATATGGTAGCTCTGTTTTCACTCTATTAAATCTTGCAACTGCACATTCTTCTGGTCCGTGTTTGCTCCGGCTCAAGCTGAGCTTTTGCTCACCATCCACCACTGCTGTTCGCCGCAGTTGCAGACCCACCATTGACTTCCATCCCTCCAGATCAGGCAGGGTGTCCGCTGCGCTTCTGGTCCAGTGAGGCACCCATTGCCACTCCCAATTGGGCTAGAAGCTCGCCATTGTTCCTGTGCAGCTAAGTGCCCAGGTTCATCCTAATGGAGCTGAACACTAGTTGCTGGGTTCCACGGTTCTCTTCCATGACTCACGGCTTATAATAGAGCTATAACACTCACTGCATGGCCCAAGGATCCATTCCTTGGAATCCGTGAGGCTCCCCAGGTCAGAGAACAAAAGACTTGCCCCCACCTTGGGAGCAGCCTGCCCCCATCCTGGGAGCTCTAAGAACAAAGATCCACCAGTAGCACCTGGATGAAGATTGGAAGGTGGTATTACACTATTAAAAGTAAACCATGAGAGGTTCCAAGATGGCCGAATAGGAAAAGCTCCAGTCTACAGCTCCCAGCATGAGCGGCACAGAAGAGAGGTGACTTCTGCATTTCCAACTGAGGTACCAGGTTCATCTCACTGGGGCTCGTTGGACGGTGGGTGCAGGACAGTGGGTGCAGCGCACGGACAGAGCCGAAGCAGGGCGAGGAATCACCTCACCCAGGAAGCACAAGGGGTCGGGGAATTCCCTTTCCTAGCCAAGGGAAGCCGTGACAGATGGCACCTGGAAAATTGGGTCACCCTGACCCTAACACTGCACTTTTCCAATGGTCTTAGCAAACGGCACACCAGGAGATTATATCCTGTGCCTGGCTCAGAGGGTCCCACGCCCACGGAGCCTTGCTCACTGCTAGCACAGCAGTCTGAGATCGAACTGCAAGGCAGCAGCAAGGCTGGGGGAGGGGCGCCCGCCATTGCTGAAGCTTGAGTAGGTAAACAAAGCAGCCTGGAAGCTCGAACTGGGTGGAGCCGACCACAGCTCAAGGAGGCCTGCCAGCCTCTGTAGACTCCACCTCTGGGGGCAGGGCATAGCTGAACAAAAGGCAGCAGAAACTTCTGCAGACTTAAACGTCCCTGTCTGACAGCTTTGAAGAGAGTAGTGGTTCTCCCAGCACGCAGCTGGAGATCTGAGAACGGACAGACTGCCTCCTCAAGTGGGTCCCTGACCACCGAGTAGCCTAACTGGGAGGCAACTCCCAGTCGGGGCCAACTGACACCTCGTATGGCTGGGTGCCCCTCTGAGACAAAGCTTCCAGAGGAACGATCAGGCTGCAACATTTGCCATTCTGCAATATTTGCAGTTCTGCAGCCTCCGCTGGTGGTACCCAGGCAAACAGGGTCTGGAGTGGACCTCCAGCAAACTCCAGCAGACCTGCAGCTGAGGGTCCTCACTGTTAGAAGGAAAACTAACAAACAGAAAGACATTCACACCAAAACCCCATCTGTACATCACCATGATCAAAGACCAAAGATAGATAAAATCATAAAGATGGAGAGAAACCAGAGCAGAAAAGCTGAAAATTCTAAAAATCAGAGCACCTCTTCTCCTCCAAAGAAATGCAGCTCCTCGCCAGCAACAGAACAAAGCTGCACAGAGAATGACTTTGACGAGTTGAGAGAAGAAGGCTTCAGAAGATGGGTAATAACGAACTTCTCCGAGCTAAAGGAGGATGTTGGAACCCATCGCAAACAAGCTAAAAACTTTCAAAAAAGATAGGACGAATGTCTAACTAGAATAAATAGCATAGAGAAGAGAAGACCTTAAATGACCTGATAGAGCTGAAAACCATGGCACAAGAATTACGTGATGCATGCACAAGCTTCAGTAGCTGATTTGATCAACTGGAAGAAAGGGTATCAGTGATTGAAGATCAAATGAATGAAATGAAGCAAGAAGAGAAGTTTAGAGAAAAAAGAGTAAAAAGAAAAGAACAAATCCTCCAAAACATATGGGACTATGTGAAAAGACCAAATCTACATCTGATTGCTGTACCTGAAAGTGACGGAGAGAATGGAAACAAGTTGGAAACACTCTTCAGGATATTATCCAAGAGAACTTCCCCAACCTAGCAAGGCAGGCCAACATTCAAATACAGGAAATACAGAGAACGCCACAAAGATACTCCTCAAGAAGAGCAACTCCAAGACACATAATTGTTAGATTCACCAAAGTTGAAATGAAGGAAAAAATGTTAAGGGTAGACAGAGAGAAAGGTCGGGTTACCCACAAAGGGAAGTCCATCAGACTAACAGCAGATCTCTCAGCAGAAACTCTACAAGCCAGAAGAGAGTGGGGGCCAATATTCAACATTCTTAAAGAAAAGAATTTTCAACCCAGAATTTCATATCCAGACAAACTAAGCTTCATAAGTGAAGGACAAATAAAATACTTTACAGACGAGCAAATGCTGAAAGATTTTGTCACCACCAGGCCTGCCCTAAAAGGGCTCCTGAAGGAAGCACTAAACATGGATTGGAACAACCGGTACCAGCCACTGCAAAAAACATGCCCAACTGTAAAGACCATCGAGGCTAGGAAGAAACTGCATCAACTAACGAGCAAACTAACCAGCTAACATCATAATGACAGGATCAAATTCACACATAACAATATTAACCTTAAATGTAAATGGGCTAAATGCTCCAATTAAAAGACACAGACTGGCAAATTGGATAAAGAGTCGAGACCCATCAGTATGCTGTATTCAGGAGACCCATCTCACATGCAGAGACACACATAGGCTCAAAATAAAGGGATGGAGGAGGATCTACCAAGCAAATGGAAAACAAAAACAAGCAGGGGTTGCAATCCTAGTCTCTGATAAAACAGACTTTAAACCAACAAAGATCAGAAGAGACAAAGAAGGCCATTACATAATGGTAAAGGGATCAATTCAACAAGAAGAGCTAACTATCCTAAATATATATGCACCCAATACAGGAGCACCCAGATTCATAAAGCAAATCCTTAGAGACCTACAAAGAGACTTAGACTCCCACACAATAATAATGGGAGACTTTAATACCCCACTGTCAACATTAGACAGATCCACGAGACAGAAAGTTAACAAGGATATCCAGCAATTGAACTCAGCTCTCCACCAAGCGGACCTAATAGACATCTACAGAACTCTCCACCCCAAATCAACAGAATATACATTCTTCTCAGCACCACATCACACTTATTCCAAAATTGACCACATAGTCGGAAGTAAAGTACTCCTCAGCAAATGAAAAAGAACAGAAATTATAAAAAACTGTCTCTCAGACCACAGTGCAATCAAACTAGAACTCAGGATTAAGAAACTCACTCAGAACTGCTCAGCTACATAGAAACTGAACAACCTGCTCCTGAATGACTACTGGGTACAAAATGAAATGAAGGCAGAAACAAAGGTGTTCTCTGAAACCAATGAGAATAAAGACACAACATACCAGAATCTCTGGGACACATTTAAAGCAGTGTGTAGAAGGAAATTTATAGCACTAAATGCCCACAAGAGAAAGCAGGAAAAGATCTAAAATTGACACCCTAACATCACAATTAAAAGAACTAGAGAAGCAAGAGCAAACACATGCAAAAGCTAGCAGAAGGCAAGAAATAACTAAGATCAGAGCAGAACTGAAGGAGATAGAGACACAAAAAACCCTTCAAAAAATCAATGAATCCAGGAGCTGGTTTTTTGAAAAGATCAACAAAATTGATAGACCGCTAGCAAGACTAATAAAGAAGAAAAGAGAGAAGAATCAAATAGACACAATAAAAAATGATAAAGGGGATATCACCACCGATCCCACAGAAATACAAATTACCATCAGAGAATACTATGAACAACTCTACGCAAATAAACTAGAAAATCTAGAAGAAATGGATAAATTCCTGGACACATACACCCTCCCAAGACTAAACCAGGAAGAAGGTGAATCCCTGAATAGACCAATAACAGACTCTGAAATTGAGGCAACAATTAAGAGACTACCAACCAAAAAAAGTCCAGGACCAGACAGATTCACAGCCGAATTCTACCAGAGGTACAAAGAGGAGCTGGCACCATTCCTTCTGAAACTATTCCAATCAATAGAAAAAGAGGGAATCCTCCCTAACTCATTTTATGAGGCCAGCATCATCCTGATACCAAAGCCTGGCAGAGACACAACAAAAAAAGAGAATTTTAGATCAATATCCCTGATGAACATAAATGCAAAAATCCTCAACAAAATAATGGCAAAGTGAATCCAGCAGCACATCAAAAAGCTTATCCACCATGATCAAGTGGGCTTCATCCCTGGGATGCAAGGATGGTTCAACATGCCAATCAATAAACATAATCCATCGTATAAACAGAACCAAAGACAAAAACCACATGATTATCTCAGTAGATGCAGAAAAGGCCTTCGAGAAAATTCAACAGCGCTTCATGCTAAAAACTCTCAATAAATTAGGTACTGATGGGATGTATCTCAAAATAATAAGAGCTATTTATGACAAACCCACAGCCAATATCATACTGAATGGGCAAAAACTGTAAGTATTCCCTTTGAAAACTGGCCCAAGAGAGGAATGCCCTCTCTCACTGCTCCTATTCAACATAGTGTTGGAAGTTCTGGCCAGGGCAATCAGGCAGGAGAAAGAAATAAAGGGTATTCAATTAGGAAAAGAGGAAGTCAAATTGTCCCTGTTTGTAGATAACATGACTGTATATTTAGAAAACCCCATCGTCTCAGCCAAAAATCTCCTTAAGCTGATAAGCAACTTCAGCAAAGTCTCAGGATACAATATCAATGTGCAAAAATCACAAGCATTCCTATACAGCAATAACAGAGAAACAGAGAGCCAAATCATGAGTGAACTCCCATTCACAGTTGCTTCAAAGAAAATAAAAAACCTAGGAATACAACTTACAAGGGATGTGAAGGACCTCTTCAAGGAGAATTACAAACCACTGCTCAATGAAATAAAAGGGGACACAAACAAATGGAAGAACATTCCATGCTCATGGATAGGAAGAATCAATATCGTGAAAATAGCCATACTGCCCGAGGTAATTTATAGATTCAATGCCATCCCCATCAAGCTACCAATGACTTTCTTCACAGAATTGGAAAAAACTACTTTAAAGTTCATATGGAACCAAAAAAGAACCCGCATTGCCAAGACAATCCTAAGCCAAAAGAACAAAGCTGGAGGCATCACGCTACCTGACTTCAAACTATACTACAAAGCTACAGTAACCAAAACAGCATGGTACTGGTACCAAAACAGAAATATAGACCAATGGAACAGAACAGAGCCCTCAGAAATAATGCCACACACCTACAACCATCTGACCTTTGACAAACCTGACAAAAACAAGAAATAGGGAAAGGATTCCCTATTTAATAAATGGTGCTGGGAAAACTGGCCAGCCATATATAGAAAGCTGAAACTGTACCCCTTCCTTACACCTTATACAAAAATTAATTCAAGATGGATTAAAGACTTAATGTCAGACCGAAAACCATTAAAAACCCTAGAAGAAAACCTAGGCAATACCATTCAGGACATAGGCATGGGCAAGGACTTCCTGTCTAAAACACCAAAAGCAATGGCAACAAAAGCCAAAATTGACAAATGGGATCTAATTAAACCAAAGAGCTTCTGCACAGCAAAAGAAATTACCATCAGAGTGAACAGGCAACCCACAGAATGGGAGAAAATTTTTGCAATCTATCCATCTGACAAAGGGCTAATATCCAGAATCTACAAAGAACTTAAACAAATTTACAAGAAAAAATCAAACAACCCCATCGAAAAGTGGGCAAAGGATATGAACAGACATTTCTCAAAAGAAGACATTTATGCAGCCAACAGACACATGAAAAAATGCTCATCATCACTGGCCATCAGAGAAATGCAAATCAAAACCACAATGAGATACCATCTCACACCAGTTAAAATGGTGATCATTAAAAAGTCAGGAAACAACAGGTGCTGGAGAGGATGTGGAGAAATAGGAACACTTTTACACTGTTGGTGGGACGGTAAACTAGTTCAACCATTGTGGAAGACAGTGGCGATTCCTCAAGGATCTAGAACTAGAAATACCATTTGACCCAGCCATCCCATTACTAGGTATATACCCGAAGGATTATAAATCATGCTGCTATAAAGACACATGCACACGTATGTTTATTGTGGCACTATTCACAATAGCAAAGACTTGGAACCATCCCAAATGTCTATCAGTGATAGACTGGATTAAGAAAATGTGGCACATATACACCATGGAATACTATGCAGCCATAAAAAATGATGAGTTCATGTCCTTTGTAGGGACATGGATGAAGCTGGAAACCATCATTCTCAGCAAACTATCGCAAGGACAGAAAACCAAACACCGCATGTTCTCACTCATAGATGGGAGGTGAACAATGAGAACACATGGACACAGGAAGAGGAACATCACACACCGGGGCCTGTTGTAGGGTGGGGGCATGGGGGAGGGATAGCATTAGGAGATATACCTAATGTAAATGATGAGTTAATGGGTGCAGCACACCAACGTGGCACATGTATACATATGTAACAAACTGGCACATTGTGCACATGTACCCTAGAACTTAAAGTATAATAATAATAAATAAAAAATTTTTAAAAAGTAAACATGTGGTCCCAGCTACTGGGGAGGCTAAGGCAGGAGATTATTTGAGCCCAGGAGATGGAGGCCACAGTGAGCCATGTTCACACCACTGCACTCCATTCTGAGTGACAGAGCAAGACTGTCTCAAAAAAACAAACAAAACAACAACAACAACAAAAAAAACAGACTAGGGGACACAGAAGCTTACATGTTTAAAGTGTCTTTTAGGCAGCAAAAATGTTCTGAAGCTTTGCCACTATCTGGGTTTGAAGCAAACTTGGAATTATGCATTGTAGTAAACTTTCATTCTGCAAACTAGTATCTTCATTAAAATGAAATCACACAAAACCAAAATGTTGCAAAATTCTAATTTGCATACCCAGTGAGATCAGAGGAAATGGAAAGAGTGCTCCAGGAAAACACCATGTCTTCCCTTTTATATTCCTCCACAGATTTTCATGTACAATGTTAGGGCATAAAGTAAACTTTGCTCATTTTAATTGAGTAATATGTATATGTATACACACTGGATTTTAAGCTAACTGTATGGTATGAGACCTTGATAAATAAGTAGTCAACAATATAAAACAAACATATTGATTTAAAGATGCAATATACTGAGGTTCCAAAGGGAAAAGATATGTTCATAAAAATACAAGTTATTGTAAGTTTGTGTAAGTTCTTCTGTAAGAGGGAAAAAAGGCATCTATAATTTGCTATTTATGTCTATTAAGAAAAAGACTGGTTGACATAATGACTTACACAATGATTTTCCTGGATACAACTTTGCCTGAGGGTAACCAGGGATCATTTTTTCATCTTTAGCTCTAAGATTTTCAAGTTCATGTTTGATAATGAATTGACATTCTGCCATTGTCAGGAAATCATCATTGTTATCTAAAATAAAACAGAAATTACCAGATTTTAGTAATAATCAAAATAAAAATATTCCAATTACCTGAGATTACAGAAATAATGGTATAAACAATAAGCAATTAACATAAGAAGTAATCAAAGTATGAAGCTGGTAAATTAAATAGAACATAAAGCTCCTTAGATATTTTATAAGAATAAAAAAATTCTGTTATGCCTTCACGTAATACAATTCTACAATAATCATTTTAATACTTATATTAGAAACATTCAAGAAGCATATAATTGATCTCATTTAGTACCAATGAGCAGAAAGCAGTATGTTCTTTTATTCTAATAATGCATTAAACTTATTAACGTATTATTATGTTAAACCAGGGATGGAATTGAAGAAGTTTGCCTATATGGCAAATTATCCTCCTTCAAACTCTCAAGCCCATTCCATTCCCTTCTGCAGTCAAACATCCCTTCTACTAATGAGAGAGAAGAAAGTCTTTTAAGAAAATGTTGTTGCTATTTGACAGGTGAAACCTCTTAAATAAGGTAAATTTCCTCTTGAACATTTATTCACTCAGGTATAAAAATCTAGAGTAAGTGAATCCAAAGAAGTCTAATCACATCTTCTAACTCTGAAAGCCCTGGCAGGGATCAGTTTGATTCTGAAGCCAAGCTCCCATCCTGTTATCATATCCACCCTGGCTTTCCCAGTTCTTTCCTGAAAATATTCTCTACTAGAACCTGCTTTGGGGCCAGTATAGAACCAACGACCCTATCACATTCAGCAGGAGCCAGAAAATTCAGGAAATGAGGTTTCTAAGGTACTGAACTACTACTGTATTTCTTATTATTATAAAATTTTTCTAATAAATATTCACATGTGATTATTTGTAGAAAATAATCTCTACTTATGAGATGCAACTTTTTATAGTTAATTTCTTTTTACATGATTGTTTTCTTGTAGAGTTAGAAAATATAATACTTGGCCAGGCGCGGTGGCTCATGCCTGTAATCTCAGCACTTTGGGAGGCCGAGGCAGGCAGAACACGAGGTCAGGAGATCGAAATCATCCTGGCTAACACGGTGAAACCCCGTCTCTATTAAAAATACAAAAAAATTAGCCAGGTGTGGTGGCGGGCGCCTGTAGTCCCAGCTCCTTGGGAGGCTGAGGCAGGAGAATGGCGTGAACCCGAGAGGCGGAGCTTGCAGTGAGCCGAGATAGCACCACTGCACTCCAGCCTGGGCGACAGAGCGAGACTCTGTCTCAAAAAAAAAAAAAAGAAAATATAATACTTTTTTTGGTGTATTTTGTTGACTTAGAATTGATTGGTGACAATCATTCTGCTTTCAAAAAAAAGGATTTTTCTGTATCAAGCTACTGAATACTCAAATTATAAGAATTAGAATAGAATAATATAAGTAAGTTACATGTGTTCCTCTAATTTGTGTTCATCCAGGGGAGGCAAAGGATGGCAACAGGCCAAATCCAGCCTGCCACATGGTTTTATAAATACAGTTTTATTGAACACAGCCTCGCCCATTCATTTACTTATGGTCTATGGCTGCTTTTTTGCTTCACAATGGCAGTGTTGAGTAATTGCAGCAGAGACCACACGGACTGCAAAACCTAAAATATTTACTATTTGACCCTTTACTGAAAAAAGTTTGCTGATCCCTGATCTATTCATCATAAACTTCTTTTTGATAAATGGATTCTAACAGAGACAAAGAACTTAGGGCTTACCATCAAAACCTTTGAAGTTCTGTCTGGTTCTGTATGTGAAGGCTCTCATGGTGTTATCATTGCACTCTTTTACCAATCCCACTGCTTCTGCCCCTAGTAACATTCTAATCTTGGAGGCACCAACAAGATATAAGTTCTGATTTTCTAGTGTTTCTTGTTCATATTTATTTAACAATGGTCTAAACAACAACTGGGCACCTTCAAAAACAAAAGATAAGCACAATCTTAGACAAACATAAAAGTTTCAAAACTAAAAACTTTCTAAATAAATATAATGTTTCTAGTCTGGTAGAAGAAAAAGAAATTATATTAGCAATTTAAATCCATCTTCCAAGTAAATAACATAAGTACATTAGGGATGGCAGTTCTTTATAGTTTTTCAATAAATGGAAAAACTGAAAAATGTACCACTAAGTAGCCTGCCACTTATTCAAATGAGAAGTAGATGAGACGAGAATTCAATATTTCCGAGCTCTAGGTATAAAAGTGCACCAAATAAAAATATAGAACAAAGATTGCAGTTTAATATAAATAGACGAAAATTTAAGAAAATTAATTTGGAACAAAATGTTTCAGTAAAAAGAAAAACCAAAAATGTAATACAATTACACTGGACTATAACAGATTTTGTGAATGTTAAATACTAAATAACAAAAAGCAATATAACTTTTCAGTGATTTTTCCCATAAATTTCTATGTTCTATTTGGTTTAATAATTTTCTGAAATAAGTTACCAAACATAAAGAGATATCATGATTTGATAATGTACATATAATTATTACTTAAAAGATTATAAAGAAAAAAGATTATTTCTACCTACATCAATTTTTGTTTGTTTTTGAGACAGGGTCTCACTCTATTGCCCAGGTTGGAGTACGGTGGCACGATCTTGGCTCACTGCAACCTCCACCTGCCAGGTTCAGGAGATCCTCCCACCTTTGCCTCTCGAGTAGCTGGGACTACAGGTGTGTGCCACTACACCAAGCTATTTTTTGTAGAGGCAGGGTTTCACCATGTTGCCCAGGCTGGTCTTGAACTCCTGAGCTCAAGAGATTCACCCGCTTTGGCCTCCCAAGTGCTGGGATTACAGGCATGAGCCACAGCGCCCGGCCTCAAACTTTTAAAGGTACATTTATTTCTTTACTATTTACCCTCTAGAGATGGTTGACAGGAATTACGAAAATATTAATCAGATGATAACAGGATCATGAGCAGAATTTATATTTCTTTTATCAAATGGATTAATATATTAAGACACTATCATCTAGGTAATTTATAGTAAAGCTATTAAAGACTTTAGTAAAAGGTATATTCAATTTACAGAAAATACCAATGGCTCTTAAATATAAGATCCTTAACCTCACTCATATTAAGACAAATGTAAAAACTATACCAATATGCTGTTTCTCACTTCTCACACTGCAAAGATGGAAAGTTTGGTAATAGGTTGGTGAGCGTGGTAGCCGTGAAGGTACCCCACTCCACCAGCTCTCCCTTCAAGACAATCTGCTTTGAAGAACAGGGTTGACCGCCAGGCTCCTGGTGCCACACCTTAAGATCCTTCCCCCAGCTGCTTCCAGCCATCAGCTGGGCACGGAGGGGACACCTGAAACAAGGCCATTCCTGCACAACGTTAAGTTTCCTTTAAAGGGCAACTTTAAGCCTGGCTGTTAGTTTCTCCGAACTGGGCTGTGGTCTGAGGCTCTTCCTACTCAATTCTCCTTCCTTTCCTCTCTCCTTTCCCAAGTGTCAAATTGACAAAGTCTGAAGGCTCTCTAGACCCACTCTTGCCCCCTCCTCCTTCTTTCCACAAATATTTCTCTCAATAAACTTCTTGTTCATCAAATCCCATCTCTTGTTTGGAAGACCCAAATAGGCACAGTGAGTGTGTGGGGAAAGGCATCCCAGCCATTTTTAGTGGAATAGAAACTGGCATAACCTTTTTTTATTAATTAATTAATTTATTTATTTTGAGACAGTGTCTCACTCTGTCGCCCAGGCTAGAGTGCAATGGTGCAATATTGGCTCACTGCAACCTCCACCTCTGGGTTCAAGTGATTCTCCTGCTTCCGTCTCCCAAATAACTGAGATACAGGCACACACAACCACATCCAGCTAATTTTTATATTTTTAGTAGAGATGGGGTTTCACTGTGTTAGCCAGGCTGGTCTCAAACTCCTGACCTCAAGTGATCCGCCCGCCTTGGCCTCCCAAAGTGCTGGGATTACAGGCATAAGCCACTATGCCTGGCCTGGTATAACCTTTATGAAGAACTATTTGTCAACATTTTGTTTTGAAAAAGAGCATTTTTCTCAGATGTTTGGTGATCTTTCATTACATGTTCATGTTTACGAAAGAGGCTCTGTGAGGCTAAATGGAACTTCTGAGGGCTTATATGGAGCTCATCAAGGATGGCCTTTAATGTAAGGTCTTCCTCCCCTCCATTAACCTTTCCCTTTCAAATTGTTCAGATGACTCCTTTGTTATTTGTTTTCATGTCATCAAATAACATGCTTATAGAGCTATTTCTTGATTTTTCAGTTTTAAGCATTGAAGATGAGGATTTTTAGCTCCCTTTCTTTCTTCACCATTTCCATTCATCATTCCCATCACCTATTCTCACAGTATGGTTAAGTCATCCTTTGGTTTCAAGTCAGTAGGTGATTATGACTACATGTTATTTAGAGCTAAGCCTTACAGTATGCTATGATTTTCCTTTGTCATACTTTCCATTTTCCCAAAAGTTGCTGTCTTATCATTTGCATAGTTTATTATGTACCTATCTATAATACAAACCCCCAAGTTCTCTGCCAACTGTCTCTCTCCTTGATCCACTGACATAAAAGATAACCTATCAACATCATCTTCTTGGAGAACTCTTTCTTCACTCTGCCCTCACACCTCACTTTTCTTTGTTCTCTTTCTAGAACTCCTTTTATTCAGATGTGTACCTCATGAACTAGTCCTTTAATTTTCTTATTATTTGTTCTCATATTTTCCAATTCTTTACCTTTTTGCTCTTCTTTCTTGGAGGCTTGTCTCAATATTATCTTCTAATAATTTTACTGAGTGCTTTTTTCCTAAAGGATTTTTATAATATCCTATTCTTGATTTATAGATGTTATATCTTTTCGTAACTCTGAGTGCTGCGATGTTTATTATCTTTTGGTTTTCTTCTTCTGAATAGTCTGTTGCTTTTATCTGTTTAGTTTTAGATTTCTCTTTCATGTTAGGAATTGTTCTCAGATGTTTGGTGATCTTTTATTACATGTTCACGTTTAAGAAAGGGGCTGTATGAGTCTAAACAGAAGTTCTGAGGGCTTAGATGGAGCTCATCAAGGATGGCCTTTAATGCAAGGCAGTCTTGTCAAATAATCTTCCGTTAGCAACCCCCTGATTTCTGCACCTTTCGTTATTTTGTCTTAAGCTGGTCAGGTTCTCCAAAGAAAGATTGTCCAATCTGCTTCCTACAAGGTGTGAATCTTGTTGTTAATATTTTGGAAACTGAATTAGGTATGTGAGTGGTGGAGTAGGGGAAAGGGGAATGGTATTCAGTATCTTATTTTCAGTACAGAATCTGTGCCTTCAACTGTGCATAGATTTCTATGCCAAAAACCATGCATCTGACCATCTCCAGAGAATAAACCTCAAGTCTTCTGCTGGGGTTGTAGAATATGGAAGAGATTCAAGGATCTATTTATTTTTATTTTAATTGGCATATAATAATAGTATATATTCATGAAGTACATAGTAGTGCTTCAATACCTATAATGTAGCGTGCTCAGATCAGGGTAGTTAGCATACCCATCATCTCAAACATTTATCATTTCTTTGTGTTGGGAACATTCAATATCCTCCTTCTAGCTATTTGAAACTCTGTATCATTTCTTATATGGATCTCAAACACTTATCTTTTCTTCTTGGTCCTACTTTTATCCCCACCTCCATAGATCCAGTGTCCCTAATTCCTGAGTCATTGTGGGTATTGTGCAGAGTAAACCAAATTGCATCTCAACTTCCTTCCCTGTCAGCTTAACTTTTGGCTTTCTCAAATCTGACAAGTCAATAACTATTCAGCCGCCTGTTTCCTAGCTTCCAATTTTTGCTGCTCTTGTATCTTCTTTTTTTTTTTTGGTCCATGTGACTTCGGTCTTTTATATATTTTTTAACCATTTTATTATTATTGTCAATTTAACAGGAGGTTGGAAGATAATCAAAGTAAACATGAGTATAAATCTACTCCCTTCACCTGGAAGATGCAGAACACTTTTTTGGAAAGATTTTTTATGATCGCCCAAAAAGTGTGGAAAGATGCCCATCCCTTCCCTGTGTGTCTCTGAAGGCACACAATCAGCAAAAAGATGGCTGGGAATACACTGGAATCTTTCACACTGAAACACTACATAGTTCCTAAATCACAAAAATTTTAAAGAACAGACTTAAGTTCAGTGAAATGCTCACATTTCAGCAAGCAAATACTCCTGCTTTTAAGTTTCCTTCTGGTTCAACTGTTTGAAAAAAATTTTAATTCCACTTTGATTCCAATTTTATTCTTAAGAAATAACTTCAGTTTATAGTAACAGTTTTTTTTTTAAAGAGTCTAAGTCTAGTTCAGTGTTCAGAGACTGTGCAGACTAAGGTGTTGTTTTGTATAGTTTACAAAATACTTGCTCATGTAAAACACTAAAACACCCGCTGCTTTCTCACCCAGACTGGGAACCCATGTCACCTGTCAAGAGAAAGCTAAACCTTGGCATCTTAAGTCATTCCTTGCCACTGAAGAAAGTACTGCCATAGTGTCATCTAACCCTTTCCTTTCCTTTTACAGTAAGTATACACGATTCATTTGTTCATGCCATGCACTGCTTTGTGACAGCTCTTCCATGTACTTTTCTTTATTTTGAATTTCTTTCTACCCTGATGGTAACAACTTTGCAGGAAGAGACCATATTTATCTCTCCCTTAGCACCATAACTGGCACATAAAGAGCATACAATAGATACTTGTCCATTCATTTGACAAATATTTTTTAAGCACCTACTATGCACCAAACAGTGTGGTAGGCATACTATTTAGAGCTGTGAAGAAAACCACTCATGCTGCTTTCAGTTTAATGGGAACTTAAAGCCTCCTGTTGATTTAGGACCTCCTTTCAAGTCCCAGATAGATAATAAAAGGCAAAAAATTTAACATTAGTAAATAAAATATATCAACGAAAATTATAAAACACATTTGCAAATACATTTTTAGTGACTGAGCATACAGTGTGGGAGGCTGAGCATACAGTGTGGGAGGCCAGACTAAGTCTGAGCAGTGACTATTTTACTCACCTCCATCTTTTTTTTTAGCTATAATTCTGTTTTTCAGCCATTCTTTGGTTTCTTCTTTGACATCCTGAGCAAGTTCTATGACCACCAAAGGTGTGAAAGAACTCTCAGAAGTATCCAAAGCTGATAAGGTCACTTTCATCTTTGACAAATCTGCGGAAAATTAAAATAAAGAGTGAAAATGGGTTGTTATTATGGCAAAGAGAAATATGCTATAGACTTCATTTTCTCCCAATTATACCTAATTCTGGCTTCCAAGATAAAAGCAAATTTCTCGTGATTCAGATGGGTTATATGACAGACTCAACCAATGGTTCAAAGTACATGTGTGAGCCAAGCTTTGGAAAGAACGCCATCCTTTTCTATAAGCAGCTCAGAATGCAGCAGAATAGACATTTGTGTAAATGAAGGATAACGATGTAAAATGTGCTCTCACACAAGCGGAATAAGAAAGTATTTTCAAAGAATGTGACATCTGAACAGGATTCAGAGGAATGAGTAGCAGTTTGCCAGATACACAATGAGAGGTATCCTAAGTAGACAAAATTATATTTCCCTAGAAAATAATGATGAAAAAACAGCCAAGAGGCTTAGAGAAATACAAATGTTTAGGTATGGTGGGAACATTAACTTTGTGTAGGAGGAAAGAAGGGTGGGAATGAGCTGGTATCCAACTAGGGTCCCAGATTACAAAGGAAATGGGCTTTGTCTAACATACAATGGGAGTCACCAATTCATTATGAGCAGAGAACTGATGTAGTCGGTAGGGAGCTATTACAGATCACAAAGAGTCAGCCTAGAGTGTGGGAGGCCAGTTAGGGGGCCATTAAAGGAGTCTAGAAAAAGCTGATACTGGTCTGAACAATGACAATGAAGAGGAAAGGATAGCTCGGGGTTAAATCTATAGAAGCAGACAACTGGACTGAATATAACTACTAAAAAAAAAAAAGACAGAAAAAGAAAACTGTTAGTGGGTAATGGGTAGTCAAGGTGTAATTATATGGAACTCTCTACAGTACCCATCTCAGCTAGGCAGAACCACTACTATACATTTCCTCCAAAACTACACATCCTCAAAGTGACACATTAACTATGAACACAAGCCAAGACTTCCACTTCCAGGACAGCAGATTAAAGGGTTCAAACTCTTCTGCTGAAGACAACTAGACAATATACACCCACACTCACATACATATATATGTGCATATATATGTGACATCAGAAGTGGAAAATTCCACACGTAAGTACTTAGCACAAAGTTGATCTCACGCACAAAATTATTTAAAATATTATATAAAATTACTTTTAGGCTATGTGTACAAAGTGCATTTGAAACATAAATTTCATGTTTAGCCTTGGGTCCCATTCCCAAGAGATCTCATTATATAAATGCAAATATTCCAAAATGTGAAAAAATCCAAAATGTGAAACACTATTGGTCCCAGCATTTTGGATAAAGAATATGTGACCTGTATTTTTAAAAATTTGTGAATAACAAAAAGCCAACTAAGCTGGACATGGTGGCTTACACCTGTAATCCCAGCTATTTTGGAGACTGAGCCTGGAGGATCACTTGAGCCCAGGAGTTCAAGACCAGCCTGGGCAACATAGCAAGACCCTGTCTAAAAAAAAAAAACAAAACAAACAAACAAAAAAAAAACCAAGGCAATGGGAAATAATGGAGTCCAGAAAGCTAAGCACTTGCAACCAGTTTCTCTGGGGCCTCTGCTGAGAGGGTGAGACACTAAGCAGGGCTTCTGTTGGCCATGGGAGGCTAGGGGACAAAACATGTAATTAGTAGAGAACCCACCAAGGAAGACAGTCAGATAAAATCCCCACTTTGAACTGGGATCTGAAAAGGCTACATTCTAAACATAATAGTGAAGGAGAATTAGATCACCCCGATAGGAACTAAATTCTAGGTTTGCATCATCTCAATCAGGAGAAAAGTTACTACGTATGAAAATGAAAAATAGTAACAAGCAATAGAAACAAACACATAATAGATCCAAATAATGTAAGTGAAAGGACTTTAAAATAATGATCATATATTCAAAGAACTAAAAGACAAGATTGATAATTTTGGCAAAGAACTGAAAATTATTTTTAATGGAAATTCTAGAATTTAAAAATATGAGTCAAAATTAAGAACCCAAGGAAGGCTTTATAGAAAATCAGACAAAGCTAAAGATAAAAACCATTGAATGATAACACAGGCACAAAGAAAATATCTACAATTGAGCCCTGAGGACAAAAAATGAAGAAAACACGTAAAAAGAGTAAAAGACAAGGAACTACAAGGAACTAAAAGGGGGAGGTATTAGAGTACAAACAATATCTGAAGAGACTGACCAAGAATTTCCCAAAGCTGACAAAATATACCAAGGCACAGATTTAAGAATCTCTATATACCTCCATCAAGATAAATAAAAAGAAAAAGCACAGTAAAACATCAGAAAAGCCAAGAGAGAGAAAATTCTTAAAGCAGAAAAATAAAGACAAAGTACCTTGAAGGGCAATAATTAGACTGAAAGAGTATCTTCAGTGTCCCAAGAGAATATTATGGCTACTCCAAAATTATGTACCTGGTCAAAATATGCCTCAAGAATAAAAGACAAATAAAGCCATTTTCAAACATACAAAAATTGACCCTGAGACAGGGTCTCACTCTTTTGCCCAGGCTGGAGTACAGTAGTAGCATGTGCCACCATTCCCAGCTAATTTTTGTATTTTTTGTAGAGACAGGGTTTTGCCATGTTGCCCAGGCTCATCTCGAACTCTTGGGCTCGAGTGATCCTTTAGCCTTGGCCTCCCCAAATTGCTGGGACTTCAGCTTCAGGTATAAGCCACTGCACATGGCCTTTGTTTTGTTTTGTTTTGTTTTTAGACAGGGTCTTGCTCTGTCACCCAGGCTAGTCTGGAGTACAGCGGTGTGATCGTGGCTCACTGCAGCCTCAAACTCTGGGGCCCAAGCAATCCTCCCACTTCAACCTTCCAAGTAGCTGGGACCACAGGTGCGTGCCATGACACCCAGCTAATTTTTTCATTTTTGTAGAGATGGGGTCTCCCTATGTTGTCCAGGCTGGTCTCAAACTACTGAGCTCAAGCAGTTCTCCCTCCTCAGCTTCCCAAAGTGCTGGGATTGCAGGTGTGAGCCATGTGCCTGGCCAAGAGTGTTAAGACAGAAGGAAATGATTGCAAATGATCTGGCATCTGGAACATAGCAATCTTATATTTAGTGAACAGACAGCTTTTGTAATATAGGAACTCCCCTACCGCCTTTTAAATTTAATTTCCTCTTTACTAAATTTCTCTTTTGTTGAATTTCTCACTACATATAAGACACTGTATTGGTACCTAAATACACAATTCTATGTAATCTTCCTAAAGTCCTATAATTTATACTTTAAAAACCAAGAGGAAAATTGAATGAAGAAGTTACTTTGTTAAGCTCATAGTAAGCAAGAAGTTCGTTTCCCATGATACACAGCTTAAAACTAGAGAAAATAGAGTCATTAGAGATATCCAAATTCTGTATGTTTTTTCCTACTAAATGAAATCTTCATTTTGAATTATCTACCATACAACTCTGTTGAAGATGAGCTAAACAGTTCAAGATAAAATGACAAAGTGAAACCATATTACAGAATCTTCTGACCTAAAGCAAAATTAAATGTATAAAACAAGTAAAACAGTGCCCAAATATTAATAACAAAAAATAGCAGCCAAAAAGTAAACCTCAAGCCAAAATCATGACCAAGTGAAGACAACACCAACAATGAACTGATAACAAAGGATCCTTCTAACAATTTGGAGAATTCCAACCATTTACGGTCATACATCACTTAATGACAAAGACAGTTCTGAGAAATGGGCAGTTTCACTGTTGTGGAAACATCATAGAGTGTACTCATACAAACCTAGATGGCATAACCTATTACATACCTAGGCTATACAGTATAGGTATGTATAGGTTTGTAGCCTTATTACTCCAAGGCCACAAACCTATACAGCATGTTACTGCACTGAATCCTGTAGGCAATTGTAACACAATAATATGTATTTGTATATCTAAACATAGAAAAAGTACAGTGAAAATACAGTATAAAATATTTAAAAATGAATACACCTGTATAGGGTATTTACCATGAATGGAGCTTGCAGGACTGGAAGTTGCTCTGGGTGAGTCAGTGAGTGAGTGGTTAGTGAATGTGAAGGCCTAAGACATTATTGTATACTACTGTAGACTTTATAAAACACTGTACATTTAGGCTATACTAAATATATTTTAAAAAGTTTTCTTCACTTTATAAACTTTTTGATTTTTTTGACTTCTGTAATAACACAGTAAGATACAAACACATTGTACAGCTGTACAAAAATATTTTATTTATATATTTATTCTAGAAGCCATTTTCTATTTAAATTTTTTAAACTTTTTTTTAAAAACTAAGACACAAATACATTAACCTAGATCTACACAGGGTCAGGATCATCAATATCACTGTCTTCCACCTCCACGTCTTGTCTCACAGAAAGGTCTTCAGAGGCAGTAACACACATGGAGCTGTCATCTCCTATAACAATGCCTTCTTCTGGAATACCTCCTGAAGGACCTGCCTGAGGCTGTTTTATGGTTAACTTTTTTTTCAATATAAGGAGGAGTACACTCTAAAATAATGATTAAGAGTATAGTATAGTAAATACATAAACCAGTAAAAGTGGGTTCATTACCATTGTCAGGTATTATGTACTATACATAATTATATGTGCTACTTTTATGCAACTGGCAGCGCAGTAGGTTTGTTTACACCGGCATCACCACAAACACATGAATACTGTGTTACACTACGATGTCAGCAGGTGACACGAATTTCTCAGCTCTGTTATAATTTTATGGAACCAACATATATGCAGTCTGTTGTTGACCAAAATGTCATTATCCAATACATGACTGTACATGCATGTGTCTGCAAATTAATCTTTATCACACTGTCAGGCACAGAAAAACAGCTAGATATTTTAGTAGATTGCTGAATTAGACTTCAATGAACTCTAGAAGTATACCAGTTTTATTTTATGAATACTAAATATCAGTAATCCTCAATAATTTATTTAATGGGCAATTAATAAGTAGTCCTTTCCAATCTGTAAAAATGAAAGCCTATGAAATTGTATCCTATTGACTGAAATGAACCCCAAAAGAACCTGCATTTTTAGGATAACTTCAGGAGAGTATCAAGAGAATCTTCAAGACCTTGTCTAAGGTTTCTTGTCTAGTTCTCTACCCAATCCTTTTTCCTTGGTTCCTGTGGCAGAAATTTGAGCTATCCTCTGAAATCCACTCTCCCTTTCTTTGTCTAAGTACACGGCTAGGCTACATTTTCCACACAGTTGGAGTTAGGTGAGCATGAGACTAAATTCGAGACAATAGTATGTGAGCAGAAGTACTCACAACTCCAGATCAAGGCTTTTAAGGGAGTGCTTCTATCTCTCCTCAATGTTTTATTTCCCTTTCCATGGGCCACTGAGATACTGGGGAGATACAAGACAGGGAAGTATGGCTTCCTAAATCAGAAGGGAGTTGAGCCACCTACCAATCCAGAATACCTGCCTTGAACAGTTACATGAGTGAGAAATCTATTATGTTTGAGCCTATTACATATGTCAGGATTTAAACAATACAGCAGTCTAGCTTACTCTGATTAATAGTATACAATCCCTCTGTCTTGTTTTGTTCTAGTGATTTGGACTTTGGTTAATTATGTCTAACTATTAGAATTGATTAAGAGCTTGATCTCTGGAGACAGACAGACATAAATTCAAATTCAATTCATGACCTCTCAGTTATGTGACCTTATGCAATTTATTTATCCTCTTCTGTAAAGTGGGATTAATAAAAGTACATGCCACAGTGAATGGTGTGAAAGGAAATGAGAGACATGTACAGCACAGTGCTTGCCACATAGCAGGCATGCAACAAATGGTAACCTTTTTATTACTGGCTACTAGTATAAATAGAATATTAAAACTCTGGAATTAAACTCTCTTCAGAGAAATTCTAGTCAACTCTGATCAAGTTTCCAGCTCTAACCAGCAAGAACAAATATGATAAGGCTGATAGTAAAATAAGTAGCCATAGGGTAGAGGTAGTCTACCTAGTGTGTCAAAGATATTCTTGTTGGAATAGCCCAAACTTGCTGTTAAAAAATATTAATAACACTTTTAGATGCACAAAAAACAAAACACTTCCATTTAAATTCAAAGTTATCATAGACTCTTTCCTTGGTTTCCAGAATGCTTTCTTACCTTGATTCTCTCCCTACCTCTAGAATCTCCTTTTCCTTCTGGCTTCCCCACCACTATCTGCAAAAATATGCCCAAATCATTCCTCCTTTAAGTGCAGTGGAATAAAGAAAATTAAATATTTTATATATATATATATATATATATATATATATATATATATATATATGCCCAAGAAACAATCTCAAGACTTTTGCCTTCTTTCTGTATTATTTCTCCCTCTAAACCCTCTTTCTTTCTCTTAAATTCAAACTCTAACCTGTGTTGCTGTCTTTGCAATCTGTCTCTAGTTTTGTCTTCTAAGCTGAGCTCCCTCAGGAGTTTCCAACACTGTTATCTCACTAAAACTTGTCTCAATAAAACCAAAACTAAACATACACTTCTCCCCAGCCTCAGCTTCCTTCCCAGTTTCCCTGCCTTTCTCAGGGATACCACCTTCAGCTCTGTTACCAAGCTTGCAAAATAGTGGAGCCAAGCTGGAGACATACAAATGGAGTCAGTCACTTAAGGCTTAAAGGCCTTGCTCTAAAGTGTTTTTCAGGTGACCCTGTCTAACCCAGTGATTCTCAACCAGGGCAATTTTCAGACTTTGGACTTACTTATTCTAACTGTGCACTTCATACAAGCTTTAATGACTCCAAAGTATAAAGGTAAATCAAACTCAAGGGAACAATCACAAAGGAGTGGCCAACACTGCATAACATCTTTCTTTTCTTCAGTAGAAATCATAATCTTGCAGCAATCTGATTAAACAGATTCAGGATATCTGGCTTGAACCATTCAACTTTTTTTTTCCTCTAACAGAGCTTAGGTTTTGTCAGGGGCAAAAAAGGCCTTCTAAGTGAATGTTGGATTAAAATTATACTCCCGGCTGGGCACGGTGGCTCACGCCTATAATCCCAACACTTTGGGAGGCAGAGGTGGGTAGATCACCTGAGGTCAGGAGTTCGAGACCAGCCTGGCCAACATGGTGGAACCTTGTCTCTACTAAAAATACAAAAATTAGCCAGGCGTGGTGGCACACGCCTGTAATCCCAGCTACTCGGGAGGCTGAAGCAAGAGAATTGCTTGAACCTGGGAGGTGGAGGTTGCAGTGAGCCAAGGTCACACCACTGCACTCCAGCCTGGGTGACAGACAAAGCAAGACTCTGTCTCAAAAAAAAAAAAAATCAAGTTATACTCCAAATGTATCAGGAATGCTATTGAAAGATACCAGCCAAATCAATATTCAACATGCTAGGTTCAATGAAGGAAATCAGATCAAGACAAAATCTAGTGGTCACCTCCAAATAGCTAATAATGCAGTCAGAACACTTAATGCATAAAAATTTTGGACCAGGCAATGGGGGACACATGTTCTACAAAAGGAACAATGTGTAAAATCAGTGAAGCAAGAATAAAGACAGCATGGGAAAAGAACAATAAGAAGACTGGCCTGACCAGAGCAGAGGGGCTACATTTTATTAGATGCAGCCATTTAAGGATAACAAATGCTATAGTTTACATCTGATCCAATGGCCAGTACGTTCTTGTAGGTTTCTGAGCAGAGGATTTTGTGTCAGAGTAATACAAATCTCAGTAAGTAAATCTATTGGGCGAGAATATGGGTATACTTTGTGGTATTCTTTTAACTCTCCTGACTGAAATTTTTCATAATAAAAAGCTGGTGGGGGCGAATATTAACCTACTAGTAGAATACAGAGGCTGAGTTCATCACCTTCAAAATGGAAATATCAAATACAATAAACACTTATCATGTGCTTACTATGAGCCAGGCCATGAGAGTCAAAAGGTACAAAGGTAAATAAAGTCTACACCTTGCTTTTGAGGAGCCCTTAGTCTAGTAGCAGAAGCAAGCATGCATCAAATTATTCTAACACATGGGCTAAGTACAGTAGCAGGAACCCAAAAAGTAGGTGTAGCCTCAGGAGAGGGCACTGTCTGGGAAGGGATGATGGGAGCCACACAGCGTTCAACTTAGACTAGATACACAGAAAACCCCAAGGTTTCCAATCTTGGATATGGGAAGAATAACTATGCGTGAAAAAAATAGCAAAGTTGGAAAGAATGTCTAGTTTAAGGGAACAATAAAGTGTTCCGCAGAGTATCTGGGGACACGCATCAAAGGTCAACGTTTTTGAACATTTATGCATTGTTCAATGTGAGTAATAAAAGGACAACCTTATTCATAATAACCAGATCATAAAACAATTTTGCTGAGACACTAAAAGCAGGTTTCCATTCTAAACATGTATATGAGCACTATCTACAAACTCATATATTATTTGCTCACTGATTATTCTCATTTGAGATACTTTATGCCTTTCATTATGCAAGGCACAACCTTAACAGTATTTGCAATATGACAGACAAATTTCACTATCCCTGATATACAAAGAGTCCTTACAAATCAACAACAGAAAATAAAAAAACATAAAAATACAACTCATAAAAGAAATATGCCAAGACACATTTGAAAAGATGTCCAGAGTCACCAATTTTAAAAATGCAAAGTAACAATAAGATACTTTTCCCTTTTCAAATCAGCTGAAGCTAAAAAATGGAAAGAACCCAGTTTGGGGATAGGTGTAGAAAATCTACCATTTTCACGCATTGCTGACAGATGTCATAATTTGATATCACATTTCCAGAAAGCAGAGAGGCAGCAAGAAAAATAATATTAAACGTTCATACTCTTCAACATAACAATGCTATTTCTAAGAATTTATCCCAAATTCTTAGAAGAAAACTAAACTATATATATATATATATATATATATATATATAGGTTCATTACAGTTTTTTATGGAATTTATCTCAAAAAGATAATTAAGCCAAATATGCATGTAAAAGTTCATTACAGATTTTTATTTATGCATTTATGGCAAAAAACAACTTAATATTTCAATGTCCATCAACAAGAAATTGGCTAAAGTCTGGTACAAGAATACAATAGAACCATTAATACTGAGATACAGACCCAACTATATTTATTAACATGGAGAGATTTCCTGACACATTGTAAGGTAAAAAATGTAAAGTATGATCATATAAATATACATAATAAATAAACAGTAATATCAAAATAACACCAGCTATCATTTGCTAATGATTTACCACATGCAAATGTACACTGTAGCCCAGTGTACATTTTTATGTGAATTAATCCTCACCCCTTGAAGAAGAAACTTTAATGCTACCATTTTACCAAAGAGAAAACTTAGGTGAAAGAGATTAAATAGACTGTCCAATATCTTGCAGTAGCAAACAGGGGAGCTGGGACTCACAACCAGACAGCCTGACACCAAAGTCCACATCCTGAAGCATGTGTATATGCACACATCAAGCTATTGTGTGTGTGTGTGTCTGTTTACGTGAATAAAAGCTGCATCAATGGCTACTCAGATATATTTCTCCAAGTTGTTCTTCCTAGGTAGTAGCATTTGGGATAATTTTTATTTTATTATTTACTTTTTTTAATTTGATTTTTAATGAGTGGGTATTTTTTATAATCAGAAAAAAAGTGGCTCTATATTTGTAAAATAGTATAGAAGCCTCACATTTTCAACAGCAAATGTAAAATACACACTTCAGTTAAAGCCAAATTTCATATATATATGTGTATATATTTTTTGTTTTTTGTTTTTTTTTTCTTGAGACGGAGTCTCATTCTGCTGCCCAGGCTGGAGTGCAGTGGCGCAATCTCGGCTCACTGCAACCTCCGCCTCCTGGGTTCAAGCGATTCTCCTGCCTCAGCCTCCCGAGTAGCTGGGACTACAGGGGCATGCCACCACGCCCAGCTAAGTTTTTGTATTTTTAGTAGAGACAGGGTTTCACCGTGTTAGCCAGGATGGTCTCGATCTCCTGACCTTGTGATCCGCCCGCCTCGGCCTCCAAAAGTGCTGGGATTACAGGTGTGAGCCACCGCGCCCGGCTACCAAATGGCATTTTTTAACTATATGATACAAGATATTTTGCTTTTCTTCACCAGATTAAAAGCATGCCAACCTTATATAAAAGCTACCTAGATTTAAAATGTGGTTTGTTCTGAGGAAAGGTCACATACTCAACAGTATGTGAAATAAAAGGATCCGTACATAAGCATATCATCTTCCATCCCGCACCTATCCAGGAGACTGCAAAGCTTCAGAGAGCTGGACAATGATAGACTCTTTAAGAGGGGAAGGAATCTTAGAGATCAGTTAAGCCCTCGCTATCATGTTACTCAGAAAGCCCTCGCTATCATGTTACTCAGACCCAAAGTCACACCACCGGTGTGGCAGAAGCAGAACTGGAATCCAATGCTCTTTGAACAACACCATGCCATCAGAAGACAACCTTTTGTTTTTTTCTTTTTGTGAACTTACCAGCCAATAAAGTCAAAGCCCATATTATGCCCTCATCATCAAAAAATAACACTAGCCTTGCTACAATCATGCAGGTGCATGCTGCAGCTCAATAATAACCTCAAGACCAATACAAGTGCTGGCATTGCCTGGATTCTGCTTTAAGCAATGAGAATCATGTAGGTAGAGGGAAGACAGGCTGCTGGGCTTTTTTAGTGCAAGCTGGTAAGCCTAGCCCCTTTAAGGCTCCAGGACATAAGATGCTCTTGGAGCTTTGAACACTGCAGTGACACGGTCCACAGTAAGAACCAGCTCTGCTCCTCTTGTGCCCATTTTCAGTCACTCTACACTTGTGCCAGCCGTTATGCCACAGTGCACATACAGGCCAGCTTACTTAAGCTGTCTCTTCTTTCTGTCCCTGAAGTTCCATCCAGGGGTGCTCTCTGCTCAGGAAATGTCTGTCCCCATATGGTAATCCCACCTGGGTAGGTCCACTCCTCAGGGAATTGCCTGTATAGTAAAACCTCTGGGGATCCCCTCTCTTTGGGTTATTCCTGCCCCTCTCTGTGTTTTTTCATGCAGCAGGGTTATGGATGTGACAGACTTTCATCTTGCAGTTCCCTGGCCAGGCTTGCTCCAGTCTCTCTTCTCTAATTAGCTGGCTCAATGACGTAAATATCAAGTGTAAGGTGTAAAGCGGTGGAAACAAGAAGCCTCATGGCAGCCTTGGCCTAAACTGAGTTCTGGAATCTACTTTTACCAGAGGGTCTTAATGGGAACTTGCTCTACCATTACCAAGCATACGAGATGAAAAAATGGAAACAAAATACCAGACAGGGACATGAAGGCTTTAAGTCTTCCTGCAGGTGTAGCACAAACCTTATGGTTCCAGTTGGGGCCAATCTAAAAACAATGATTTGACCATACAGACTTCCTGGGCACCAGAGGGTAGAATGATTTCTGTATTGCAGCCAATATCCTCCTTTGATCGGGACTCTCAGCCAGGACAGCAGCCAGGCTGATTATAAGGCACAGAGCAGCCAGGTTCCACACAGACCCTGGGGCGTGGGATTATGAGACAGCGATCCCAAATTGTGTTCTTTATCATGTGTCGAATTGCACACAGGGTCAAAGAGAGACCTACAAATAAGTTAAATTCATGTGGCTTTTACATTAACAACTGGATCACTGGCCCACAAGAGGTAAAGTCTGACCATTGTGGTCAAGATGTAGAGAAACACACTGTGAGTTCACCATGGAGAGGTCAGGGGAGTGTGTGGAGAGTGGGGAGTTATTTTAACAAGGATCAGGAAAAGAATAATGGATTCTTTATTCTGGGGATTATTCTTTTCCTGAATTTGGGTAAAGAAAAAAAAAGTCAATGGAATTATCACAAACTCAAAGGTTAAGAAGGAAATGCATAACACTGTCTTCAGGAATCACCTTATTCCAGATTCAAAGAGAAACAGGAACGAAAAGTATTCTCAGTTATGAAGCAGATTAGGAAACACTTCAGTAAGAGAAAAATGAAGGACCGCACTGCTCAAGCTGGAAGATGAGAGGAATCTCCATAGGACAAAAGTTGCAATTTTAATGGCCAGGCTAAAAGAGGGCCAGGCCAACTCCAGAGGACCCGAGATGCAGAGACACTACTTACCTACAGGCAGGCAGTTAATGGTGAGAGCAATTGTGGGAGCCTCCCTCCTTGTACCTAGGGCAGCTGCCTTGGGGAGTTACACAGATGTAGACAGACGTGAGAATGGAGAATCAGCCCCGCATACACCCATCCTTACTATAACAGTTTCTCAGTAACACAGATAACTTAGGGAAGCTGGTGAGGACCACTCCCTGAGGGAACTCCATGCCCTTAAGATTCCACAGGAAGGTACAGGAGAGGTGAGACACAGGATACTGAAGACAGTCCTGCCACAACAGCCCAGGCCGGATTAGATGCTGCACTAACCTCTGCACACAATCACTCAACTGAGTCTAGCCATGGAAGCACCAGTGAGGAAAACAAGAATATTTCCTCCTCTCACTCATGCCTCCATCTACTCTCATTACCCCAGATACTGCCAAGAGTTTGCTTGTTTTGGCTAGAATAATGTCAGAAATATACTGTGGCATCTCAGTAGAAATGCTCTAGAGGCTGTGAGGTGGCCCTGGGCTGAAGAAGTTCCCAAGACACAGACCTTTAAAACTGGGACAAGTTGATCACACTTGGTAAAGAGTAAAGGCCATTACTCTTTCCTCCAAAAGACCCAGGGACTGGAGTCAGCATCTGGCACTCTGTTTTTGAAAGATTCCCACTGCCAATTCATAGACTAATAAAAGAGATAATAAGCATGGATTACTCAGATCATGCTTTCTAGTCTGTAACTCCCAGAAGATTTAGAAATGGCATATAAAAGTAATTAAAAGGCACCTTATTAGTTATACGTCTTTTTTTTTTTCTTTGAGGCAGAGTCTCGCTCTGTCGCCCAGGCTGGAGTGCAGTGGAGCAATCTCTGCTCACTGCAAGCTCCGCCTCCCGGGTTCACGCCATTCTCCTGCCTCAGCCTCCCGAGTAGCTGGAACTACAGGCATCCGCCACCATGCTCGGCTAATTTTTTTTTGTATTTTTAGTGGAGACGGGGTTTCACCGTGTTAGCCAAGATGGTCTTGATCTCCTGACCTCGTGATCCGCCTGCCTCGGCCTCCCAAAGTGCTGGGATTACAGGCGTGAGCCACCGTGCCCAGCTATGGTTATACATCTTAATCAAACAGTAGTCTATTCATATAGAAAAGGAAGATAAATATCCCCTTCTAAGGGATAGGTTTTGGATATGAATTCAGGGGAGGTGTGTGCTTTCTAGCAGGCCTGCTTCACTTTACAGGTCTGCACCAGGTCATCCTGTTTAGGAGGATGCTCAGGTTAAAAGAGGCTAAGGACATATGACGACTAAATACAGTGTAGGATCTCAGACTGGATCCTAAATATTAGTGGGACAATTAGTGAAATTTGAATAAGGTCTGTAGATTACACTAATAGAATTGTATCAATGTCAATTTTCTGGTTTCAACAATTGCACCATCGTCATCTAAGATGTTCACATCTGGGGAAGCTAGGTGAAGGGCATAAGGAAATTTGTACTATTTTTGCAACTTTTTGTAAATCTAAAATTATTTCAAAACAAGAAACTTTTTAAAAAGAGCCTCTTCCAGGGGCTGGGCACAGTAGCTGAGGCTTGTAATCCCAGCACTTTGGGAGTCCATGGGGGGTGGATCTATTGAGCTCAGGAGTTCAAGACCAGCCTGGGCAACATGGCGAAACCCTGTCTCTACAATAAATACAAAAAAAAAGAAAAAAAAAATTAGCTGGATACGGTGAAGCTCTCGCCTGTAGTCCCAGCTACCCAGGAGGCTGAGATGGGAGGATCACCTGACCCCAGAGGTCAAGGCTGCAGTGAGCTGTGACTGCACCACTGCACGCACTGCAGTTTGGGCAACAGAGTGAGACCTTGTCCAAAAAAAAAAAAAAAAAAAATCCTCTTCCACCCAAAATTCCGTAATTTCCTAACACATACACACAAAAACTCATACACATTAAAAATAACAGTTTTGGATTCACACATGACATGAGATTTATTGTGAGCTTTTAACCATTAAAACAAAGGTTTACTGCTTATAAAAACAGAAGGCTAGAGACAATTTAACTGACAGATGAGAAAAAGGCTTAGTACAGCTCTCATGCAAGCCATGACAAATATATCCATTTGAGGAACACTGATTTTTCACCTCCAAGCACAGTACTAGGCACATAACTAAAACTCTAATATTTAAAAAAAGAATGAATCCACATGATGAATGATTATACAAGCATTTTCAAAGATGTTTAAGAAGAATTTGATCCACAAAAATGCTAAGTGAGAAAATGTAAGGTGGAAAGAAAAAGCAAAAGTATGAAGTAATATAACAATATTACCCCAATTAGGTAACAATACTACCCTAATTTTGTGTACATTCATATACACAAAAATACAAAAATTAGGAAGAAATGCATCAAAATGTTATTACATGTGGCAAAACTACAGATTTTAATTTTCATCCTTATAATTTTCTCTGTCTTCCAAGTTGTCTACAATGAAAAAAGTTGGCCAGCACAGTGGCTCACGTCTGTAATCCCAGCACTTTGGGAGGCCGAGGTGGGAGGATTACCTGAGGTCAGGAGTTCAAGACCAGCCTGGCCAACATGGTGGAACCCCATCTCTACTAAAAACACAAAAATTAGCCGGGCATGGTGGCAGGCGCCTATAATCCCAGCTACTCGGGAGAATCGCTTGAACCCGAGAGGCGGAGGTTGCAGTGAGCAGACATTGTGCCACTGCACTCCAGCCTGAGCGACAGAGCAAGACTCCGTCTCAAAAAAAACAAAAAGAAAAAAGTTTCAGTGGGTTTAAGTGCATTTACACACTTCAATTTATCAAGACTTTTCTATGCCCTTCCATTATTTTAGATCTTTCAAATTTCATTCATCTGCAACTCTACGATTCTTTCAGCAACAGCTGTTCAGAACAGATGATTTACTTTCCATAGCGAATTTTAAACTGTTTATCATGCAGAATGGGCCCTTAGAAAACATCTAGTCCTCTAGATTTGTATGACTTTAAATTAAAAGTAGACACTACAAAGTGGATTTAACCGCTTTAAACCCCACAGGATTAGATTTAAACTCCGCAGGATTTAAGGCAATATGATACAACTGTGTCTTGAGTCTGAATAAACCTCAGCTGCACTTTTTAAGTCTGGGATCTCCATACACCGTCCTGCTGGAATATAAGGTTTTACAGAAGGCAGCGCACACCAATGCTGGTGCTGTGAAGGCACCCACAAAATCAGACGCTGCCTATAGGGGAGAACCCCATTCCATCCACGTTTCTCAGGTGTCCCAGGCACTAGCCAGACAGGTATCTATTATTTAAACTGTACAGTATGTCCCAGTCAAAAGCCTGGAAACTCAGTCACCTCGATGTGAGCATTATCCTGCAAGCCCGCTCCGGCCAAACCTGCTTGGAGACAGCCTAGTCCGCCCTGATCCCCGGACTGCCCGGGAAGCAAGAACCCCGGGACCCGCGAGCTGACCCTTCTAAAAACCACCCTTCACTCCGCTCCGCCGACCACCCCACTCACTGCCTCCTTCCCCAAAGCGCTGAGGCCCCCAACATCCTCCATCCTGACTTCACCAGCCCCAAATTTCCGCCTCACCGCCTTTCTCTCAGGACTCAAACCCTCGCCCCAGACCCATAATCCCCTCCACAAACCTCTCCCCTCCCCTGCGACCGCCGCTCCCCGCAACACCTTCACTCGTCCCTGCCCCCACAGCCCCCGCGCCCATCCTGGTCCCACTTCCCATCCCCAGGGGTGCTGGCACCGGGAGGCGGCCCGGGAACGCAGGGCGGCGACCAGGCGGAGCTCCTGGAGCCTGCAGCGGCCGGGGCTCTGTGGCTGCAAGGGGCCGGGCTCTGCTGCGGACAGCTGGGGGGTCCGAGGTGCCCTCCCCGACTCACCAGCCGCCGCAGCGCTCCACGTCTTCGGAGGCGGGTCCGAGAGCCGGCGAGAACCGGAGGCCGGGCGAAAGAGTGCTCGGTGCGGGGGGCGGGCCAGGCCAGTGGGGCGGGCGCCGCCGAGCGCTGGGCGTGGCGGACGCGGCGGGGCCTAGATGCGGTCACACGCAGGGGGGCGGGGCCGCGGCGGGAGAGGCGGGGCCTCACTGGGCGGTAGCTCCGGGAGGGGCGGAACTGCGGTGGGAGGGGCGGGGCCTCACTGGGCGATCGTAGTGGACGAGAACCTAGACTGGAACCGGTCCGAAGAAAAAAAGGCAGCCCTCATTGGGCTGTCGCCTGGAACAGGAGACCAGGCCGGGAGAAAGGGAGGGGCGTGCCTAACGTACTGTACCACCCATCGAAATCCGGACGGCAGCGGGAGAGGCGCGGCCGAGAAGGCAGAGGCCTGGTTGGGCTGTCACTCCGAGCCGGGGCGGCATGTGGCTGGGCTCTCCAACCGCGAGCGGTCGGGGCAGGGGAAAGGAATACGCCCCTTCACATTTCCCTCTTCCATCTCTTAAAGACCAGAACCTAATTTTCTGGTCACTTTCAGGTATAAGAACAAGTCTCATTTTAACTGTAGCTCACTTTCAAGTTGTGAAAAACGCAGATCCTTTTATAATTAAAACCTAACATCCAACCACAGCCAAATCCCAAAACCCTTGCTCCTCCTAGAAATCGCCAGACACCTTTCCACCTCCAGGCTCAGAGTCTGCCCCAGCCATTCCTTCTGCCCAGAAAGCTCTTCCCTCGGTTGGCTGCTTGGCTCACTTCCTCACCTCCCTCAGTGTTTGCTGGGCTCTCACTTTCTCCCTGAGGCCCTTTCTGACCATCCTACTTAATACCTGTTCTCATCTGCTCCTCACCCCACCATTTCCTTACCTGCTCTCCTATTTCTTCTGTCCACCACACTTTTTGACTTTTTGTTGTTGTTGTTTTGAGATAGAGCCTCGCAATGTCACCCAGGCTGGAGTGCAGTGGCGCAGTCTCGGCTCACTGCAACCTCCGCCTCCCGGGTTCAAGCGATTCTCCTGCCTCAGCCTCCTGAGTAGCTGGGATTACAGGCGCGCACCATCATGCCCAGCTAATTTTTGTATTTTTTGTAGAGACAGGGTTTCACTATGTTGGCCAGGCTGGTCTAGAACTCCTGACCTCAGGTGATCCGCCTGCCTCGGTTTCCCAAAGTGCTGGGATTACAGGCGTGAGCCACCGCGCCCTGCCGGCTTTAAGTGTTTTTAGTTACCCAGGGTCTACCACAGTCTGAAAATAGGTGAGGCCAGAACAATAAGATATTTGGAGAGAGAGAGAGAGACCATATTCACCTTTTATTACAGTCTATTTTTATAATTGTTCTATTTTATTATTATTCATTGTTGTTAATCCCTTACTGTACCTAATTTATAAATGAAACTTTATCATAGTATGTATGTATGTGTAGGAAAAAACATAGTATACATAGAGTTTTATACTATCCTCAGTTTCAAGCATCCACTGTGGATCTTGGAATGTATCTCCCACAGATAATGGAGGATTACCAGCCCCAATGTTTAGAACAGTGTTAGGTCCATAGCAGACAAGCAATAATTCTGAAATGAAAAATTTAAAAAATGAATGAACACTTTCTGCCTCCATACATCCAGCTTTGGCCAGATCAATGCCTCAACAAACTGCAGTGCGGAGAAGGCTGGTCTGTTCTTTACTCCCCACCCTTCTCTGGGTCTTCCAGGTTCCAGGCAGGAGGCAGGGAAACTAAAAGAAAGGAGCAGAAGACTCGTTACTTGGTAGGAGCAGTTTGTCATTCTTTCTAGTCCTCCGATGCTATCATGGCAGCTCACAACATTATTAACCAGTTTTTGTGCAGCTATCTTTTTGTAGGTCCTGTGTGGTTATGTTCAGAAGTTCTCTCTTTCTTCTGAAAATCAGGACAAATTATTTATGAACTTCAATAAGTTTAGACATGAATTACTCCTTAGACTTTTGTTTTTAAATTGTACTCTTCTTATCTTCTCATCCTAGAACGCACGGCCATCCTCCATATAATTTCATTTTCTTATATTTATGTGGCTGGAGGAATTAGGAAGAAAAATGAATGGAAATATAAAAGTCATTTTCTCTTGTATAATCTTATTTCATCTCCACAATTAACAAATTAAAACTTTCTGTTAAGTATAGCAAATTGTTGGACAGCATAAATGGCAAACCTGAGTTAATGACATAGATCCCTATATAGTAGTCCCCCTTAGCCACATTTCAATACCCCCACTGGATGCCTGAAACCACAGATAGTACTGAACCCTGTATATATTATGTTTTTTCGACCTGATAGCCTAGATGGCTGCTAAGTGACCAAAAGGTATGTAGCATTGATATAGTTTGGATCTGTGTCCTCACTTAAATCTCATGCTGAATTGTAATCTCCAGTATTGGGGGTGGGGCCTGGTGCAAGGTGATTGGATCATGGGGGTAGATTTCTCATGAATGGTTTAGCACCATCCCCTTGGTGCTGTCCTCGAAATAGTGAGAGACTTTTCACAAGATCTGGCTGTTTAAAAGTGTGTGGCATCTTGCTCTCTCTCTGTTGCTCCTGCTCTCGCCATGTGATATGCCTGCTCCCCCTTTGCTGTCTGCCATGATTTTAAGTTTCCTGAGGCCTTCCCAGAAGCCAAGCAGATGCCAGCATCATGCTTCCTGTACAGCCTGAAAAACCAGAGCCAATTAAACCTCTTTGCTTTATAAATTACCCAGTCTCAGTTATTTCTTTATAGCAATATGAGAATGGACTAATACAAGGACCTACAGTATGGACACACCAGACAAAGAGATGATTCACATCGCAGGAGGGATGGAGTAGGACAGGCGGAGATTTCATCACGATACTCAGAATGGCACACAATTTAAAACTTATGCAATGTTTATTTCTGGAATTTTCCATGCAATGTTTTCTGACCTCAGTTGACTGAAGGTAATTGAAACCATGGAAAGAGAAACTGTGGCTAAGGAGAACTACTGTATCAATTACCTATGACTGCATGTCAAACAATTACACAGAATTAGGGATTCCTTTCTCCACTTGTCTCTCTTTGGGTATTTCCTCCATGTTCTCTCTGGCTTCCAAGAGTCCCTTTTCCCAACTCCTCTGTCCAGAAGGACAGGTTTTCTCTCAGGTGACTGTGTCACCATACCACTGCAGGGCAGCTCCCAGACAGGGAATGGCTTCAGGGAAACGGAGGGAGAGAAAAAAAGGAATCAGCAGTTTCCACCACTTTCTCTAGCTTGCAGCAGACTTTTTTCCTGGTCCTGTGGCTACATGGTCCGGCTTCTCTCGGACATTTTGCTGATAGTGTCTGGTTGACAATTCCCTATTCATCTGTCCTCAGATCAAAGCCAAGAGGTAAAGGAGAAAAAAATAAAAACAAGACTCTCACTACTACTCTATCTGTCTTTCTTCAGGCTTTGAGTTCCCTGCCATCATGATCCACCTGCTATTATTTACTTTTCAGAGTCCTTGGGTAGTTGTTCTTTACATTTTATCTAGAGGTTTTAGTAGTGATCAATCAGTAGCAGACATGGGCAGCAGTGGACTTACTCTATTTTGGTCAGAAATGGAACTCATCAATCTAGTAGATGAAAAAACATTTTAAGTCGTATTTTTCTTATGAAGAGTGAGTTCGAGAGCATCTTCTCAGGTTAAAGAGACATTTGTCTTTCATTTTCTGTGAATTATCTATTTATTTGTATTGTCTAATTTTCTACTATGTATAGAAACTCTTTATATAATAGAACAGTCCTTTTTCTTAGATATGAATGTCAAAACTTTTCCTCAGTTTGTCACGTCCTTTGATTTATCTTATGCTACTTTGTTTTTGTTTTTGTTTATTGGCCGTGAAAACTTCTATTTCTAACTGGTCAATTTTACCAGGCTTTTCTTTTACTACGTACTACTTCTGGGTTGCATCGTACTTAGAAAGACCTCCACCTCTCTCTCTCTTCAATTACTTTTTTTTTTTTTTAACGGGTCTAGCTCTGTTCCCCAGGCTAGAGTGCAGTGGCATGATCTAGGCTCACT
Source organism: Homo sapiens (assembly GCF_000001405.40). Taxonomy (NCBI): domain Eukaryota; kingdom Metazoa; phylum Chordata; class Mammalia; order Primates; family Hominidae; genus Homo; species Homo sapiens. The sequence continues at coordinate 43,626,011 of NC_000003.12, forward strand.
GCAACTTCCGCCTCACGGGTTCAAATGCTTCTCCTGCCTCAGCCTCCCAAGAAGCTGGGACTACAGGCATAAGCCACCACACCCAACTAATTTTTGTATCTTTATTAGAGACAGGGTTTCACCATGTTGGTCAGGCTGGTCTCGAACTCTTGACCTCAAGTGACCCACCCACCTCGGCCTCTCAAAGGGCTGGGATTACAGGCATGAGCCACCATGCCTGGCCCAATTACTTTTTAAATTCTTCCATGGTTTCTTGTTTACATCTCATGATGTTATGTTCTTCACTTTTTTTTTTTTTTTTTGAGACTGAGTCTCGCTGTATCGCCCAGGCTGGAGTACAGTGGTGTACTCCTGGCTCACTGCAACCTCTGCCTCCCAGGTTCAAGCAATTCTCATGCATGCCTCAGCCTCCCGAGTAGCTGGGATTACAGGCATGTGCCACCACACCCGGCTAATTTTTGTATTTTTTTAGTAGAGACTGTGTTTCACCATGTTGGCCAGGCTGCTTTTGAACTCCTGACCTCAAGTGATCTGCCCACCTTGGCCTCCCAAAGTGCTGGGATTACAGGCATGAGCCACCATGCCCAGCCATGTTCTTTACTTTTAAAATTTGACCAATCAGGAATTTATTTTGATTTGAGGTAAATGGAGTGGATCCAACTTTATATCTTGATAGCTACACATTTTTCCAACCCCATTTCATTAATAATCCGTATTTCCCCTACTGATTTTAAATGCCACCATTATCATATACTAAATTTCCTTCCCTATTTATGAACTTTCTATTCTGTCTTATTAATCTGTTGGTTTATCTCTGTACCAGAATCATAAGATTTTAATTTTTGAATCTTCATAATACTTCATTCTCTCTCTTTAAACTCTACAATACAATCAGAAAAGTCAACCCACCCACCCACCCAGCAGTTCCTGTATTTCTCATTCCCTTCATAACCACCTACAATAGCAGCCATTGAAGACTCACTGTCAGTAAATTGTTCATCCAAGGTGACCATGTACTTTCACTGTTCATCCAAGGTGATAATTTACATAATTTTTCTTCTGTATGCTTAGATTCATAGCATCCCATTTTCCACTAAGTGACAAGGCCACCATCCACCATTGTCTTCAAACCCAGCCAGTACCAGATTCCCAGTTTCAGGGTTTGATTTCTGCAACCACTTCCAATACCAAACTTGTCAGTCAAATTTCAGTACAGAAAACAGAAATCACTGTGTGTATTTTACACAGGAAGATATTTAATAAAGAGAACTAAGTTCTTACCAAATCGGTGGAAGGCCTGGAGAAACAGCTCTGGGCTGGACATCTTGGAGTGAACAACTCTACTGGGCCAGTCTACCAAGGAAGCTGCTGGGTCTGAGGCCACTGGAGCCAGGCTAGGCCTGGCACCAAGGCCATGGCCTGAATGTGGACACCTTAATCTGTGATCTAGGGATTTCTGAGTTTGATCAAGAAGCTGCCACAGTCACTACTGCTTCTTAACACCCAGGAAGCTGAAGAATAAGGACTGAAACTTGTGACAAAGAAGCCACAACCTTCCTATTCAGGGGAGGTGTCCAAAGCCACAGGAGGATGGTTTCCTAACCTCCACCTGCCTGATACCAAGATAGTGCATCTAACTGGAGAGCCTGAAGTTGTTTTTAGGACTCCGACCTCTAATACCTCTTTACATAAATCTTGCTCGTTTCTTATAGAGTTTATTTCTAGGCAATTTATCTTTCTAATTGCTAAAGAAACTGTTGTTTCTTCCATTATATCTTCTGATTAGTTGCTGCACATATATATATATATCATTAATTTTGGTATATTAATATTATACTCAGAATAAAATCTCATAGTTTATAGTAGTTGGGTTTTTTGTTTGTTTGTTTGTTTATGTGACAGAGTGTTGCTCTGTCACCAGGCTGGAGTGCAGTGGCGCTATCTAGGCTTACCACAATCTCCGTCTCCCAGATACAGGCGATTCTCCTGCCTCAGCCTCCTGAGTAGCTGGGACTACAGGTGTGCATAGTAGTTGGTTCTTTTAGGATTTCCAAGTTTACAGTCATATAATATAAAGATAATAATTATTTTTCCTCCTTTCTTGTCTTGTTTCTGGTATTAAGAATATGTTTTTGGTGTTTACTCAGCAAGGAGGTGTTGCGGGAAGTCAGGGACCCCAAACGGAGGGACCGACTGAAGCCATGGCAGAAGAACATGGATTGTGAAGATTTCATGGACATTTATTAGTTCCCCAAATTAATACTTTTATAATTTCTTATGCCTGTCTTTACTGCAATCTGTAAACATAAATTGTGAAGATTTCATGGACACTTATCACTTCCCCAGTCAATACCCTTGTGATTTCCTATGCCTGTCTTTACTTTAATTTCTTAATCCTGTCAGCCGAGGAGGATGTATGTCGCCTCAGGACCCTGTGATAATTGCCTTAACTGCACAAATTGTAGAGCATATGTGTTTAAACAATATGAAATCTGGGCACCTTGAAAAAAGAACAGGATAACAGCAATGTTTAGGAAACAAGAGAGATAACCTTAAACTCTGACTGCTGGTGAGCCGGGCGGAACAGAGACATATTTCTCTTCTTTCAAAAGCAAATGGAAGAAATATCCCTGAATTCTTTTTCTCAGCAAGAAACATCCCTGGGAAAGAGAATATGCACTTAGGGGTAGGTCTATAGATGGCCCCCCCGGGTGTGGCCGTCTTCTATGGTCAAGGCTGTAGGGGTGAAATAGACCCCAGTCTCCCATAGCGCTCCCAGGCTCATTTGGAAGAGGAAATTCCCACCTAATAAATTTTGGTCAGACCGGTTGCTCTCAAAACCCTGTCTCCTGATAAGATGTTATCAATGACAATGGTGCCCGAAACTTCATTAGCAATTTTAATTTCGCCCCAGTCCTGTGGTCCTGTGATCTCGCCCTGCCTCCATTTTGCCTTGTCATATTCTATTACCTTGTGAAGTACGTGATCTCTGTGACCCACACCTATTCGCACACTCCCTCCCCTTTTGAAAGTCCCTAATAAAAACTTGCTGGTTTTGCGGCTTGTGGGGCATCACGGAACCTACCAACATGTGATGTCTCCCCCGGACACCCAGCTTTAAAATTTCTCTCTTTTGTACTCTGTCCCTTTATTTCTCAAACCAGCCAATGCTTAGGGAAAATAGAAAAGAACCTATGTGACTATCGGGGCAGGTTCCCCGATAAGGAGGAGATTGACTTTGGATTTGAGATAAACATATTTTATAATTAAGTAAGAATTGATCAATTCTTATTTTGTTGAAATTCTTTACCTATTAGGATGAATGCTGGATTTTATTACATGCCTTTTCATCATCTATGAAGATAGTCATGTGATTTGTTTTTCTTAGTAATTGTGAGTTTTGTTAATAGGTTTCCTTATTTAGCCTTTATTCTAAGAGAAATGAGTCACTGGGGAATTCTGAGCAGATGAGAGACATTATTCAGAATTAAATATTAACAGAATCACTCAGGCTTCTGTGTTGAGATACACAGCAGAGACACAAGGATGGAAGCTGGCTGTTGCAATCTTTGAGACAAGAGATGGATTGATTGTACCAGGGTGGTAGCAGTGGAACTGATGAGAAGTAGTTGGATTTTAGAAATATTTTGAAGGTAGAAGTTTCAGGAATTGATGACATATGAGATGTAAAGTATGAGAGAAAGAGGAGTCAATTGATAACTGAGGTAGGGAAAACTATAGGAAAATCAGATTTGGGAGAAATTCAGGAGCCCTGCGATGGATATTCTTGGGTTTGAGATGCCTTTTGGAAATCTGAGTCAGTAAATAGGCCTCTGACATTCAGGAGAGATGCCAAAGCTAGAGATAAGAATTTGCAAGTTATCAACAGAAAATGATATTTGATGCTATGAGACTGGATGAACTCACCAGAGTTGTGAGTGCAGTTATAGAAGGGAAGAGGACCAAGGACAGAGCCTCAATCATTAACTCCAATAGTAAGAAGTTGAGAGAAGAGAAAATAGCAAAGGAACTTGGGAAAGACTGGCCAATGAGATGCAAGGTAAACCCAGAGAATGGGGAAGGGCAGTGTCTCAGAAGCAAACAAACAATCTGAATTAAAGAGGAGTTCTGCCATATGTTGATGCTAGATCAAGTAAGATAAGAACTGAAAAAATAAAATGACAGCACTAGGATGAACATATTTGTCCTATCAATTATTATAAATCTAAAATCTAAATACTAAATCTAAATACTAAAACTAAAATCTAAATACTAAAATCATTTGTGAATAAAGATATTGAAACTGGATGAATTAAAACTCAGCTCTGTACTCTACATGAGAGACACACCTAAAACAAATTGATTCAAAAAGTTTTAAAATAAAAGATGGGCAAAGACACACCAGGCAAATATAAACACCAATAAAGCCAAGATTCTGATAAAGTTAAATTCAGAGGGAAAAAAAAGCCTATTAAACAAAAGAGAGAAGGGGAGTTTAGAATGTTAAGGTGCAGACTTCACAATGACATAACCTCCTATGAGTATATATGCCCCAAGTAACATTGCTGCCCCTCAAATGCACCCAGATGCCCCTGCTTTGGAGCCTTGGCAGTGGTTGTTACCTCTGCCTGGAATACTGTCCCCCAGAGCACAAGTAACTCATTCATTTCCCTAAGACTGCTCAAAACGTTATTTTCTCAATGAATCCTATTGTGACCTCCATATTTAAAATTGTAACTTATTCTGTCTAATTCTTTTAAACTCTATTTTGCACATTGTTTTTGTTCCTGCTCTTCACATCTCTTGCTGAGTGTTCTTTAGTGTCTGTTCTTTCATGGACTGCTTCCAGTTTTTTCTTTATTTCTTTGATGCCTTTTTTTTCCCCTTTCACTTCTTTTTGAAGTGCTACCAGCTCGTGTTTGATCGGTTGTCTCACTTTCCCTCACGTGAGCTACCTGCAAGAGGTATATGTTAGTAGAGCCCAGTTTCCTGGCTGGAAGGAGTTTGACTGATGGTTCAAGACTGAGTGAGTGAATTGTTTTAGTCTTTACTTCTCCCAAGCCAAAAACTAGGCAGCTGGAAGGCTGCTGTCAGTGCGGTCTTCTCTCCATGTTTACTGGCAGACTGCTTCCTGCAAATAAATGAATTGTCTGCATCTTCATTCAGTTCTGTCCTCCACATGTTGCTCTTCTGGTTAGGATCTGGCTTTGTGACCTTCTCCCACAAGCCCTTTAATTTGTAGTGTGCACCAGCCTCATTTGAGATCTGCAACCCCTTCTCCAGCTTTTCTACTAACCCTCACTGCCTTGATACCACTCCCACATTTTGTATGGTTTTGAGTTTGAGATATCTCCTTGTTTTGCAAAGGTGGGGTTTTCATTTCTGTTCCTCAGTTGGCCTTATTACTGCTGAGTGGTTTCTAAGAGAAAGGAGGAATGCTTATAGTATCCACCCTTCTCAAACCAGAGTTGCCAACTGATTTTCTATAAATTAGGGTTTTACTATTAGCAAAAGCCAAGTTAGGTGTTCCAGCTACTAAAAGGTCTTCAGACTTGGCATAAACATAGTGCTTTTTTTTTCTTTCTGAGATTTGTTTAAAAATATTCTCATTGTATGAGAGGGACCCACTAGATAACCTCTGGGTCCCCTTCAGCTTGGAAATTCCATGATTCTACATAACACACCCAACTTACCTCAATGAATGTAGAGAACCCATTATTTTCTATGGCAAAAGAAAGTGCTTATAAAAAAAAAAAAAGAAGAAAGAAAAGAAAAAAAAAGAAAGTTACAGGCTGGGTACAGTGGCTCACACCTGTAATCCCAGCACTTTGGGAGGCCAAGGCGGGTGGATCACCTGAGGTCAGGAGTTCAAGACCAGACTGGCCAACATGGTGAAACCCCGTCTCTACTAAAAATATAGAGCGTGGTGGTGGGCGCCTATAATCCCAGCTACTTGGGAGGCTGAGGCAGGAGAATTGCTTGAACCCAGGAGACAGAGGTTGCAGTGAGCCAACACGATGCCACTGCAGTGCAGCCTCGGTGACAGAGTGAGACTCTGTCTCAAAAAAAAAAAAAAAAGAAAGTAAGTTACAAAATTGTAATTATCTCCTTCAGAATATGATACAGAGTTCAGTACTTAAGAAAATTGTTTTGAATTAAATTGACGGTGCTGGTTATTTTCTGTTTGTCCACATCTACCCTCTACCCTTCTCCACCCTCCTCTGTGCCCTAGGAGGCTGGCCTCTATGGATGTGTCAGTAGGCTTCCTTGTCTTCTGGTTCCTGATTGGGTTCAGTTAATGGGAGCACTGGCAGGAGACTAGAGAGAGGTAAGAGAGTGAGGTCAGAGTATTTGTTCCTTGGCTACCTCTGTGCTGAGTCATGGCAAGCTGGCCATGTCCCTCAGTGGAAGGCCATAGCTCTAGTCAGGCAGCCCTTTCCATATAGTGGAGTAACTGCTTCCGCTCCTTGCCCTTCAGGCCTAGAACGGTAATGACTCAATTATTACTAGCTTCAGGGTGCACCACCATCCCTCATGGTTTCCCTAAACTTTGCTCACACATTTGTGAATAGTCTCTTTTTAAAACTCCACTCAAATTACCAAATTGGAGTATGCCATCTGTTTCCTGCCAGGACTGTGACTGATGCATTGGACATGTTTTGCTGCCCTAAATATATTCCAGCATCTCCATGCAGCACTACACAGTTTCTATAATAGACTTGACTGCCATCCTAAACTCTTCCCAACATGACTCAGATTTTAATGGAGGTAATTCACGATTTGATTTTTCATGTTTGGACAGCCTTCATAAGGCAGATATGACATAATGAAAATAGTTTAGATGTGAACATTTAGCTTCTAGTAGGCAATGAATAAAAAGTCTATACAAAGAGCAGTGGTGGTAAATAGAATTAATATTCTGATTATAAAAAATTCTATTTAAATATAACAGCAACCTTTAGATCAAATCAATTATAGTCAGGTATTTCGCATCACGTTTAAAATGCCTCAACATATCAAGTAGAAATAAAATGAAGAGAAAAAGAACTTTACATTTTTGCTGAAGACATTTTTGATGTTTTCTATTTTGAAATAAAAAACGTAAATTTATTTTCACGTATTAAAAGACCTATCTCGTCCCCCCGGAAAGAAATATTAGGTTGGTGCAAAAGTTATTGCGGTTTTTGCCATTGAGAGTAATGGTAAAAACCACAATAACTTTTGCATCAATATAATATATAAACTGTTTCCATCCTCCCTGTAGTGTTGAATACAAGTTAGAGTAGATGAAATACCACATACATATTTTGAATATCTTGGGGAAAATGTTGTTTTATTTCCACTGTGTTTTTACTGGAAACCTACAACATAATGACCATTTGACATCTGCCAAATAATCAAAGACACTATTTGGCTCACAGTGCCATTTCAGTTCCTTGTCTTAGCAGGGAAGAGGCTAAATGGCTAATGGGTCTTTTCTGTGTCTTCTGTGTATGTAATACATTCCTAGAATAAAGCCATTGAAGTAATAGAATTCCTCTATGAAATTACTCACCTGAGGAGAACTGTTCATTCTAAATTTAGATTTTGATGAATATAGATATTTTAACTATCAGATTCTGAATCATGAGTGTCAAGAACTACAAAGGGGTTGAAATTTTACCACATGTATGAGCTAATAATAAGTTAGCCTGTCACAGTTTCATGGTTGTTGACAGAAGACACAAGACTCCTGGGTCAGAGACAAAGGACATTATTACTCGTTGTGTAGCAGTCAGCATGGGCTTCATATTTGTGTCAGTTCTCCTTACTCCTCAAGTCCCATGGGAACATGTGGAAGAGCCTGGGTGGATTCTACACAATCAATAAATTTGCATCGTAGCTAAAAAAAAAAAAACTCAGACTTTTAACCCTGGTCTTTTCAAGGGACTGTTAGCAAACCTGCTCAACCTGAGGGAAACATTATCTTTCTTATCATGGACAGCAAAAAAAAAAAAAAAAAAAATCTGCCACTATCTTCAAGACCGTCTGCTACACAAACATCTTCCAAAAGATATTTAATAATTTGAAACAAAGGATGTCAGTGCCTTTACTCAGAAGATGGGCAGACACACAAAAGACCCATGCAGAATTATCTCCCAACAATTAGGAGTAGCCTTGCCACCATCACAACTCATGAGTTTTCCCAGCAGAAGTATACTCTACAGCCTACACAGGTAACTGAACTTCAGAGTTACACAACTTAGTAAGAGAACGATTGCTAGATTTCCTTTTTACATGTCTTTTAATAATTAAAAAAAATAAGATAGGTATAATACAAGCACTTAGTATAAAAATAAAAGACTATTAAGAGTGTAGGCAGTGAAAAGTAGGTGTCTTTCCCCGTCTCCCAACCACCCAGTCTTTCTCCCCAGAGTAAACAAGCTTATTTTAAATGTCCTGGATATATATACTACTTATATATAAATGTTACATATGATATAGATTGTTGGGGTGGTGGTATGTGTATGTATACTCATGTCTTCCCCCTACCTGAAATTCTTGTCCTACACATATCTCCACCCTCTAGAAGCAATTAATATTAAGGCAGGTGCAAAATCTAAAACAAGAAGCACTTAAGTTTCATCCAGTGCCTTTCGGAATTCTTGCATTTCTTCATTTATTCCCATCTGGTGACCATCCTGGAAGACTTAAGGATAGGTATATCATGATCCTTGCCCTCACTGAGCTCACACCTGTGTTGGGGAGTAAGGCATCTACACACATAAATATAAGATAAAGAATGATTAGCACAGGCAATCAGAGGAGGGATAAACTACTTGAAGCTAGAGGGCCTCGTGAGAGGATTGATGGCAGATGTGGTATGTGAGCTGGTCTGATGAAAGGAGATGTGGTCCTGTGGCATGTGTGAATTAGGCAGCAGGTGGGAAGTGGAATAGTCAGGCATTCCAGGAAGAAGGAAGACATGAGCAGATGTATAGAGGCAGGAAAGCATGGTGTGGACTAAGGACACAAGGAGAAGTCCATGGAGCTGGGGCAGAAGGATGATGAGGAAAGGAGGGAGGGAGGGGTCATTGATGCAAAAGGGCCTCAAATGCAATGTTACTGCCAGTTATGTCTTTCTTGGGAATATGTGCAGCAGCATGATCTTCTTTGGTCCTAATGCAAAAGAACAAGGATACTGAGCCCACATGTAACAGCCTACACATCATTTAGGACACTCATAGCCGGAATCCATCTCTTCAAGCACAGACTGCAAAACATTCAGAGCTAAATTTGAGTACCAGAACCCTCTGTGATGTCAAATGCTAATCGTCTGAACTCTGGGTCACCATGAACAACACTTCAAGTCCTCGTTCATGTATCCTAGACTTAAACAAAAATCCCTCCATCTGGCCATATAACCTATAGATGTTACACTGACTGCTATTCAAGTATTCTCTAGTAAACACAAGTTCATGGCTGAAGATGAATTGTGACTTTTATAAAGTAAATATAGTCCTTTATCTATGTGATGAAATAGACAATGGTAATGTTTTAAAGGTCTTTGACTTAATCTGACATTATAGTTTTGGTTTCTTTAGTTCGTATAATCTGGTAAGCTCTGATCTTTTTTTTTTTTTTTTCTGAGACGGAGTCTCGCTCTTTTACCAGACTGGAGTGCAGTGGTGAGATCTTGGCTCACTGCAACCTCCGCCTTCTGGGTTCAAGCAATTCTCCTGCCTTAGCCTCCCAAGTAGCTGGGACTACAGACGCGCACCCACCATGCCCAGCTAATTTTTTTGTATTTTAGTAAAGATGGGGTTTCACCTTGTTGGCCAGGATGGTCTCGATAGCCTGACCTCATGATCCACCCGCCTAGGCCTCCCAAAGTGCTGGGATTACAGGCGTAGCCACCATGCCCGGCCCAGCTCTGATATCTTCTCTTTGAGTGGTCCAATGTGTCAGACGTTAGCATTTTTATATGGTGAATTCTTATATGGTGAATCCTTAACAAACAAGTAAAAAAAACAAAAAAAAACAAAAAAAACCCAAAAAACAGAGTTGTCCTAGTGTAGGTTTCCCCGGAAGCAGACCCTGAAACAAAGATTCAAGTGCAAGCTGTTTATTTGAAGGGAGAGCCTAGGAGACATAGGTAGGGGAGTGAAGAAGAGAGATGGAAAGGAAGGCAGCCAGTGAAGGGTATGTTGTCAAGAAGGCTGCTGCTGTGGTTGACTCCAGCAACCAGCATAGGAGACACCTGCACATCAGTGTCAGTGAGGGAGCTGGTTGAGGACTGCTGGCCAAGGGAGGTTAATTTTTCTGGCACTTCTGGTGGCCATTTCTGTGAGTAGCAAGGACTCCTGCCACCAGAACAGCCCTCAGGTAAGGAGATGCACACACTGGCAGTTGACATCAGGTTAGCTGGAGAGTCCAGGGAGGATAACAGGGGGCCTCTGGCAGCATCTGCTACAAAGGTCATTTCAGGGCCGAGAGAGTCTTTTGGCTCATATTTCACATTCACAAGTTTTAAGTTGAAACACCATCTCTGAGGGTACAGAAGTAGTTACAGAGCTATACAGAGAGGATTGAAAGAAGACATCCTTCAAAACAACTTTAAACTTGTGTCTCATTAACAGACCACAGTAGTAATAATTATACACAATGAATTTAATATTTCTCACAAATCCTTTATCTTGTAATTTGTACAATATATTGTCATATATTTTTGTGTTTAATAGACGTTCTTTGTTAAATGTGGATGTTGAAAGTATCTAGCATTTAAATTTGTTGTAAACCTGAATTGATATTTCTTTATTTTTTAAAATATATTGGGAGTCTCAAAAACTGAAAAACACCTGGTCTCTGTCACCACTAAAAAGGCCCCATTTAGCCTGGTGCAGTGGCTCAGGCCTATAATCCCAGCACTTTGGGAGGCCAAGGCGAGTGGATCCTTGAGCCCTGGAATTCAAAACCAGCCTGGGCAAAATGATGAGACTCTGTCTCCACAAATAAATAAATAAAAGTTAGCCAGGCAGACGTGGTGGTGCATGCCTGCAGTCCCCGCTAGCAGGAAGGCTGTGGTGGGAGGATCAATTGAGCCTGGGAGGTGGAAGCTGAAGTGAGCTGTGTTTGCACCACTGCACTCCAGCCTGGGTGACAGAGTGAGACCCTGTCTCAAAAAAACAAACAAAAAGCTGGGTGCGGTGGCTCACACCTGTAATTCCAGCACTTTGGGAGGCCAAGGTGGGCAGATCACCTGAGGTCAGGAGTTCAAGACCAGCCTGGCCAACATGGTGAAACCCGGTCTCTACTAAAAATACAAAAATTAGCTGGGCTTGGGGGCGCATGCCTGTAATCCCAGCCACTCGGGAGATTGAGGCAAGAGGATCACTTGAACCTGGGAAGCGGAGGCTGCAAATGAGCCGAGATGGCGCCACTGCACTCCAGCCTGGGCAACAGAGCGAGACTCCATCTCAAAACAAACAAACAAACAAACAAACAAACGCCCCAATTAAAAACAATAGCATCACGGAGAATTAGGACCAAAATTTAGAAGAAGAATAAAACAGCCCAAGAGACAGCGTCAGGGCATTTTTTTTTTTCACCTACTAGATAAAGAAGCAGTAGGGCAGTGCACATCGTTCCTGTGCAGAGCTATTTCTTCTTGAGCTTCACAGCACTTTGTGTACAGAAATGAAGAATGATGCCCAGAAACTCCACTTTGTAGAACTAAGCAGATTGAGCCAGTTGATCCAGGAACCTCTCTCAAATCTTGCTTTTTATCTTTTGTCTTAAAGAAAACAAATTATGAGGCAAAAAGTAACCATTGTTGGAGGATAAATCAGAAAGTTGTCATTTTCCCTTTTAGAACTAGTGGGATTTACTACCTGTTCTGAATACAGTATAAGAATATAATGGGCAGCAATGAATGAGTAATCATAAAAATATCCAAAGCAGAATTCCATCGAGTTTTAAAAATTGTTTCCTTCATAAAGCATAAAGGAAATGTGCATATTTATCTTCAAATACAAGCAGATTAAATTGAGATACGTCGTTTAATTGAACTATAAGTTAAAAATTCTTAATGAGATCATCTTGTGAAAACCTAAACTCTACATTATTCCTCCTGAAAATCTGCCTTCTCCAGACAGAAATGTATAAATGGTCATTGACTAACCAGGCTATAAACTGCTCATTTGTAAGGATAACCTTCGAACTTGCATTACAATTGAAGAGATGAATAATTTTCACAAGTAAGAAATAGATATTTTTGTTGAAATTATGCAATTTATATTAATCCTCTTGATCACAATTTACAAAAAGTTAAGAAGAGAAGCTTTTTTGAGATGTTTTTATGGTGTTAATAAAAATAATACAAATTGGAAATTTTGTATTATAATTACCCCTATTAAAGCATGTGTCATTTCACTGGGATTTTTAGTCTTCAGAATCAAGCAATAAATGCATATAATGTTGGCTATTCAGTCTGCTCAATGGGATATAGATGGGATATTGTGACAAATCTTTTTTCTACCTATTTGTGAAAAATGAAATGTTTAGTAAGTATTTTTTAAAGGGTAAAAATACTTTAACTCACAAGTAGCCAGAGAGCAGCTAGAGGTTTGTGAAACGGTGGTCAAGGGCCTGATTCCCAGCACTCACTGGGTAGGAAGTTACACACCTGCTGTACAGCGAGACAAGTCGTTGCCACAGGAGTTTGCAGTTGCACCACAGCGCCATCAAGTGAAGGGGTGAGAAAGGTGACTCTCAACAATTATTAATACTCAAGGTAGGTACCACTCCTGTTGAACATATTGCTCCCAGATATAGCAGCCTAAAAACCACAGAGTCATTATGTCACTCAGTTTCTGACAGGAATGTGGGAGTGGCTTAGCTGAGTGGTTCTGGCTCAGAATTGATCCTGAGGTTGTGGTCAAGATGTCACCTGCAGTCATCTGAAGGCTTGACTCAGGCTGGAGGGTCTGCCTCTAAGGTGGCTCCCTCACATGACTGCAGGCAGTCTCAGTTCCCCACCAGATAGATCTCTCCACCAGGCTGCTCACCCGTCCTCAGGACATGGCATGGGCTTCCTGCAGAGGGAGGGCTCAGAGAGAGAGAGCGAGCAAGCAGGAAGCTGTAATACCTGGGAATCACCTACTCTCCAAAGTCACACACCATCATTTCTGTGTTGTTCTAGTTGTTAGAAGCACATCACTAGGTCCAGCCCACATTCCAGGGGAGAGGAATTAGCCTTCATCTTTTGAAAGGGGCGTCAAAGAATTTCACATTTTAAGTCATCGCAGTGCAGCCAGCCCAGAGATCAGATGACTCAGCCAGTTTGCCCTCACTAGATCTAGAGGGCTCCCGTCCACACCCTTGCTAGGTGTTTACAGTGCATTTCTAGCACTAATGTTTAAGACATAGATCCAAATGCCACACAACTAAAATAAGTTGAAGAATCAATTTGTGATGAAAATACAGACAATTCTGGCTGGGTGCAGTGGCTCACGCCTGTAATCCCAGCACTCTGGGAGGCCGAGGTGGGCGGATCACGAGGTCAGGAGATTGAGACCATCCTGGCCAACATAGTGAAACTCCGTCTCTACTAAAATACAAAAATTAGCTGGGCGTGGTGGTGCATGCCTGTAATCCCAGCTCTGTAATCCCAGCTACTCAGGAGGCTGAGGCAGGAGAATCCCTTGAACCAGGGAGTCGGAGGTTGCAGTGAGCTGAGATCGCACCACAGCACTCCAGCCTGGCGACAGAGTAAGACTCCATCTCAGAAAAAAAAAAAAAAGAAAGAAAGAAAAAGAAAATGTAGACAATTCTGCCTTTTTAGAAAGTAGGACCTGGCACAATAGTATACTTTCAGATATGAGCCTGTTTGGATGGCACCCCAGTTCATTCAGAGAATGTCTCCAGCATTATTTTGTCTTAGCACAACCAGCTGAACTCACTGGAGTGTCGCTAGCCTAAGCAAGCCTAGTCCTGAGAGTCGGGGTTGCAGAAGATGTATGTTAGGGTGAAAGTGGGGTGGTAAAGGAAGAGGACACAGAGTAGGTCTGAAAACAGTGTTCTGGACAATCATTCCAAAATGAACCACTCTACAAAGCTTTACTTGAAGGATTGATATTTAAACACATCAGTCATTAGATGTCTTTATATTTAATGGGTTTCAATTTCACAAGACCTCTCATTGCTGGTTGTGTGCTTTGAGGGAACAGGGAAGAAAAGGTTAAAAAATATACCCCCAGCTTATAATGTGGAAAGAGTTTACTTGAAGCTGCACCACTCAACCAAGTCCATTCTGTTGTTTCTAAACCAACAAAAAGCATGGTGAAGAGAAGGCATCTGGTGGATATTGGCTGAATTTTTTTAAAAACAACTGGCTAGCAGGGCAAAGCATCAACCCTGGCCAGTGGAGAACTTGCCATCTTTGCCTGGCACTACTTCATTCCACTCCTCCCTGACCCCAGTCAGCAGGTACTCCTTCCTCCCAGGCCTTTGCACAGGAATCATGCAAACTGGAACCCATCCCATGCACTAAAAAGATTCTGGAAGTTTCATTTCTAATGTTCCTATTTTCTCACCATGTAGCAAAAAAGCAGAAGAGCACACACTCCCAAATAAAATGGTGAATTCTTTTACTAGCAGTATTCTACTGAACAGAACTCTTTTAAAATGCATTTTTCCATTGCCACATTACAGTGATAATTAATATTCATAATAATGACCTTGAAGGTCTCTCAGAGTCTGAGGAACCTAATGAATAATTAAGAGAATGAAATGGTTTTCAATAAGATTTCATGCTTAGTGCTTTTTGTATTCTAATACTTTTGATAGATTGTCATGGTTGATTGTCTAATTCCCCAGTCATGCGAGTAAACAGAGAATTTAATGTGTTTCAAGGGGACTTCCATGGTAAGTTATTTGCAAGCATATTAAACCAAAATCTGAAGTGCATTAAAAATCCTCAGCCAACGCTAGCATACACGCAGGCTGCCACATGAATTGCAGCTATAGGGAGCTATGGCTAGCTGGAACCACTCAGAATCCATCCTTTTCCTTCTAGATAGAAAAAGAAAATAATTATTGGAACTAAGGATAATTATACATAAAATTATATACCAAAATATTGTTCTTATAGTTGAGGATTCATTTGTTGCTCTTATTCATTGTCATATGTTTAAAGAATTTGACACAAGATTGATATCAAAAAATTATCTGGATTGGGGGTTCCTTTCCTATTCCTGGTGCCACTTCATGCTGTAATAAACTCTCACTCTTGTTTCTTTCTTGTTACCCCTGTTATGGTAGACATATCACTCTACTTGGAGAAAATTCCAAATCACTGTTTACAGTAGAAGAAAAATCCAATACCTATATTCGGCAGTTGAAAGACCAAGATCCCAAAAGGTGATATGACTTATACAAAGCTACATAGCAAGTTAGTTATAGAGCCCAATGAGAACCTGTGTTTCCCAACTCCCAAGCAAAGGCCTTTGTGCAACATCCATTGCCACACCAAAGCCAATAACTGCTAATGAAAGTTCTCCACCCATTGCAGCCACGGAAACTGAAAAAACTACTGAGAAATGTTATTTCAACAAATGCATTTGACTTATAAGGTTGAAGTACCATATATTCTATTGAAAATGTCTGAATTGAAAGGATTTAAGTCACTTTAAGCAGAAAATTAGAGCACACATGGCACTGTCTATTTTTAGGATCTCTGAGTCTCAGGCACAGGCATTTTAGTAATTTAGATCTTTACATGAGTGCTCCTCCAAGTTTTGTTTCATCTTCAGAATGGAGGCCATGTCATCAAGCGAGTGTGGGAAGCTTGAGCTCATTCTACAGGAGGTTATGCCAGGTGCAGGAAAAGGGATTGCTTGGTGTAATAATTAGATCCTTACCACCTACCCACCCACCCACATACAGACATACACAGATACACACACACAGCTGAGCCATTTGAAAATAAACTGTAGACTCATGCCATTTCATTGCTAAATATTTCAACATGCATTTCCTAATAAGGACATTCTCCTTACTGGTGAGAAATGATATTTCGATGCCAAGATCAAGGGGCAAGGTATGTTAATTGACACAAGGGTATCATTGCTTCAAAGCCCTTTCAGTGAACAGATCCAGGAATGACAAATACACTTTTAAAAGGTTATTTAATGTGAATTTCTCAATGCAAATTTAACCTTACAGTGTTTTATTTTAAGTTCTTTGACTTAATAGTTGTTTTTGCCTCTCTTTTCTGTTACACTGAAAGTTTTGGTTTGTAATAATATAGTGTTTCTTTCCTCCTAATTCAGAATTGTACACTTGTTTTCTCCTAGTTCAGAATTATAATACTATATAAATAATAAATTACTGACTGAAATTTAAGATTTCCTTCTATTCATTTATCCTTAGATCAAATCCATTATGAGTGTATAATTAAAGTACTGAAATAATTCTGTTCTTTGTATAGCTGTGGTTGCCACATTTGAAATAAAGTTAAGCTCATTGGTCCCAATTGTTTTCCATTTTAGGATTTTACTTTTGTCTTTTTTATTTGAATTTTTTAAATATATAAAACATTTATGTGGTCCCAAAGTTAAAAAATACACGAAAAGGTAACCAAACCCACAGAAGTTTCACTCCTAACCCTCTCCCTTCACTTCATTCCCCCCACCTCCTATAGGTAATTATTTTTATTGCTTCTTTTTGCAAATATAGGCGAATACCTAAATATATTCTTATTCCTCCTTTTTCCCCCTTACACACAAAATATAGCATACTATACTAACTTTTTAAATCTAAAAATATATTCTGGAGATTGTTTCAATTCACAGACATTTTTTTTTTTCTGTGTTTTATGATGCCTGGTCGCCAATTCATGTATGTACTGCAGTTTATTTACAGCCTCTCTTGTTGGTGGATGTTTAGATTATTTCTAATCTTTTGCTACTGCAAACAATGTTGTGTTACATAACCTTGTGCAAATGTTACTGATTATTTGTAGAGATGTATTTTCTTTTCTTTTTTCTTTTTTTTTTTTTGAGACGGAGTCTTGCTCTGTTGCCCAGGCTGGAGTGCAGTGGCGCAATCTCGGCTCACTGCAAGCTCCGCCTCCCGGGTTCACGCCATTCTCCTAACTCAGCCTCCCGAGTAGCTGGGACTACAGGCACCCGCCACGACGCCCGGCTAATTTTTTGTATTTTTAGTAGAGACGGGGTTTCACCGTGTTAGCCAGGGTGGTCTCGATCTCCTGACGTCATGATCCACCCGCCTCGGCCTCCCAAAGTGCTGGGATTACAGGGTTGAGCCACCGCGCCCTGCCTGAGATGTATTTTCAAGGTAGATTCCTAGAAACGAGATTGCTGGGTGAAAGGTTAGCACATATGTAATTTTGCTCAATTTTGCCAAATCCCCATCCATAGGGTTTGTTCCATTTTGCATTTCCACTCTCAGTAGAGTATGTTATAAAATGTTTGGATCCAGAAGAATTCTAATTTGCATTTCTCTTATTGTAAGGGAAATTGGGCGTCATTTCATATGTGTAGGGAGTGACTTGCATTTCTTTTCGCTCTGTTCTCACATTTCTCTCTTTTCATGACTTTTGCCCATATTTTTATGCAATTTTGGAGCTTATCCATTGTTAAAAGCTTTTCATGTACTTGTCCTCATCTTTTCTTTTTTTTTTTTTTTTTTTAGATGGAGTCTCGCTCTGTCGCCTAGGCTGGAGTGCAGTGGCGCAATCTCGGCTCACTGCAAGCTCTGCCTCCTGGGTTCACACCATTCTCCTGCCTCAGCCTCCTGAGTAGCTCGGACTACAGGCACCCGCCACCACGCCCAGCTAATTTTTTTGTATTTTTAGTAGAGACGGGGTTTCACTGTGTTAGCCAGGATGGTCTCAATCTCCTAACCTCATGATCCGCCCGCCTTGATCTCCCAAAGTGCTGGGATTACATGCGTGAGCCACCGCTGAGATAACTTGAAATTGGTCTCTCCTGGTCTGTCATTTGTTTTTTGACCTTGCTTCTTGTATTTTGTTTGTTTTAGGTAGTAAAGTTCACCAATCTTTCCCTGATTTTTTTGTTTGTTTGTTTGTTTGTTTGTTTTTGCTGAATGTTGAAAAGGCTTTCCGTGTCCCCAGGTTATAAAGTAATTCACCTGTGCCAAACCTCCTTGATTGCACATTGTATATTTGGATCTCTGGTCCATTTGGGATTTATTTTAGTGTGAGGTTTAGATTCACTCCATCCTTTTTCAGGTGGCTTTCTATTTGTCCCAACACTATGTATTTAAAAGCCCAGTTTTTCCTCAGGAAATAACTTGATTTAGTTTTAGACTTTAACTTGCTGTAATGCAGCACACAGAGACAAAGAAGCAAACATGGGGGTGGGAGGGTGAGAAATGAGATCAAGGAGTAGACTTGGTTACTCTGCCATAGAGTAGAACTGCTCCCTCCCTCCCTGGAACAGAGAGGAACAATGCACGCACAGTGTGTCTGTGCTGTCCTCCACTGGCCTCTCCAGATCCAAGATCTGGCCTACCTGGCCTGCTCTCCTCCACAAGGCTCACCTCTGTGGATGACATCACTCAGTAGCCTTGCCCCTGGCTTTTGATTGGGTTTACTCTGATGGGGGACTGTCACACTGCCAGGAGATCTGAGCACAAGATAAGAGAAACTGGATTCCCTTTGGCAGGTGCTGCAGTGTGCTCTCCATAACCACCTCTTCAATGGGTCAGCCACCCTTCTGGTTGCAGCTCTTGCTGACTTCTGATAGGCCCTTCCTCCCACTTGCCCTTCAGGCCTGGGCGGTAACACCTTCCCATTGGTGCTGGCACCCTGGGTGTTTCACTGCCCTCAGTTGCTTCCTCAACCTGTCTGCACCTCTGTAAAGAGGCCCTCTTGAACCCTTTTCAGGTATGCCTTCTTGTTCATTGAGTGTGCAGCCTGTGTCCTGCCAGAACCTGGCTGATACCAACGACATCACAAATACATACCAATCCATCTGTCAAAAAGGTAGGCAATATGGCTGTACTCCACCAATCCTAAATTTAAAAATTTACAAAGCCAATAAACAGTCAAGGAGGCCACATCTCATTTAGAGATCTTCAGTGATTCAACTTGATTATTCATTATTTATCTTGATTATCCTCCTTATTCACTATGCAAGGCTCTGGTCTAATTTGTGGTTGGCTTCAGAAAGCAAACGCATCTCAAAGATTTAAGGTTGAAATCCCAGCACTTTGGGAGGCTGAGGTGGGCGGAGCACAAGGTCAAGAGATTGAGACCATCCTGGCCAACATGGTGAAACCCCACCTCTACTAAAAATACAAAAATTAGCTAGGCATGGTAGTAGGTGCCTGTAATCCCAGCTACTCAGGAGACTGAGGCAGGAGACTCGCTTGAACTCAGGAGGCAGAGGTTGTAGTGAGCTGAGATCGTGCCACTGCACTCCAGCCTGGCGACAGAGTGAGACTCCGTCTCAAAAAAAAAAAAAAAAAATTTAAGGTTGAACTCCTCCTAGGGATATTAAAGAGAATATTCTCTGCCTCTGAAGACAATTCCACTAAAAACATTTCTAAAATATTTCAAGCTAGTATTCTTTCTGAAGTGATTGCTTTGAAGTCGGACATGTGCATGTGCAGGCTGTGCTATGTTTGCTTAAAATAAAATAAAAAATAACCCTGCTCCCATTACTCCCAGTCAAGCCCCTAGAGCTATTTCCTGGGCACATTTATTTACTCTGATAGCTCTGCACTTAGCTTTTCAAAGGCTCTGGCAAAGTTATTTAAGTATCTCTGCCTGGTGTTTTTTATTTTTATTTTTTTGAGATGGGGTCTGTCACCCAGGTTGGAGTGCAGTGACACGATCTGGGCTCACTGCAGCCTCCACCTCCCAAGCTCAAGCGATCCTCCTACCTCAGCCTCCCGAGTAACTGGGACTGCAGGCACGCACCACCACACCTGGCTAATTTTTTGTATTTTTGGTAAAAAGGGGTTTTGCCATGTTGCCCAGGCTGGTCTCAAACTCCTAAACTCAGGCAATCCACCCGCCTCAGTCTCCCAAAGTGTTGGGATTACAGGCATGAGCCACTGCGCCTGGCCTCTACCTGTTTTAAGTAGCTTAGTTGACTAGTGGAAAACGTCTGTGGGAAGTTTCTTATTTTTCTGCAGAGTCATGTTCAAAGTTATAGATTAGCTTGTTTTAGTATGTAAATTTTAGTTGTTTTACTCTGATACAATGTGAAAACAAAAGATTCGAGGAGTTCTAATTCCCATGCTTCTAAGAGGGGACTCTTTCCACTTCCCTATTTTGAGCAGGGATGATGAGGAGGAGGGAGAGTAGACCAAGGGCACACTT